>NC_000001.11:180457314-180760344 GCF_000001405.40 Homo sapiens
CTACATATGGTAAATCCTGCTTACTCTGGCAGTCCCAAACTATGCTGGTAGGCTGAACTGTTCTCAATCTCTTTGTTGCAGACTGACCTACCTTTACTCAGCATTCACCCAGATAGTCCTACGGGGAGAAACGTCTCTCTTACTCCATCTCATCTTGTCTCAGTAGGGATCACTAACCTACAAGACTAGGAAAAAATTAGATCTCCCTTAACCTGTCAGACCTGAGTTCTGCTCAAAAGACCTCAAAAGCCAGACCTAGTGCTAAGGAATCTTACAATCAAAGGGCAGAGAAAAATTACAACCATTTAAGGAGAGCAAGAGGCTAACATGAATCAGAATGAGTGGGTTATTTTGAGGGAAGCAAAATTAATAGAAGAAGCCAGAGAATTTTCACATAATAAAATATAAAGACATATAGGCATACACAAACACTAAATGCATTATTCCAAAAAAGTCTACTGTACCACAAAAATTAACTGTTTTTTTTTTTTTTTTGAGACGGAGTTTCGCTCTTGTCGCCCAGCCTGGAGTACAATGGCACGATCTCAGCTCACTGCAACATTCACCTCCCAGGTTCAAGTGATTCTCCTGTCTCAGCCTCCTGAGTAGCTGGGATTACAGGCGCCCACCACCAAACCCAGCTAAATTTTGTATTTTTTTTAGTAGAGACAGGATTTCACCATGTTGGCCAGGCTGGTCTCAAACTCCTGACCTCAGGTGATCCACTCACCTTGGCCTCCCAAAGTGCTGGGATTACAGGTGTGAGCCACCATGCCCGGCCAAAAATTAACTTTTTACCAATGTTGATAGTATAATCCTAATATATCTTTCCTACGGCATGGCTCAAAATAGTCCTTCAATAAATAAGCATGATTCAGCAACTGGAATGTTTTCAAAAAGACAATGAAAAATATACATAATTGTTAGAACCACTTTCAAAAAGCACACATGCCATATTATGGGGCATAATTTATGTTAAGAAATATCCCCAACTTATTTCAGTTCAACTCAACGCAACAGCATAAGTACTTTTAAGAACCTACTGTCTTAAACACTGAGCTCATCACTGTAAAGTATATTAATCAAGACACCTGCTACCAAGACATTCAGTATAACCAGGAATTTAGGTATGTTGTCATATAATACAGATAAGAAACAATATAAGACAAATAAGATCAAATATTAAAACATTTGCCATAAATAATAAATGTGATTCATTTGCAGAAAGGGAGAAGGTAGTGTGGACTGAAGGCTTCACGGAATAAACAGGAATTAACCAGGGCCTAAAAAAACAAAAACCATAGGTAGGAACAGTAATAAAGGCATTTCAGAAAACAGCGTGAGTTAAAAAAAGGCATAATAAATCCACCATAGTTGAGGGGCAATGAAAAGTTATATCAAATGGCAATCAAATTTACAGTGTGTAAAGTTAGAGCTAAGTCTGGATTCATAATATTGGGAAGAGAAGTACATACTACAAAGGACCTTCAAAGAACTAAAAACTTAGATTTAAATAATGATTCCTAAAAAGTCTGGCATAAAATCTTTGTCATTTTCCTATTAAACTTCATTATTTAAAAAAAGGCATATGTTCCATTATAAAACTGTTTATCTCCATATGCAGTACAATCACACTTAGAATGTAACAAATTTTTTAAAGGTTTTATTAGAAAGTTTTATTAGAAGTTTTATTAGAACCTCAAAGTTCTAATAAAAGTAATGATATTTTTTCAAGATCTCAGTAGTGTAAAACACTAAAAATAATTCATATTATAAAGCACTAAAGTTATTCGTAAGATGCTGAAAATGATAGGTTCATTAGACAATCTGGTAGTCTAACAGATAACTTAAAATATTCCCGTTATTCAAAAGAAATCTCTAATATTTTAGTAATTTGGCTCCAGTTCAACTTAATGTTTCTAAATTTGAAACCATGGTCAGTAATTTAACTCTTTTTGCACTTTCTCCATAATTATAATTACTGTTCTATTTACTAACATTCCCCCCTAAGTATATCTGACCCGTTTGTTAAAGGTATCCTTGCATAGCAATAGCAGCCCATAAAGCCATAGACTGAAATATTCAATTCTAGCATAGCTAAGGAAACTCAGCTCTAATTAGGTCCTGCAACTCACACACACCTAATGAACATCCTGATGAAGATAGGCAAATGATAAAACTGGGCCTTTGTGACAATTATAGTCCAAGTACAAGGGTCTGTTTACTAGGACAAGGGCTCTCACTAATAGTTGTTAGTACATTTTAAAACATTTTCCCACATTCATTTTAGTTTATAACCTACACAGTAAAAGGGGTTTGGTAGTCTCTGGCAATCTATGTGAAATGTCAAGTTTCTCAAATTCCATGAAGATAAGAAAAAATTAAAGTCAGTTTGTTATTTAATTCATAAATTCATCTTCTAAATTCTATTAAATGAGTGATGCTTATACGGGGAAAAGATTGTTACACATCCAGATATATACTCTTAAATTTTACAAAGGGAAAATATCAAACACATATGACCTCAAAAAAACATTTAAAACTGGTAAACTGGTTCCAGCCTGTGGGCTTAGGGGAGTCCGAACCATTTAGGGATGGAAGCAGTATCCCGGCACAGCACAGCTATTCTACAAAAGCATGACCAGACTGCTTCTTTTTTTTTTTTTTTTTTTTTTTTTAATTATACTTTAAGTTTTAGGGTACATGTGCACAACGTGCAGCTTTGTTACATATGTATACATGTGCCATGTTGGTGTGCTGCACCCATTAACTCATCATTTAACATTAGATATATCTCCTAATGCTATCCCTCCCCCCTCCCCCTACCCCACAGTAGGCCCCGGTGTGTGATGTTCCTTAAGTGGGTCCCCCATCTGTTCCTCTTCACTGGGTGGGACTTACCAACAGGGGCCTCAAGCCACTCCCACCATTGTTCTCTGCCTGACAGAAGTTTGAAAACTTCCTGGAACAAAGTTCCCGGCGTAGGGGCAGGCTGCCATCTTTGCTGTTTTAGCAACTTAGCCGTTCCAGCCTCCAGGCTTTGGAGAGCCCAACCCAACAGGTCGCAGAAACGGTACCCCAGCACAGCATGGCTGCTCTATGAAAGTGAGGCTAGACTGCTTCTTTAAGCAGGTCCCTGATCCCGTTCCTCCTGGCTGGGCGAGACCTCCCAACCAGGGTCTCCAGCTACCTCCTACAGGTGCATTCAAGTCAGCAACAAGTCTGTACCCTCCCTGGGATGGAGCTCCCAGAGGAAGGGGCAGGCTGCCATCTTTGCTGTTTCACAGCCTTCGCTGGTGATACCTCCAGGTATTGGAAAATCTGAGGCAACTACGGACTGGAGTGGATACCTAGCAAACCACAGCAGCCCTACAAAAAAGTGGCCAGACTCTTAAAAAACAAAACAACAAAAACCAAAAATCCCATCCACAGGTCAGCAACCTCAAAGATTTAGGTAGTATGCCCACAAAGATAAGAAAGAATTAGCACAAAAACACAGAAAACTCAAAAAGCCAGAGGGGCCTCTCTCCTCCAAATGACAACATCGCTGCTCCAGCAAGGGTTCGGACTGTGGCTGAGGCTGACATGGCTGAAACAACAGAAACAGACCTCACCACGTGGATAAAAATGAACTCCACTGAGCTAAAGGAGCACATTCTAACTCAGTGCAAGGAAGCTAAAAACCATAATAGAACATTGCAGGAGCTGACAAACAAAATATCCAAGATAGGGAAGAACACGACCAACCTGATACAGCTGAAAAACACAATACAAGAATTTAATAATACAATTGCAAGTATTAATAGCAGAAGAGACCAAGTGGAGGAAACAATTTTAGAGCTTGAAGACTATGTTTCTGAAATAAGACAAGCAGACAAAAATAGAGAAAAAAAAGTAAAAAGTAATGAACAAAACCTCTGAGAAATATGGGATTATATAAAAAGACCAAATCTATGACTGACTGGTGTACCCGAAAGAGCTAGGGAGAAGGGAACCAATTTGGAAAACATATTTCAGGATATCATCCTTGAGAACTTTCCCAACCTTACTAGACAGACCAACACTCAAATTCAGGAAATGCAGACAGGAAATGCAGAGAACCCCAGTAAGATACCTCACGAGAAGATCATCTCCAAGACACATAATCATCAGATTTTCTAAGGTTGAAATGACAGAAAAAATGTTAAAGGCAGCCAGAGAGAAAGGCCAGGTAGTCTACAAAGGGAAGCCCATCACACTAGCAGTAGACCTCTCAATGGAAACCCTGCAAGCCAGAAGAGATTTGAGGCCAATATTTAACATCTTAAAGAAAACTAATTCCAACCTAGAATTTCATATCCAACCAAACTAAGCTTCATAAGCAAAGGAGAAATAAGATCCTTTTCAGAAAAGTAAATGCTAAGGGACTTCGTTAGCACCCAACATGCCTTGCAGGAGGTCCTTGCAGGAGCTCCTGAAGGAAGCACTAAATATGAAAAGGAAAAACCACTACCAGCCACTACAAAAACACACTGAAGTACACAGACCAGTGACACTACGAAGCAACCACATAAACAAGTCTGCAAAATAACCAGGTAGCATCATGATGACAGGATCGAATCCACACATAACAATACTAACCTTAAATGTAAATGGGGTAGGCTGGGCATGGTGGCTCACACTTGTAATCCAAAAACTTTGGGAAGCTGAGGCAGGCGGATCACTTGAGGTCAGGAATTTGAGACCAGCCTGGCCAACATGGTAAAACCCCATCTCTACTAAAAATATAAAAATTAGCTGGGCGTGGTGGCACAGACCTGTAGTCCCAGCTATTTAGGGAGGCTGAGGCAGGAGAATTACTTGAACTCGGGAAGCAGAGGTTGCAGTGACCCAAGATCGTGCCATGGCACTCCAACCTGGACAACACAGTGAGACTCCGTCTCAAAAATAAAAAAAAAAGTAAATGGGCTAAATGCCTCAATTAAAAGACACAGTGTGGCAAGCTGGATAAAGAACCAGGACCCATTGGTATGCTGTCTGCAAGAGACTCATCTCACATGCAATGACTCACATAGGCTCAAAATAAAGGGATGGAGGAAAATTTACCAGGCAAATAGAAAACAGAAAAGAAAAGGAGTTACAATCTTAAGTTTCCAACAGACTTTAAATCATCAAGATCAAAAAAGATAAAGGGCTTTACATAATGTTAAGGGGTTCAATTCAACAAGAAGAGCTAATTATCCTAAATATATATGCACCCAACACAGGAGCACCCAGATTCATAAAGCAAGTTTTTGGAGACCTTTAAAGAGACTTAGACCCTCACACAATAATATTGGGAGACTTTAACACCCCACTGACAATATTAGATAGATCACTGAGATGAAAAATTAACAAAGAAATTCAGGACCTGAACTCAGCTCTGGATCAAATGGACCTGATAAGTATCTACAGAACTCTCCATCCCAAAACAACAGAATATGCATTTTTCTCAATGCTACATGGTACTGACTCTAAAATCGGTCACATAATCAGAAGTAAAACACTCCTCAGCAAATGCTAAACTGAAATCATAGCAAACAGTCTCTCGGACCACAGCACAATCAAATTAGAACCCAAGACTAAGAAATTCACTCAAAACCATACAATTACATGGAAATTAAATACCTTGCTCCTGAATAACTTTTGGGTAAATAATGAAATTAAGGCAGAAATCAAGAAGTTCTTTGAAACTAATGAGAACAAAGATACAATGTACCAGATCTCTAGGACACAGCTAAGGCAGTGTTAAGAGGGAAATTTATAGCACTAAAATGCCCACATCAAAAAGTTAGAAAGATCTCAAGTTAACAACCTAACAACTAAAAGAAATAGAGAACCAAGGGCAAACAAATCACAAAGCTAGCAGAAGTCAAGAAATCACCAAAATCAGAGCTGAACTGAAGGATATAGACATAAAACTCATTCAAAAGATCGATGAATCCAGAAGCTGGTTTTTTGAAAAAATTAATAAAATAGACTGCTAGCTAGAATAAAAAAGAAAAAAGATTCAAATAAACACAATCAGAAATAATGAGATATTACCACTGACCCCACAGAAATACAAATGACCATCAGAGAATATTACAAATACCTCTATGCATATAAACTAAAAACTCTATAAGAAATGGATAAATTCCTGAACACATATACTCTCCCCAGAATGAACCAGGAAGAAACTGAATCCCTAAAAAGACGAATAACGAGCTCTGAAGTTGAGGTAGCAATAAGTAGTCTACCAATCAAAAAAAAACCCAGGACCAGACAGATTCACAGCTGAATTCTATCAGAGGTACAAAGAAGAGCTGGTACCATTTCTACTGAAACTATTTCAAAAAAACTGAAAAGGAGGGAGTCCTCCCTAACTCATTCCATGAGGCCAACATCATCCTGCTACCAAAACCTGGCAGAGACACAACAAAAAAAGAAAATTTCAGGCCAATATCCTCGATGAACATCAGTGCAAAATCCTCAGCAAAATACTGGCAAACTGAATCCAGCAGCACATCAAAAAGCTTATCCACCATGATCAAGTAGGCTTCATCCCTGGGATGCAAGGTTGGTTCAACATACGCAAATCAATAAATGTGATTCATCACATAAATAGAACTAAAGAAAAAAACCACATTATCTCAATAGATGCAGAAAAGGATTTCGATAAAACTCAACATCCCTTCATGTTAAAAACTCTCAATAAACTAGGTGTTGAAGAAACAGACCTCAAAATAGTATGAGCCATCTATGACAAACCCACAGCCAACATTATACTAACTGGGCAAAAGCTGGAAGTGCTCCCCTTGAAAATCAGCACAACTCTCACCACTTCTATTCAACATAGTATTGGAAGTCCTGGCCAGAGCAATCAGGCAAGAAAAAGAAAGAAAGGGCATTCAAATAGTATGAGAGGAAGTCAAACTATCTGTTTGCAGACGACATGATTCCATATCTAGAAAACCCCATAGTCTCGGCCCCAAAGCTCCTTCAGCTGATAAACAACTTCAGCAAAGTTGCAGGATACAAAATCAATGTACAAAAATCACTAGCTTTCCTATACACCACCACCAACAAAATGAAGGGCTAAATCAGAAAGGCAATCCCATTCACAACTGTCACAAAAAAATAAACAAAGTACCTAGGAAACAGCTAACCAAGGAGGTGAAAGATCTCTACAATGAGAATTACAAAACACTGCTCAAAGAAATCAGACACAAACAAATGAAAAAACACCCCATGCTCATGGACAGGAAGAATCAATATCATTAAAATGGTTACACTACCCAAAGCAATTTACAGATTAAATGCTATTCCTATCAAACTACCAATGACATTCTTCAAAGAACTAAAAAAATTATTTTAAATTTTATATGGAACCAAAAAGAGGGCCCAAATAGCCAAGACAATCCTAAGCAAAAAGAAAAAAGCCAGAGAAATCACATTACCCAACTTGAAACTATACTACAAGGCTACAGTGACCAAAACAGCATGGTACTTGTATAAAAACAGGCATATAGACCAATGGAACCGAATAGAGAGCCCAGAAATAAGGCCTCATATCTATGACCAACTGATCTTTGACAAAGCTGACAAAAGCAATGAGGAAAAGACTCCCTATTCAATAAATGGTGCTGGGATAACTGGCTAGCCATATATAGAAGATTGAAGCTGAACCCCTTCCTTACATCGTACACAAAAATCAATTCAAGATGGATTAAAAACTTAAATGTAAAACCCAAAACCATAAAAACCCTGGAAGACAACCTCGGCAATGCCATCCTGGACACAGCAAAGATTTCATGACAAAGAAACCAAAAGCGATTGCAACGAAAGCAAAACTTGACAAAAGGGATCTAATTAAACTTAAGAGCTTCTGCACAGAAAAATAAACTATCAACAGAAAATCTACAGAACGGGAGAGAATATCTGAAAACTATACATCTGACAAGCTCTAATATCCAGCATCTATAAGGAACTTAAACAGATCAACAAGCGAAAAACCACCCCATTAAAAAGTAGGCAAAGGACATGAAAAGACACTTTTCAAAAGAAGACATACATGTGGCCAAGAAGGATGAAAGAAAAGCTCAACATCACTGATCATTCGAGAAATGCAAATCAAATCCACAATAAGATACCATCTGACACCAGTCAACATGACCATTATGAAAAACTCAAACAAAATCAGATGCTGGTGAGGTTTCAGAGAAAAGGAAACCCTTATACACTGTTGGTGGGAGTGTAAATTAGTTCAACCATTGAGGAAAGCAGGATGGCAATTCCTCAAAGAGCTGAAAACAGAACTACCATTCAACCCAGTAATCTCATTACTGGGTATATACCCGGAGGAATATAAAGCATTTTACCCAAAGACACATGCATATGAATGTTCACTGCAGCACTGTTCATAATAGCAAAGACATGGAATTAACCTAAATGCTTATGAATGACAGAGGAGATAAAGAAAATGCAGTACACATACATCACAGAATATTATGGAGCCATTAAAAAGAATGAGATGCCTTTTATAGGAACATGGATAGAGCTGGAGGCTATCATCCTTAGCAAACACACACAGGAACAGAAAACCAAATACCGTATGTTCTCACTTATAAGTGGGAGCTACATAAGAACTTATGAACACAAGGAAGGAAGCAACAGACACTGGAGTCTACTTGAGGGGGGAGGGTGGGAGCAGAAAAGATAATTATTGGGTATTGAGCTTAATACCTGAGTGATGTAATAATATGTACAACAAATCCCTATGGTATGTGTTTATCAATGTAACAAACCTTCACATGTACCCATAAACCTAAAATAAAAATTTTTTAAAAGAAAAAATAAAGTGGGTAAACTGCATATATTTACTTCAGATACTATTTTGGGAGTAAAGGTTTAATTTAGTAAGCTTTGACTCAAAATATAAAATTAAAGTATTAGCATATTTTTATTCTAATTATATTCAGTGTTAAAGCAACAAACCAACAACATAAAATTGAAATGTAAACATAACATAGTCAAAGGAATTTTCTGGGACTATTTGTGGCCACATTTCTATTAAAATATTTACTAGGTATTAGGTTACTACAAAAGTAATTGTGGTTTTGCCTATTACTTTTGCACCAAACTAATATTTACTGTTTGGTAGGTGGTCTGGCAGTTTGATTATAGTGTTCATGCAATGAGAGCTTGACACTTTCCCAACACTTGCTTGTTTCTTTGACTTGCTGGAGAATGAAATTAATGACTTATTATTGGGTGTATTTATATTTTTTAAATAATTTGTTTTATTATTAAAACAATTGGGATAAACTTCATTAAAATTTACCTTTAATTAATAGTTTGCCTATGCACAAAATGTCCATTATATAGCTCATGAATGTCAAAAACTTTATCTGCTGTCATTTTAAGTACATACAACATCAGGCATGGTTTTGTTTTTTTCTTTCTTAAAGTTTTCTAGGCTTTGGTTCCCTGTCTGTGAAAAAGGAGTAACAACAGCACCTACCTCAAAGAGTTATTGTGACCAGTAAATAAGATAATACATATAAAGCATTTAGAATAATGCCCCAGTTTAAGGTAAACCCATATATATCTATATAAATATGTATAGATGTACCTGTAAAAACATCTACAATAAAGTTTAAATTTTAGTTCCTATATGATCCCCAAAGATTAACACTAGAGTCTAAGGACTCTAGTATAGTTTTCTATCTCTTAAACATATTTGTTCTCCATTTTAAATAAATATTTCAGTGCTTATATCTTTAAGTAGCAAATTCTTTTATATCTTTTATTTTTTTAGAGCCAAGGTATCACTATGTTTCTGAGGCTGCACTAATTCCTGTATTCAAGTGATCCTCCCATCTCAGCCTTCTGAGTAGCTGGGACTACAGACACATGCTACCACACCCAGCATGTAGCAAATTCTTTTTCCATCGTTTTATTGATATTCAACATGCAAAAAAATTTAATCTTATAGAAGTATATAAAGTGAAAAGTAGGCCAGGCATGGTAGCTCATGCCTGTAATCCCAGGACTTTGGGAGGCTGAGGTGGGAGGATCACTTCAGCCCAGGAATTCAAGGCCAAACTGGGCAATATAGTTAGACTCCATCTCTGCAAAAAAAAAAAAAAAAAAAAAAAACAAAAACAAACAAACAAAAAAACTTAAATTAGCTGTACATGGTGGTATATGCTGGTAGTCCCTAGCTACTCAGGAGGCTGAGGCAGGAGAACCACTTAAGCCCAGAAGTTTGAGGCCGCAGGGAGCTATGATCACGCTACTGCACCGCAGCTGGGTGACAGCAAGACCCTGTCTCTAAAAAAAATAAAATAAAGGGCTTAATTTCCCAAAATGAGATCAATCTAAACATACTGACCTACACTTTATCTCATTTAATACACCATGAACAACTTTCCATATCATTCTTTTTATTGCTGGATAGTATTTCACTGTATGATATATCATTATTTAACCATTCCCCTATTGAGATCCATTTAGATGTTTCTAATTTTTCAGTAAAGCAAACAATGCTACATTGTAAACATGTACATAAATCTTCTAAAACCTGCAGACATTTTCAGAGTCCCAAAAATGGGACTGTTAGCTACTTAGCCCTAAAGAACAAAACCTGAGGCAAAGCTCCCAAGCTAAGGAATTCTTGGAAAGTAAAATCCCAGAATATGAAGGATGAGAGGAAAACGGGGGTGTGGCAGGAGTGGAGGAAAAGCAAACAAAAGATGGTACTGGCTTGAGTGACCTAGGTCACATAGGATCTTTTCCAGTCAGGCTATGGACCAATGTAGCTCAGAACCAGCAGAAAAGGAAGAAAGAAAAAAGGAATCATCTGCCAGTCTTTTCCTATCTCCTGCCTATCCTTGGGCAAAGTTTGCCTCTTGAACTTCTGGGCTTGCTAGGTAATTCCTCCAAGCAATTACTGAGGATAGAGATTCTGCCACCTTTGTCCCCCATGTCCTAAGCCCAGAAGCAGTAGGAGTCAAAGCCTCCATGAGTTTGGCTGGATAGGAGGTCCTGCTGACGCGGGTCCTCACACCAAAGGAGGCTAAGAAGGCCGCTGGTTTAAGGAGGCAAAGAAACTATATCCTAGAAGACTGCTGCCAATTTACACTCCACTAAAGATGCGTGACTGGGTTTATTTTCTCATGCTCTGCCAACAAGTCTTCTAATTCAATCTGTCAGATAAGAAGTAGTATATACTGTTTTATCTTACATTTCTTGATTATTAGTGAGGTTGAACATCTTTCTCTGTTTATTGGCATTTGTTATTTCTCCTGGAGACAGACTATTTTTACAAATGTCTCACCCTTCCATTATGAGTCTACAAGGTTCTGTTAATCTCGGTTCTGCCCTATTTCCAAAAATTACTTCAAGTTACCCCTAAATCAGATATTTAAGGCTATCAGTTAGCTTAACACCATAAAAATCTTTGCTGGTTATTCTTTCCATAGATACCACAGAGGAAGACAAGGCAAAAACATGACAACTGCCTTATCCTAGTTTCCACAACTACATTTTGTAGGGTTAGGGAAACTTTGACATTTAAGAAAAATTTGCAATTCCACCCAGTTTTCCATATGTCCTCAACTTGTGGCTAGAATGCTTCAGTATCAAACAGAACACCTGCTTGCCATCACCTCTATCTATACACCAACCAAGCTGCACTGCCAGTGCTCAAATTTATTTTATTACTACAGGGTTTTGACCATAAGATAACCATGTTTAATAATATATAGTCCTTTTCCATAAACAGATACACATTGAGAAATTCAGACCCAAATCTGTAATAGCATCTTCTATTTTTCCTCTTAGGCTCTTTTTACCTGTCAAGAATTACCCTGATTGTTTTTTTAGATTTGATTCTGCATTGTATGCAAAGTTCAACCCATCCCCTAACTCTCCCCCTTTTCATCTTTGCCATACTCCAAGAATTCAAAGTCCAACAAACATTGGTAGTTTTGAAAGTAAAGCTGTAAAGTTAGTAATATTTTTGGTCTTGAATTAGAAATTGTGTCAAATAACTAGAAGTCGTATTTCACATGCTTTGTAAAGAAAATAAAATTCCACTGCCTCTAGAAGAAGGATACTCTATAGTGAGCCTGAAAACAATATAGTAATTCTACAGAGTTTTAAATCTAGGCCTTTAAAAACATTTTCAAAAACTGAATTCATTTTCAACTTGGTTAATAAAATCTAATTCATGCAACTGACAGATTCAATATAGATGAAGAAAATAATTTTCCAACTCTAAATTAAAGGAATATGAGTTAGACAACTAAATTGATCCCGTAAGAATCGAGGTTTGCCATGGTACAGCCACATTAAGGGAAATGTATTAATGTTTCCCTGTGAATAATTTCTCTATAATTTCAACCTGGTCATTTATTCACCATAGCCTACCATGTGCAGGTTAACATTCACTAATATCCTCAGCAACACTAACATTGCATCCCGTTTATTTTTTGGTGGCATATTAATAAAATACTTGCCTCAGTTAAGTATCATATTTGATATAAAATTTATACTTGCATTGCACTCTACAGTTTACAAATTTGTTTTCTACATATATAATTTCAATGAATTACAATCTTCCTTCACAACTTTAAAGCATAATACACTACTAATCTCCAAAAGCAAATTATGTCAAATATAATAAATAAGATTTTAACAATAAAAGACTAATACAAATAGAAAGAAATTAACCTATTGTTCCCTTCTTACCTTGCTCCAAAACAATTCCACATTAACATTGTTGGTTCATTTTTCCAATTTAAGCTGTTAAAAAATGCATGCTAAATTTCCCTATATCGTATTTCAATCAATTGCCTAAGCTGAGACTAGTGTCACAAATAAAGCATAGGATCATAAATTTCTCAGAAGACATAAAATCAAAGACACCCAACACCTAAACATAAAGATAAAAAACAGCAAAAAAAATACCCACAAGAACCATGAAGCTATATGAAATTCCAGCTGATCAGCTGGTTAAACAGTCTATTCTGAACAGACTTAGTCTTTACTCTCTAAACTGATATTAAGATTACAACCATGTACCAGAATCATCTTGGTCTAGTCTTTTCATTTTATGTTTTCTTATAAATTATGGTGCTATAGGAAAAAAGTCAATCGCCTTTCAGATGTTTAACTGCAAAAGCACTACTTAGAATAGCAATGAACTGAGTTATTTAAATACAGGACTCTGCATGAAATGAGGGCTATCTGCAAAACAGCACATACTTAAACTACGGTATATATTACAATATTTCAAACAGTGCCTAGAAGATCTCAAGCCTCCCATGATTCTATGATCACACAGTTGACAAGGAACTCTAGAATACAGAAAAATCTTTGCTAAACACCTAGAAAAGACAACACCACAGTTTTAACTATTTGCGTACCAACAAGTGCTACATCCACATTTCATCATATCCGGGCATTAAGAGGTCACTTTGTTTGTGCTCACAAAAAGTATTTTTTTAAATAAAGTTAAATTGAATTGATTTTTTAAAGCACATAATTAAAATGGTATTTGAGACCAAATGCCACTGTGTGAAGATAGGTAAAAATAATTGACTGCTCAATTTCTTTGATGAAATAAATCCGTCTCTTAAAGAAAAATATTCTGTTTTCTAAAGTTTCAGAACTTTTTGTATTAACCTGTGAATATAACATAAATAGAAATTTGCAACTTAAGAATTTGTTCTTCTGTTCTTTTTGCAATTGATATTTCTTTGCTCCTAAGTGACGCAAATAATTGAAAGTTTATCTGTTGGCCAGGTGCAGTGGCTCACTCTTGTAATCCCAGCACTTTGGGAGGCTGAGGTGGGCAGATCTCTTAAGCCCAGGAGTTCAAGACCAACCTGGACAACACGGCAAAACCATGTCTCTACAAAAAAATACGAAAATTAGCCAGGCATGGTAGCATGTGGCTGTAGTACCAGCTACTCGAGAAGCTGAGGTGGGAGGATCACCTGAGACTGGAGAGGTCAAGGCTGCAATGAGACATCATTGTGCCACTGCACTCCAGCCTGGGCAACACAGAGTGAGATTTTAAGGAAAAAAAAAAAAAAAGTTTATCTGTCAACTTGGAAGGAGATATGAATTAGTCTGTTTTCATGCTGCTGATAAAAACATACCTGACTGGGGAGAAAAAGAGGTTTAATTGGACTTACAGTTCCACATGGCTGGGGAGGCCTCAAAATCATGGTGGGGGGCAAAAGGCACTTCTTACATGGTGACGGCAAGAGAAAAATGAAGAAGCAAAAGCGGATACCCCTGATAAGCCCAACAGATCTTGTGAGACTTATTCAGTATCTCGAGAATAGCATGGGAGAGACCAGCCCCCATGATTCAATTACCTCCCCCTGGGTCCCTCCCACAACACATGGGAATTCTGGGAGATACAATTCAAATTAAGATTTGGGTGGGGACACAGCCACACCATATCAAGAAAACTGGCACTTTACTCTTTCCCAATAGGTGTAAGGTAATAAAATTTTAAATTCCAGATTTTATTTAAGCATAAAAATGATCAAACAAAAACCAAGTATGGTTGGTATAGCAAATTATTCAAAATACATGGTCTTATGCCTCAGCAGAGGTTTATACCAATGAGTTTCCTCAAAAATCTCTCTCCCACACATGCATGCAGATATTTATAAACAAAGAAAAATGTTCCTATCTCTAATGACTAAAGTTATTCACTTAATGATATTATTTCTAAGGTGCTGAAATTTTAGGAACATAGGTACGTATAGGGCAAGGCCAGACCTGAGGAGCTCCAAAATATCTTTGCTCTATCTTGGTCAGTCCCACTATAGTGTCAAACCCCTCCTTTAAGTTAAGGTATCCTCTGCTGGGCCCATTTGGGAACCAAATTTGTTAACTCTCCATTACTTCACTATTCAAGAGTTGATGTGTAACGTTTAGGTGATGTGTGGCAAAAAATTATACTATGAATGAATGGCACACACTTTATTGGTAAACAAGAATGGCTCAGAGTATCAGAGGACAACAGTATTGTGATTTAGGGTAGATGTAGCTGAAGTACTTCATCAGGCATTCCTGGAAACTCTGGATAATAAAGCCAGAGGGTAGTTGTTGGTCTAGAGAGAAACTTCCCCAATTTAAATTTCCATGGAAGACACTACAAACACAAAGGCAGGCTGGGTGGTTGTGTGTGTGCGGGGGTGCGGGTGTGTATATCATCAATAACGATTAAAAAATTAATAAAATCTAAATCAGTTTTTCAAAATCATAGTCCAATAATACAGTAATTGAACTGGATGATTTCATGTTACACTGATCAGCAGGAATGCTAAAGAAAAAAGCTAAAAGCTGAGTAATTTGGTATCCTGAGTTTACCAGGAAAAACACATTCTAAAGTACTTTAATTCTTTAAAAATTTAAGAAGATGACATATAATTAATCATTATTATTATTGTAAGACTTCAGCAAGAAACAGCATTAGTTTATGCTAAGTAATACAGCCTGAAGAGGTTCAATAAATCTTAGCTGAACTGAATCTCAAGGGACAAATTAACATAGTCACCCCCTAGTTTTGCAACACAAATAGATATGAAAACAAAGACTATACAGTACTTGGAAGTATAGGAATCTAGTAGAATACTACTGAACAAAAGCATAGAATAATTCCATAGAATAAAACATATACAAGTGAAATGCTCCATGGACTATAAAAATTTGTATGTAGAAAAAGCAGAAAGATTAAGATAGTGGTAAAAATGATTTAATCAGCTATTGTATAAATATTAGATATTTTAAACATTTAGTCTCTCAATATGTAAAACTTTTACACGGGCCGGGCACGGTGGCTCACGCCTGTAATCCCAGCACTTTGGGAGGCCGAGGCGGGCGGATCACGAGGTCAGGAGATCGAGACCATCCTGGCTAAAACGGTGAAACCCTGTCTCTACTAAAAATACAAAAAATTAGCCGGGCGTAGTGGCGGGCGCCTGTAGTCCCAGCTACTTGGGAGGCTGAGGCAGGAGAATGGCGTGAACCCGGGAGGCGGAGCTTGCAGTGAGCCGAGATCCCGCCACTGCACTCCAGCCTGGGCGACAGAGCGAGACTCCGTCTCAAAAAAAAAAAAAAAAAAACTTTTACACGAGTCAAATTTGGCAGGAGTGGAGGGGAGGGCGATGGGGAAAGAAATAAACTTTAAAATGTCTCTATCTAACTTTGTAACACAAAATTTTAATATCCCAAAATGTTAAGAATTTCAAAAACTGTAAAAAGAGATAAATTGTCCACACATTTTAAAAAATTGAGGCAATATAGATAGGATTGTTTGGAATACAAGTCAGTAATATATGTATATACAATTTTGCTGTTTTTCAGCTTTTTACTGTGTCTAAGTTATTGCTAATACCATCAAACTCCCTTTGCTATAGTTACTGATATTGAATGGTACATAATAACAGTAGCACAGAGAGATTAAACCCACACATATGCACATATACACACACACATAAACATACAAATGAAACCATCACCACCACCAAAATAAGTTCTGGATTCACTTGATTAAAATATTTCTTATAACCTTTTACTTGTACTAAAAAGTAACGTCCATATTAACACCTGTATATATATGTACATACATACACACACCCATAGTCAATCTTATACATAATAGGGTTAAAATTATGAAATTATAATATTCATTCCATGTTGAGATTTTGCCTCCCTGTAAATCTAAAAGTAGTATTTCAAAATACTTCCAAAGACTACCAATTCTTACTGAATTAAAGACCACTTTTCTATTCATTTACAATTTCCAATTTATTCATAATTCTGCTAATATTCACTTATACGCAGGGAGAAATACAAGAAGAGATAGCACTATGTTGTCAAGGTAGCACAGAAAGCTATAAAGCCATCCTGAAACACATCTGGAGTATATTGCTCTTTAAAAAGTTATAAAATGAGAGGTATATTAGAATAGCTTAAATATAGGTGAAATTCATACTTGCTTTTAAAAGGGTATGCAGCCCTAGAAAAGAGCACCAGCCTCCAATAAAATATGGCCAAATAGCTGATATTTAAAGAAATACAACATAAAACATAAAATATATCTGAAAAGCTAAAAAAAAAAATCTTCTAAAATGTGTAATGTCATGTGGAGAAAATAATTCAGGTATCTAAGTTAAGCAAGCCTAGGCCTGAAATTTTGCTTTTGGACATTCTGGCTATGGGCTGGGTTACTTAACCTCTCTGATCCTTAGCTTCCTCATCTGTAAGAGGGGAATTATTTTCTCTACAAGACTGTTAAAAGGACTAATTGAGACTAATAGAATCTTTCTGGCTTTTTACCTAAAAACTTTTTAGCTATCGAATATATTAGAATAGAAATAATACATTCATTAAGTCTGTGTTATATAATTTCACCTACTTTTGTACCAGTGTATTTTTAAAACAAATGGAGAATAAAAAAATATCCTCCTTCACTGGATTTCAAATCCAAATCAACAGACTTTCAGGATCTACATTTAAAATGATCCAGTGTTGTCTCCCTATAATTTACTGTCCAACTGGGACATTTTCTACATGTCCCTTTCAGGGATTCTTTCAGGCTTTTTGTGGAGAGGAAAGGAGTTGAAGTTAACATGTATATAGAAAAATGTACATATTTTAAGTGGGTTTTCACAAACTGAATAAATATGAAATCAACACCCAGATTTAAAAATCCATTAAGCCAGCATCCAGATCAAGAAATAGAATATTACCAGCATTCAAACTGAGATAGTTTTGACAGTGAAAGGTGGTGTTATTTTAACAGCCTAAATGAAATATAATTGACATATAATAACTGTGCATATTTAAATTGTACAGTTTGATGAGTTTTGACGTATATTGGTGAAACCACTGCCACAGTCGAGATGATGAACATATATATCCACCATCTCGGAAAGTTTCCTTGTGTCCCTTTTGTAATCCCTGCTGTTTATTCCTACTTTGTATCCCCGGGCAACCACTGATCTGGTTTCTGTCACTGTAGTTTGCATTTTCTAGAATTTTATTTATTTATTTATTTTTGACATGGGGTCCCACTCTGTGGCCCAGGCTGGAGTGCCATGGCATGATCAGAGTTCACTATAGCCTCAACCTCCTGGGCTCAAGCGATCCTCCCATCTCAACCTCCTGAGTAACTGGGACCACAGGTGTAAACCACCACACTCAGCTAATTTTTTATTTTTGTAGAGATGAGGTCTTGCTGTATTGCCCAGGCTGGTCTTGAACTCTTATGCTCAAGCAGTCCTCCCATCCTGGCCTCCCGAAGTGCTGGGATTACAGGCATGAGCCACCATGTTATGTATACCAATAGTTTGGTCCTATTTAGTATTCCATTCTGTAGATACACCATAATTTGTTTAGCCTTCTCCTGTTGATGGAAATTTTGGTTTCCAGTTTGGGGTTATTATAAATAAAGCGACTATGAACATTCATGTAAAAAAATAAAGTAAAATGACCTAGTGTTTACCATATGATGGAAAATGCTATAACACCTAGAAAGAGTTGGTGGGGCACTTTTCATTTTCCCTTTTACTTAAATCAACAACATGGATTATTAAGAGTTTCACTAAATTTGTTATTGAATATATTAAAATTCAACCTAAGGAAAAACGGGACAACTGGAAGATAACATTTATCATGTCTAGGCACTCAGGTATATATTATGGCTAGGGGAAAATAGCAAAACAAACAACTATCACATACCAAAATCTGAATCTGGTTCCAATGCAACCCAATCCCACCAATACCAATGAAAAGACTAGAAGTTTATCCCCAGGTAAAATCATTTGAGATCTCTGATGCAAAACTATGGTGTTATTTAAAGATGGAATGTGAAGCCAAAAAGCATTCACACGTTCTGTTTAAGTTATATTATTAACTCATTTATGCCGGAGGTTGAAAATTTTTTTTGTGAAAATCAGACCTTGGCAATGACCTTGAGCAGTAGGATGTAAATAACTCCCACAAGCTTTGCATTCCAATAATGGAACACTAGGCATAAATGGGTTAAATTTTTTTTTTTTAAAAAAAGAATGAAGTTGTCACTCAAAGGTTTTTGCCTATGCACACATATAGGCTAATACAATGCTTCTTTTCCTCAACTGACAAGTATCACAAAAGAAAATTTAAAAGTACAATTGGCAAATAAAACAAGAAAACTCAGCCGGGCACAGTGGCTCACGCCTATAATCCCAGCACTTTGGAAGGCCAAGGCAGGCGGATCACCTGAGGTCGGGAGTTTGAGACCAGCCTGGTCAACATGGTGAAACCCCGTCTCTACGAAAAATACAAAAATGAGCCGGGCGTGGTGGCGGGCACCTGTAATCCCAGCTACTCGGGAGGCTGAGGCAGGAGAATTGCTTGAACCCGGGAGACAGAGGTTGCAGTGAGCTGAGATCATGCCATTGCGCTCAGCCTGGGCAACAGAGTGAGACTCTGTCTCAAAAAAAGCACAAAAAACAAAAACAAACAAAAAAAACAAGAAAACTCAAAAACAACACAAGTACATGGATGGAAGAAATGTGAAAATATCCAATGAATATATCAGATTATATATCTATTAACCAGTTCCCCTCTGAAGCTAACCAAAACATTACACAATATAATGCTTTGTATAACATTATACCCCCTTATCCATGGGGTATGTATTCTAAGACCCCTAGTAGATGCCTGAAACTGTAGACACTACAGAGCCCTATATACACTATGTTTTTTCCTATACAGGAACAGGTAATGGATACATCTTGACAAAGGGATGTATGGAGTGGGACAGGAGAGATTTTATCACAACAGGGCATGCAATTTAAAACTTATCAATTGGTTACTTCTGGAATTTTCCACTTAATATTTTTGGACCACCGTTGACCTCAGGTGACTGAAACCCCTCAGAAAGCAAAACTATAGATCAGGGAGGACTGCTATACATTTTTAAACCACAAACAGGGACCACTAACAAACACATACACACATATAAGAGCATACACACAAGCATTAAGAATCCTACAGTTCCTAAATATTGCATAACTCTTTATAAAGTCAGTAGGATAGACCATTAAATGTTTTTAATAACACACCATGCTTTTCTGTACTGAAAATTACCTCTATATGGAGGTTAATAAATTTGGCCCAAAATATAATCAATCTCTGTTCCTAGTAACAAAACATGTCATAATAGAGTTTATCATTAGAACGAATTTTTTTTTCAGTAGAAAAAATAATCTCCTTATAATTTAAAAAACAGATAAAATGCAGTTCTAGTTCTTAATTCCCAACTAATACACACAGGTTACTTTTTTACTAAAATAAGTCAGAAATGTTTTATTAAAATCAGGAAAGAAACTATTTCTAGATTATTTCTTTTAGCTATAGCTTTAACATCATAATTCAATTAATCTACTAAAATGTGTAACTGTTGTATCTGCAAAAAGCTTATTCTGCTCTAATGCACAAATAAGAAGTCTTAAAAAAGTCTTCTGCAAGCTGGGCAAGGCAGTGTGCACCTGTAGTCCCAGCTACTTGGAAGGATGAGGCAGGAGGATAACTTGAGCCCAGGAGTTCAGGTCTAGCCTAGGCAACATAGTGAGACTCCATCTCTTTAAAAAAAAAAAATTCTTTTGCAAAAGAAAATTTTAGTTGCACAGGATACTAATTTTCTCTAAATTTTCTAATAAATTTAGATCACCATATGATGCTTATTTTTCTTAACTTACATGGATTGAATAAGAAAACAAAGTCATTTTTAATTCTAATCTATTATCCCAAAAGTACATCATTTTGGGATGTAAAGATAATAAGATTATCTTTATTGAAATTATTATAATTTTACATTAAAATGTATTTTTATTTATTAAGTACAGCTAAAAAATAATTTCTAATCTTATAGTTTTTATTGTGTGTCTATTAGAGAAATACACAAAATAAGCATAATTGAAGTGTATTTAGTTTCACAGAAAAATCAGTAACTTTAAACTGTGAAACACTGCCCTCTATAGTCCACTGAATTAAACAACAATTCAATTTATAATACTTAGAACAATACAACCTAGACAAGGAATTTTGGACTTTCTGCCTCGTTCCTGAAGCAAAATTTTCCCGCTCTATAAATCTCTCTTTTTTTTTTTTTTTGAGACGGAGTCATGCTGTGTCGCCCAGGCTGGAGTGCAATGGCACAATCTCGGCTCACTGCAACCTCTGCCTCCCAGGTTCAAGCAATTCTCCTGCCTCAGCCTCCCAAGTAGCTGGGATTACAGTACCACCATTGCTGGCTAATTTTTGTATTTTTAGTAGAGACGGGGTTTCACCATGTTGGTCAGGCTGGTCTCAAACTCCTGACCTCAGATGATCTGCCCACCTTGGCCTCCCAAAGTGCTGGGATTACAGGCATGAGTCACCACACCCAGCCTATAAATCCCTTTTTTAAAAAGAAGTTTATACTAGAGAAATGCCTATTTCAGATATCCATTTGGCTGGGCACAGTGGTTCACACCTGTAACACCAGCACTTTGAGAGGCCAAGGCAGGAGGATCACTTGAGCCCAGGTGTTCAAGACCAGCCCAGGCAACATGCAAGACCCCATCTCTACCAAAGAAAAAGAAAAAGAAAATTCGCTGGTGTGATGGCACACACCTGTAGTCCCAGCTACTCAGGACGCCAAGGTGGGAAGATCACTTGAGCCCAGGAGTTTGAGGCTGCAATGAGCTAGGATTGCACCACTGCACTCCAGCCTGGGCAACACAGCAAGACCTTGTCTCTAAAAACAAACAAAATATTCATCAATCTCATTTAAAGCCTCTTCTCTAAAGAAATCAATACTTGCATGCTTATTGCAGCACTATTCACAATGGCAAAGATAAAAAGTCAACCTAAATGTCTATCACGGATGAATGAATAAATAAAATGTGGTATATATACACAATGAAATATTACGCAGCTATAAAAAAGAATGAAATGTTATTTGCAGCAACATGGATGGAACTTGAGGTCATTATCTTAAGTGAAATAAGCCAGACACAAAAAGACAAATATCACTTGTTCTCATTTATATATATGAGCTAAAAAATTTGATCACATGGAGGTAGAGAGTGGAAAGACACATAACAGAGACTGGGAGGGGCAAGTAGGGGGAAGAGGGGAAAATGAAGAGAAGTGGGTTAAAGGGTATAAACATACAGTAAGAAAGAAGGAATAAATTCAATGTTTGATAGCAGAGTAGAGGGACTACACTTGACAAAAATGTACAGATACCCGAAATGCCCTGATTTGATCAGTACAGCACTATATACATGTAACAAAATTTCACAGGTACCCCATATATTTGTAGGAAAATACAAGCAGTATGGCAGGTACGCCTGTAATCCCAGCACTTTGAGGCGGAGGCGGGTGGATTGCTTGAGTCCAGGAGTTCGAGACTGGC
Organism: Homo sapiens; assembly: GCF_000001405.40. NCBI lineage: Eukaryota > Metazoa > Chordata > Mammalia > Primates > Hominidae > Homo > Homo sapiens. The sequence goes on from NC_000001.11 coordinate 180,479,795, forward strand.
CTGGGCAACATGGCGAAACCCTGTCCCTATTAAAAATACAAAAAACTAGCTGGGTGTGGTGACACGCACCTGTAGTCCCAGGTATTCAGGAGGCTGAGGTGGGAGGATGGCTTGAGCCCCGAAGGCAGAGGGTTCAGTGAGCAGAGATCGCACCACTGCACTCCAGCCTGGGTGATAGAGCCAGACCCTGTCTCAAAACCAAAGAAAAAAAGAAAATACAAGCAGAAAATACAAGCAGTCTGATAGTACTGGAATCTAAAATAAAAGATGAAGAGGGATAAAAGGTGGGACTCAAATGTGGATATAAACCAGATTATGGTGGACTTTGTATATCATGCTAATTTAGCCTGTGAGTAAAGGGGAACCACTTTTAAATGGGATAAACATGGTCAGATATACATTCAGATAAGTCACGTCCGAAGCAATGTGGAAAACAGAACTCAGAGGGACCACACTCAAAACAAGGAGAATACAGGAGGCATTGCAACAGCCTAGGCAAGAGATGATGATATATTAAGAAAGAGGCAGTAGGGGTAGAAAGAAAGTGATAGATGCAGATTACTTAAAAGATAAAATTAGTGACACTTGGTAACTAATTAAATAGGTCACTAAGAAAAAGCAGTAAGAAAAGATTCAGGGATCACTGCTAGGTTTCTCACTTGAATGAACTCAGTATATGGCAATACCATTAAATAAGGAAAGAAGCAGAAGAAAGCATCTGAAGGCAGGGTAAGGGGGTAGACAGTTGATAAGTTCTATTTTAGACCTGTTGAGTCTGAAGTGCCAATGCAACACTAAACAGAAATGCTCAATAAGTATTCCAGCACATGAAACTCAAAGCCAAAAAGGCAGAGTTCTTCAAGTCAAATGGAGCTTGTAGAAGTACTTGATTAGGCTCACATTATGTTTAACTTTAAAAAAAATCAGAAGATGTCACTTAAAAAATGAGATTTCAGGCTGGGCACGGTGGCTCATGCCTGTAATCTAGCACTTTGGGAGGCCGAGGTGGGTGGATGACTTGAGGTCAGGAGTTCGAGACCAGCCTAACCGACATGGTGAGGCCTTGTCTCTACTGAAAATACAAAAATTAACTGGGCATGGTGGCATGTGCCTGTAGTCCCAGCTATCCAGGAGGCTGAGGCAGGAGAATTGCTGGAACCCGGGAGGCAGAGTCTGCAGTGAGCGGAGATCGCACCACTGTACTCCAGCCTGACAACAGAGTGAGACTCCGTCTCAAAAAAAAAAACAAAAAAAAAACAAGATTTTATATCAGATCTGGCACTACTGAGCATTCATGGCAATAACTGGCTGGAGCTAACATCCAATTCCCCTCTTTAAATAGGGCATGCACTTCACTGCAAACCACAACCTTGTGATTCTCTCTATATAAATCAAAACCGACTTCATTCATTTATGTTAATGGCTTGGCCCATGAAGGCGCTTGTTTTTGATTTTTTTTTTTTGTGACCCTGGTCTAAAAACCCTAATCCCTGATCAGGATCACAGAAAAGATCAGGGCTAAAAAATAAATTTAGAATCAATATAGACTGTGGTTAAAACTGCAAGAATGATAAGGAGAGACACAGTTTTGAAAATCATCAACACAGGCTGAAACTTGGGGCAAAAAAATACTTAATCATGCAGACTTTGTGCTTTATAATATTTCTATTACCTTAAAAGTGGCCTTTACCATACTCAAATCTTAATTCAAAATTCACTTTCCCTGTGTATATTTTAATTTCTTCAGCAACACTGTTAGTCTTTAACCAAAAATGCTAAGTTTTCTATTTATTCCCAGGTAGCTTTTTTCAGGAATTGCTAATAGCATCCTACATATCTATATGCTCTAAAAATGCTAATTAAATTAAATAAAGTATTCCCCTTATACTGAGCATAAGTTATGCCCTGGAACTTGAAGAAACAAAAGAAGAACCAGAAGGTTGGAAATACACTCTAAGAGAGAAATATAATGGATTCATGTTATTTACCCTGGAAAAGAGAATTATAAGGAAATTAGAATAATCTAGGTATCCTCTATGGTATGGCCCTGTGCTGAACTTTGTAGGTGGTAAATAGTAACACAAAGGCGAATCTGACACGGTCCTTGCCTTGAAGAGTCTATGGGCTGGATGGAGTACTATCAAGTTCGATAGTCAGGTGAATTTCTTTCTGAGATGAGAGTTTTAATACATGAGAAATATATAACTTAAAGAAATATTCTCTAGCATAAGGCACCTAGAGAACCTCAATTTAATACCTTATAGTCAACAAAAATTAGATATGAATAACAAGAAAAAAGTCAAAGGTAAATTTTTGTCAAAAACAAATCTGTTTAGTTATTTTTTTAAATATAAATTATAAAAATTATGACTGCCTTCATAGGTAAGTATAAACAACAGGTATAAATTTATCTATCTTTCAATAATTTTTATAGGTAAAAGATAACTAGCTGATGTTACAAAAACCACAGATGAATAGCAGCCAATTTTGCAAAAGGCTAGATGGATACTGGACAGCTAGACAACCACTTATTTGGCTGCTGGAACTAAAGAAAGGAGAGTGTCAGTTCTCCCATCTATGCTATTTTTCTCCATGGTCAACACACAAATAACAATGGATGCTAGTCTAAACATCATCAGATCAGTGAGGTGAAGAGAAATGAAGTTAATAATAAGATCCCGAGTAAATATAAAAGTTTTAAAGATCTAAGAAGTTAAAAAAAAAAAAGCAAGAGAGAACCAAGGTATTAACAATATCACTGAAACACACAGAAAACACTAGAAATTCCCGAGAATAAAAACGCATCTTATTTATGTTGAACTTTGCTCCCTCTGGTGGTCACTAAAGGTTTTACTAGATGCGAGTAGAAACGGAGGAAGAGGACAAAAGAGAAGTGGAATTGCAGAAACTAAGTTAACCTTCATCTATATATCAGACAAACGTTCAATTTTCAAAGAAAACTTTTTTAAAAGAAGAATTTAGAGCTCAGTGTTACGGAGGTAGCTCTGAGGATTACAGAAACAGTCACAAGTGAAAAGATACTTCTAGGGAATGGGACTGAAAGTGTGTGAGTGTGTGGGGCAAGGTACTTGTTCTAAAAGTTTCATTTTATACTCTTCCACACTGTTTGAATTTTTGTTTCCATAAGCCTCTATTATTTTCATGAAAATATCATTTAGTGGACAATGTGGAGGAATACCTAAGTCTTTTTACAAGTTTACAATCAGTATATTTCGCTTCTCAGAGTAAAAGCCACAATCCTTATTACAGCAGGCTATATTACCATGTGCCCAACTCTGCCTCATTTTCTATTTCTCCACCCCTCGTTCTCATATACATTCAGTCCTTATTGCAGTTTCTAGAGTACGTCAGGCATGATCCTACTTTAGAGACTTGCACTAGCTGTTTCCTCTATACAGAATGTTCTTCCCCCTGTATGGCTCATTCTTTCACTTAATTTCAATCTATGCTCAATGTTACCTTTTCAGTGAGCCTCTCCTGACCATCTTATTTTAAATTAAGAAGGTACCCCTGCCTCCTGTGTGCCCTATCCTTCTTCCCTGCTTTCTCTCCACAGTGCTAATCACTTTCTAAGACACTACAACTTTACTAATACATTATTAATATTTACTATAATATTTACTTTATTACTTATCTCTGTCCGACTGTAAGCTTCCTAAGAGCAGGGGTTGTTCTGCTGTGTTCAGTGCTAAATCCCCAGCCCCTAGAACTACAACTTGCACACAGTAAGTATAAAACTAATGTGTGAAATAAATGACTGACTAGTATCAATAATACCTTAATACATGGTAGAAAAAAGAACAAAATGCCTCATTTTATATTTGGTTCAATATAAAATGGTAATCTATTACAGATTAGGATACAATTATATATGCAAAATACATACTATTAATCTTTTAATCAGTGATATCTGGAGAGAGATCATTAATGTCATTAATGGGCTGCTTTTTTGTTTTTGCCTAGTGTATATGACTAAGATACCAAATACACTCAAATGTAATCATTCTGCTATTAGTACTTGAAAGCTTTTGTATAATAGGACTCAAAAGAAATAGTACCCATGCATCTTGAACAAGAATCTTCTCCAAAGAGCTATGGAAAATATCAGATACTACCCGGGAATTATGAAAAAATACCTAATTCTTTAATTTGGAAAATGTCCTCTTCTAGAACTATTAATATTTATCAGGAATAAAAACACATCTTTTTGTCCAGAGTGGAAAATACATTAAAATTACTACAAGACTTACAGTTTGGTGGTCCTGCTTTACATGTCAACATTATTTATTTACAAGCAAGGAAACCACTTCAGAACAGGGTTACCTCATGGCTCAGGGCATTCACACTAAAGAAAATTATTACACTTCCATGTGATCAGAGTCAATTTAGTAGTAGCCAAAAAAACAAGGTGACTGGGGTGCGGTTATTTTCCAATTTCACCAAAGTTTTTACAAAACTGCCTTATTATTTGTCAAAACTCATTGAATTACACACTTAATGTTTGTACATTTCACTATACATAAATTTTGCCAAAAAACAAAGTAAGATTCCTATTGAGAACTTTATTGGTAAATTTTCTTTTCACAGTGGTATAGGTTAGAAATTCTGAAACTACTTTCTGTATATTCTAGACTTAAGCAAATGAGTAACTACATTGAGGATACTGGGAGCAGGGTTGTTCTGTTGGAGAAAGGAGTTACAAATATGAAAGAGGGAAGGCTATCATGTACCCTGTAGTGTTGGGTTGGAATTACAGGTATGAATATAAACTTATGGTTTTTAGTATACAAGTAGATAAATATATAAATACTGATATAGGATATACACGTGTCAGAGTAATATAAGTATTAATACATGTATACACGTCTGTGTCTACAATGAATATGTATTCAACATGTGTATCTACGCACGTATGTATACGTATACATACATATGTTATGTATGCATGTATATACAAAATGTGTGTATGGCTGGGCGCGGTGGCTCACACCTTTAATCCCAGCACTTTGGGAGGCTGAGGCGGGTGGATCATGAGGTCAGGAGTTCAAGACCAGCCTGGCCAACATGGTGAAACCCCGTCTCTACTAAAAATACAAAAATTAGCTGGGCGTGGTGGTGGGCGCCTGTAATCCCAGCTACCAGCTACTCAGGAGGCTGAGGCAGAGAATTGCTTGAACCCGGAAGGCGGGGGTTGCAGTGAGCCGAGATTGCACAACTGCAAATCTGTCCAGCCTGGGCAACAGAGTGAGACTCTGTCTCAAAAAAAAAAAAAAAGTGTGTGTATCTATAGATACATACATTTGAGGGTATGTAATTTTAGATCTGTCTTCTGAGAGGGCCTAGAAGCAATGACACTCCAGTAGCAATGAACATACCCTAGCATCCAGACCTTGGTTTCTAAATACTATTCTCTACTAAAGAGTTAAAGAGAAGCAGCCAATTCCAGGGATAGGGCAGGGCAAACATCAGATAAATCTGTGTAGTGAGTTGAATTGTGACCCCCAAAAAGGTATGCCCAAATCTTAATCCCAAGTACCTGTCAATGAGACCTTAATTGGAAATAGGATCTTGGCAGATGTAAGTTAAAATGAGGTCATACTGGATTAAGGTGGGCCCTAAATTCAATTACTAGTGTCTACCAGAAAAAGGAGAGGGAGATTTGGATATAGAAACATAGGGAAGAAAGCCATGTGAAGACAAAGGCTAAGAATGGAGCTGGGCTGCCACAAGTCAAACAATGCCTGGGGCCACCATAAGCTGGAAGAGGCAAGAAATGATTCTTCTCTACAACCTTCACAGGGAGCATGGCTCTACTAACACCTTCTTTCCAACACCTCCACAACTGTGAGAGAATAATTTTCTGTTGTTTTAAACCACAATGTGCTCGTCTGTGGTACTTTACTACAGTAGCCCTAGGAAACTAACACTGCTTGAAACGTCTTGTGCCAAGAAGTAAGAAAATGCTCAATGATGGGGATGTATCAAAAAGGACATAGAAGCCATCTTTAAAAAGCTCCAAATAGCCAAATAAATGCTTTTAATGAATTATACCCCACTGAATAAAAGAAAAATCCATGAGTTTATACCAATATAAATACAGGAGCCATCTTGAAGGTACTCCCAGTAGCAAAAAAAAAAAAAATGATTTTAATGGATTTTTATATCCCACTGAATAAAAATCCATGAGTCTAAACTGATATAAATACATGAATGTTGAGAGAGGCAATCTACTATGAGCCCCGAGTGTCCCTACACATTCTTGTTCAATAGACCAGGCCCTGACCATTCTTTACCTGGGCCATTTCTCAGGATTGTGTATGCAGGAAGCCATCTTCAGGGATGAGGTAACGTATCTCTATCCCCTGACAACAATCAGGCTTGCTAAAAAAGTGGTCAATCCCCATAGTTCAGTGCTCCTTCCCTATAGCACAATACACTGCATATGTAAGAATCCAGCTAGGACCACCTGCTGGTCACAGCAGGGACACAAAAAAATCAATGTGAGGGACACAAAAAAATCAATGCAAACCAAATGAAGCTCATACAGTTTGCCATGCCATGGATAATAAAGCCCTTTGGCTCTGACCCAAGAGTCTTATGCTTTCTGCCAGCATCTAAGAAACAGTAACAGGCTAACTTACCAGGTTCCAGGTAGAGTAAAATCTCAGACCTTTCACAGTTCTTGACAACGAATAAATAAATAAATGGGAGGAAAGTTCTCAACAATGAATAAATGGGCAGAAAGGGAAAGTCCATCCTTACAGTGGAATGCTAAATAATAAATGAAGACAAAATTATGGAGTTAAAAAATAATTCACAAATATTAAAACTAGTGGGTGAAATCTGACTAGGAAAAGGATATTTACATAGTCTCAAACTGTTTCCCCACAAAGTACTCATTAATTAATTACAAAAGGAATTAACTTCCCATTAATTACAAAGGGAAAAATAGGAACTTCATAGTAAAGAAGTCTGGCAGACACCACCTTACCCAAGTGATCAAAGTTAACATCCCAATATTGGGACAAACAGATATCATGTACCTCCTGGTCTGATGCATTGAGGAGGACAAAATTGTGTGGTATTCTTCTTGAAAATGTATAATCTAAATCTAATTATAAGGAAACACCAGGCAAACCCAAAATAAGGGACATTCTACAAAACAACTGGTCTGTAATCTGCAAAAGTATCATGGGCAAGAAAGGGAAAAAAAAATGGCTGAGAAACTGCTCCATTAGAGGAGACTAAAGATACATGACAACTAAATACGATGCATGACCCTGCGTTAGAAGATGGATCAGCATTTGAAGAATAATTATGAAGGGCATTATTAAGGACATTATCATTATAATGATAAATTTGAATATGGACTACAGACTTGAAAATACTAAATCAATGTTAAAATTGCTGATTTTGATCATTATAGTATACTTATACAGTAGCCCTCCTTTATCCACAGTTTCACTTTCCACCATTGCAGTTACCCACTGCCAACCCAAAATATTAAATGGAAAATTCGAGAAATAAACCATTCCTAAGTTTTAAACTGTGCACCATTCTGGGCAGTGTGATGAAATTTCACACCATCTCACGCCCTCCACTCCAACCCACTGCATCCCGCCTAGAACACAAATCATCCTTTTGTCTAGCCAGTATAGTCGCACTGTATATGCTACCTGCCCATTAGTCACTTAGTTCCCTTCAAGGTTATCAGATCGACTGTCGACTGCTGCAGTACCATGTTTGTGTTCAAGTAACCATTATTTTACTTAATAATGGCCCCAAAGTACAAGAGTTGTGATAATGGCAATTCAGTGTGCCAAAGAGAAGCCATAAATTGCTTCCTTTAGGTGAAAAGGTAAAAGTTCTCAACTTAAGGAAAGAAAAAAATCATATGCTGAGGTTACTAAGGTCTATAGTAAGAACAAATCTTCTACCCAAGAAATTGTGAAGAAAAAAAAACTTGTGCTAGTTTTCCTGTCACACCTTAAACTACAAAAGTTACAGCCATAATGCAACAAAAGTACTCAGTATAGAAGACAAAAACATTTACTTTGTGGATTGAAGACATGCACAGAAATGTTTTCCAACTGATAGCAATCAGGTTAGTACTAGCCACAGTTTCAGGTACTCACTGGGGGTCTTGGAACGTATCCCCTGATAAGGAGGGACCACTGCATAAGAAAAGGTTCTTTTTCTTAGGAAAAAAATCCTGAACCAGTGATAAAGGAACATGATGTCTCCAACTTATCTCAAACAATTCGGAAAAAATGTATTTGTGTGTGTGTTGTGTGTGTGTGTGTGTTACATACATGTGTGTCTATGTGTAAAGAAAGAGAATGATAAAGCAAATATAACCAGCAGTGAATCTGGATAAAGGCCTTACAGAAGTTCCTTATATTATTCGAAACTGTAAAAACAAAACAAAAAAAAACTTATCCTCCCCCCAAAACAAAGGCAAAATAATTGCCTTAATTATAGTAGACATTGAACAACATATTCTTGAGATAAGATGAAACACATAACAGAAAACATAGTTATTTTTAAAGATGAATTTTAAAGCATTGTTTTATACCTCAAGGTACCACAGAGCTTTGACAAAAATAGCTGCCTTGAATTTTTTACACGTATACATACACTTAAGTTTATACCTTATAGATATATTTCCAATATCAGCTGTAGAACAGATAGCAGAGTGGTTAACAACAGGGCTCTGGACTCATATAAATATAGGTCTAAATCCAGTGCCATCTTTTGTTAGTTGGCTTTTTTTTTTTGAGATGGGGTCTCACTCTGTCACCCAGACTGGAGTGCAGTGGTGCAATCATAGCTGACTGCAACCCTGAACTCCTACGTTCAATGGATTCTCCCACCTCAGTCTCCCAGGTAGCTGAGACTACAGGGCACACCACCATGCCTGGCTAATTTTTTTGTTCTTTTTTTAAAATAGAGATGGGGTCTTGCTTTGTTGCCCAGGCTGCTCTCAAACTCCTGGCCTCAAGTGATCCTCCTGCCTCAGCCTCCCAAATTATAGGAATTACAGGAGTGAGCCACCACACCTGGCCTTAGCTGGCTAATTTTAGGCAAGTTACTAAATCTGTCTGTGTCTGAATTTCCTCGTTTTTGAAATGCAGATTATAGTAGTTTCTAACTGTGAAGACTTTTTGTGAAGATATCAAAAGACAATACATGTAAAGAACTCAGCACATTCAGGCCAGGTGCAGTGGCTCATGCTAGCTATTCAGGAGGCTGAGGCAGAAGAATTGTTTGAACCTGGGAGGCGGAGGGTGCAGTAAGCTGAGATTGTGCCACTGCACTCCAGCCTGGGTGACAGAGAGAGACTCCATCTCAAAAAAATAAAAAAAAACTCAGCACATTCAGAATGAGTGTTGTTCTTATTTTATTTTATTTTTTAGAATATCAAAAGAAAATTATTATTTAACCTAAAAGATAATGAACTAAATGCCAAATCTCTTCTGAGATGGAGGTTATGATCTGCCTCCTAACAGTTTAAAAGTAAAGACAAAAAAAAAAGCTATGAGTCAAAGGGGACCAGCTCAGTGTTTAAACTAAAAACTAAAATGTAAATAAAAAATAAAATTCCTCCTTACAACTGGATTCCAATGTTAAAATACTTTTAGAATAGTATGTTATATATTCTTTTAATGTTATTTAATGTATTAAATATATTAATTTTTTAAAGTTTATTATTTAATGTATTAAATAATTAATTAAAGAATATGAAAGTGCCTTTGGTTCTGCTTGGTTTACTCAAGTGTATGTTCAATAGGTTAGATTTAGACATTTTTAAAAACCATCCTCAACACCTGTTTGGAATCTGCAAGTCGTTTTTTTTTTTGAGATGGAGTCTTGCTCTGTCGCCCAGGCTGGAGTGCAATGGCACAACCTCGGCTCACTGCAACCTCTGCCTCCCGGGTTCAAGCGATTCTCCTGCCTCAGGCTCCCGCATAGCTGGGACTACAGGCACTTGCCACCATTGCTGGCTAATTTTTGCATTTTTTTAGTAGAGACGGGATTTCACCATGTTGGTCAGGCTGGACTCGAACTCCTGACCTCAGGTGATCCACCCGCCTCAGCCTCCCAAAGTGTTGGGATTACAGGCGTGAGCCACTGTGCTTGGCCTGCAAGCATTTTAAGAGTAATAGTTAACAAAATTTTACTAAAGTACTGAAGGTAAGAAATCATAAATTCTGTCTTTTATCAGAATTTATAAACTAAAATGCCTTCATAGGCCAAGCATCACCAATAGTGTAGTATAAATCAACAGGGAAGGATGAGAACACAGTGACTGGACCTGAAAAATACTCTGCCTAAAGGCACTCACATTCAAGTTTTGTTTCATTTCTAAACATTGTGCAACAGTTGTTCAGGCTGAGTTCAGCTCAGGGGGCACCTGTTTTGAGCACTGATTTTCAGATTTTAAGCCCTCAGAACCTTGAGAAACATATTTGTATGCATATTTGGTGTCTTATAAAAGATAATAAAATAGAAAATTTCTGAAAATGAAGACTCATGCACATCAGAAACATAAGGAAATTTCTCATGCCTATAATCCCAGCACTTTGGGAGGCCGAAGCGGGTGGATCACATGAGATCAGGAGTTCAAGATCAGCCTGGCCAACATGGCAAAACCCTATCTCTACAAAAAAAAAAAAGAGGCCAGGCGCAGTGGCTCACCCCTGTAATCCCAGCACTTTGGGAGGCCGAGGCGGGCAGATCACGAGGTCAGGAGATCGAGACCAACTTGGCTAACACGGTGAAACCCCGTCTCTACTAAAGATAAAAATAAAAATAAAAAAATTAACCGGGTGTGGTGGTGGACGCCTGTAGTCCCAGCTACTCAGGCGGCTGAGGCAGGAGAATGGCGGGAACCCAGGAGGCAGAGCTTACAGTGAGCCGAGATTGCGCCACTGCACTCCAGCCTGGGCGACAGAGTGAGACTCTGTCTCAAAAAAAAAAAAAAAGAAAAAAAATTTAAAAATTAGCCAGGTGTAGTGGTGTGCACCTATAGTCCCAGAGGCTGAAGTGGGAGAATCACTTGAACCTGGGAGGTGGAGGTTACGTTGAGCCAAGATCCTACTACTGTGCTCCAGTCTGAGTGATAGAGTGAGACTCTGTCTCATATAAAAAAAAAAAAAAAAAAAAAGGACATTTTTCAATGACTTCTAAAAGGCAGTCATATCATTAAAGATATCCAAAGTTGGTTATCACTCCCACTTTGTACTCTTAAGATACATTTTTAATATGTCATAATATATAATCTTTTAAAGTTCCTAACAAGTCTGAGATTTTTAAGATTCCATGATTAATGGAACAAATTCCTTCATACCAGTAACAACTATGTACACATGAAATTATGTAATTATTACAAAAACACTGAAAATTGTTTAATTCATTAACTGCTAAAATGTTTGGCCTTAATATTTTTATTGAAAAAAATTCAATTTGCATTTTTTACATGGTACAATGCAACCTCTATCTCACTGAAATACCTGTTAATCATTTAACAATATTCTTAAATAGTAACCTCACCTTTATTAAATTCTTTCTAGATGTTCTCCAATAAGTATATGAGAAAAACAGGGTATATTTAAGTGAACAATATCCAATGCTTCCAAAGTCCAAAGCAATCCCTTTTCCTGCTGGATTCCCTAGCATTTACATTATTATTGTTTTATACTATTAAAGATATATATTTTGATATGTTTTATCTTCTCTATTACACTTTAAACTACATAATGGCAGAAATCATGTCTTATTCATCTTTTATCCCTAATAAGCATTTTGCCCTTGCATAGAAAGTGATCATAAAAACGAAATCCAAGAGTAACCTTTTTTCCAGCATGATAATCTCAAGTTAAACTCTTTCCAATTCTTATGTAATTCAAATTTTTCTGCTTTCAAAAACTCTGCAACTCAGAGAAGTTCTCAGCATCAGTAGCTGGTTATATTACTATTTAAGTAATTATTATTAATTTTTTTCATTTTTCTGAGATGGAGTCTCACACTGTCACCCAGGCTGGAGTGCAGTGGCCTGATTTTGGCTCACTGCAGCCTCAGCCTCCCAGGTTCAATTGATTCCCCTGCCTCAGCTTCCTGAGTAGCTGGGATTACAGGTGTGTACCACCACGTCCAGCTAATTTTTGTATTTTTAGTAGAGATGAGATTTCACCATGCTGGCCAGGCCGGTCTTGAACTCTTACCTCAGGTGAACCACCTGGCTTGGCCTCCCAGAGTGCTGGGATTACAGGTATGAGCCACCACACCTGGCCAGCAATTATTTTATTAGATAAATATTACAATAACTTTAAAATATTTCAAGAAAGTAAAACTTTAAGCATGTTACTTAAAACTAAGTTTAGTTTTAGACATTTATTTCAGAGAAGGATCATAAGTTTTTGGAAAGTATTATTTATAATCATTAAGTCTTACCTGAGGATTCCAACCTGGATCTAGTTTTTTAACTACTGCGATATATTCCTGCATTGCTTGGCTGGGGCTTGAATCACCAAGTGCTTTCCAAGCTTCCCTACAATATGGAATATCCAAAATGGCCTGTCATTATGCAAATAACACAAACAGCATTTTTCTTATTATTAAAAAAACTGTATGCACATTTCAAGGGTCTCTGAATATAGAGATAATAAGCTATGGATAGAGAAGCTCTGTCTTTTTGCATTTACATTGGTCTAGAGCTATACAGACCTTATTGCCCTACCTAAGCAGTCTTTTCAGACATTTTTTTTCCTAATCGTCCTCCCCGTGAAATTTTAAAAACACAGATACAATGCATAGCTATTAAATTTTGAAAGACCACAAACCACTGTAATCTAAGATTTTATAATTTCCTCAAACAAAATTTCACCCCTATTGAGGATATATGATCTACAGACTAATAGAGATTATTCTCATAAATTAACTGTGCTTATGGCATTTTGGTCGTACAGAAACTAATCATCACATAAAAAACAATATTCCCAAGGAAAATGCATCAAACTTCTTACTAAGATACAAGAAATCCACCTTCCCTTTCTGCTGTTATCTCATCTATAAGCTTCTAGTAACTGATCCTGGGGACTTAGTCTGGGACTTCAAAAGTAAGGGATGGTGAGGGCAGAAATAAGAATACTGGCCAGGCTTGGTGGCTCACGCCTGTAATCCCAGCACTTTGGGAGGCTGAGGCAGGTGGACCACCTGAGGTCAGGAGTTTGAGACCAGCCTGGCCAACATGGTGAAACCCCATCTCTACTAAAGATACAAAAATTAGCCAGGCGTGGTGGTGTGCGCCTGTAGTCCAGCTACTCTGGAGGCCGAGGCAGGAGAATTGCTTGAACCTGGGAGGCAGAGGTTGCAGTAAGCTGAGATGGCACCACCACACTCCAGCCTGGGCAACAGAGCAAAATTCTGTCTCAAAAAAAAAAAAAAAAAAAAAAAAAAAAAAACAACAACAGCAACTAAAGAATACTAATGAGTAAGTTAGGGACTTCCTACAATATAAATGGCAAAAGCAACATTTTAGTCCTGAGCTTCCTTTTGGGTCATCTACCCCCCTGCCCCCACAACAGGCTGCCAGGACAGGCCTTCTTCTTGGTTTTTCCCTGCCAATTCTTTCTAAATTCCAACCAGTGTTTCTCGATTTCCCTGATTTGCTGTCAAACAGAACTCAATCCCACATTTTTTCACTACCTTCCTGCTTCTATGATGAATATAATATCTTTCTGAGGTTTTCTAAATTTATTTTCACTGAATTCCTTAAGAATTACTTATACGCATCATAACACTTCATCCCTAAATAGATCAGCTTACACAAACTCAGGAAATTTATCATCAATTACTATTATACAATATAGAGGCTATACATTCAGATTTTCCTGATTGTCCCAATAATGTCCTTTATGGCTTTCTTCTCCCACACCAGGAACCAATCAAGATCCACACACAGCATTGAGTTTCATGTATCTTCAGCTTTTTTGTCTTCCACATTGTTGGTATTTTTTAAGAGTCCAACTGTTTTATAACATATCCCTCAATTTGAATTTGTCTAATTGTTTCCTTACCTACAGTGTTCTTGCCAAAAATGATTAATCATGATTAGAATTGGGTTAAATTATTTCAGCAGAGTAATATATAGGTGACATGCCCTTTTCAATGCATCACACTGGGGGCACGTGATGTTAGTCTGTCCCATCATCAATAAGATTCATGGTTTGGTAACGGCAGTAACTGTCAGGTTTCTCTCTCATAATTAAAAAGTAAATGGTGGGTCAGCCTGTAACCCACGGTTTTGCTCCCCAATAGTTTTTCACCTAGCATTTTAACAAAAATTTTCCTCAATAGTTTTTCTCTAACAGTTCCCCAATATTTTATCATCTAATATTTAATCATTCGTTGATGTTCTTGCATAAACTATTATTATGGTGGCTATAAAATCTAAATTTTTTAATTGCTAAAAACAATGGAGAAACAGGCAAAGCACAGAAAAAAATAAAGGTATAAAATTTCATAAATTATAACAAAAAACTCACTGTCAACGTTAACATCAGGTATTCTTTAGAACAGTAATAATATGTTGGCTGGTTATCATCAACCAAAAAACTTGTGCAAGAATATAATCAATGCACTGCTTCCTTCACTGAGACTGTCCTATACAAAAAAAAATCAGCTGAACTAAACAGCGTGGTTAGTGACATACGTGATTTATATCTGGGTTCAAGCTCTGTATCTCCTAACAGTTGGGTAACAAACAGTTGGCAGGCAGGAAATGTATCCAGGGGACCAGATTTTATGTGGGACTGCTCTAGAATGTAAAGTAAGAACCCATATTTTATCACTTCCTCTCTCTATAACCATATTTTATCTTTTTTCTTTTCTAACTCTACCTTCTAACCTTAATTCCAGGGCTGATGCTCCAAAGCCTTCCCTTCTATAACTAAGATTCCCAGTTGTATGCAATTTCTCTTCTTTCACTTAGACAAGGTAAGAGAAGATAAGGTCTCATAAATGACAAGGGGGAACTTCTGAATTATAAGTTAAAAAAGTTTGCAAAAGTATACTCTTTTTTTTATATATTCAGAGAAAAAGAGAAGTTAGTATCTGGTTTTGGCTTTTCACTGAATTTTTCCCTTCTTCCCAAGAGTACTATAAGCAGTTATTTACTGTGGCATGGGTGGGGCAAGGAACACAAGAGTAAGTAGCAAGAGACAGGGAGATAAAACTGGGACAAGGAAGATGGGTGAAAAATGGGGATTTATCCTGCTCTTCTGCCCTTCCCATCATTCTGGCCTTCTTCCAAAAATCCCTCCAGAGGGGAGAAGTGGTGATCCATTAGGGGTTGAATGACAGGAAAGGAAAATCTCAAGCAATAGCTCTCATGGTATTAAAATGTAAGGCATGTATGTCTGTTGTGAACCACTTATATTCCAACATGCTAGCATAAGAATCCTTCAGGAGACTTAGCTAAAAGTAGATTTCTTTAATCTCTCCCAATTGCCTGTCATTAGTACAATCTACAGCAGAGAGAGAGATTAATATAAAAATAATTCTTTAATCAGCTCACTGCTTTCTAATTCCTAAACACCTAAGCCATTTCCAACAACCTCATTAAAGATTCCAGGAATTTCTTACCATTTTTGCTTTCCTTCAAAATCAAAGAAGCTTGGTTTAGGAGTATTACAATTTCCAACTTTGACCTAAATGAGGGAAGGAAAATCAAGAACTTATTTTTCAAAGAAATGTCTGGGAAACTTTTCCTTTTCAAATGTATTATGTATATTCAGTAACCATAGGTTGGAAAATATTTGCATCTATATGGAATAGCAAAATTTAACATTCTTTGCCAAAGCAAACAAAAACAATCAAACAGAATCAAACATTACATACAGCCTACTTTGGCTTACTGCATAAAACAACTATTATCTAATACTGTAATACAGAAAAACTGTGATAAACGGTTGCACTTCGAAGTTAGTAGACTATATATAAGACAAGTTATCAATATAGATTAAATACTCTTTATTACCATGTATAAAGTAAAAGAATTTTTAATATGAAATTAATAAGGTTTAGAATTCATAATTTATCAGAATTCATAACACTGTTTCTTCATGCTGATTCTCATAACGCTATTAGCATTTTAACTCTCCAAAATTCCAGGGAAAACAGTGTACTACTTTTAAAGTACCCTATTATGAAATTCATCAATATAAATTTGGATGCCAAAAGCCATGCAAAAAATTTCATGGGTTCTCAAAAATACAATTCCGTTTTTCTACAATAGTCTTATCATCTTTTGTTTGAGGTCAATACTTAATTTTAATCCTCAACCGACATTTGTAGTTAAACTGCACAGTGAAATTTTCATTAAGAATAAGCATAAATGAAATTCACACAAGTGCAGAATTCACTATACAGGCCCTGATTCCCACTGCCAGAAGTCATCTTCCTTCCTTATGAACTCTTAGAGCATTTACTCTATATATCTTTTATGGTACTTTTCACTTTTTCTACCATGTGTTTAGAAAGTTTTGTGTAAAGTCTCATCTTTCTATTAGAATAGAGCCTGTAACTGTTCTTAACTCATCCACAGAACCTATCTACTTCTCAGGGATTTTCCCACTGTTTCCCATTACTCTAACTGATGCCTTCATCTAACCAGAATGATCTACTGACTGCCTTAGGTATTCCTAGTTCAGGGTTTTGCTTGTTACTCCACTCACCTGAAATGCCTTTTCTTCTTTCCTCAGCTTTTCAAGATGCTGCACGACCTTCCAGTTCTACTCAAATTTCAGATTCTAAGAACCCTTTCAGTCTACAATGATCTCATCTACCTCTGAATTCATAACAATTACCACCTCTATCATTTGCTTAGCGATTAATTGCATGGCCCTATGCTGTTATTAAAATGTATACTTACATAGAAGCAGCCCTGTTATGATGGAATAGAGAGAAGAAAGGGTGAAAAAGAAGGAGCCACATTTCTTGAACAATCACGATAGACCAAACACTTCACATATTTTATCTCAAATGGGCCAAAAAAAAAATCCTGCTAGGTATGCCATCACAAACTCATTTTATAAATGAAGAGAGAAGCTCAGGAGGGTTGTCTCAGTTCACACATTAGTATATCCTGAATTAGTAGTCCGGATTTAAATCAAAGAGTGTTTGACTCCAAAGCTCAATATCCCTTTACTACATCATTCTGTCTTAAATGCTAAATAGAGTCTGGGCTTCAATTCTGGACTCTCTAAAATCACATGAACTACCAGACTGTTAGAAATAATAAATGAGATAAATTATACAAACTTTAAGACATAAAAATAGCAATTATAACTATTTTTGTTTTTTATCCAGACACTATCCAGTGGCAGAAACAAATGCCAATAGTTCTCCATTTCTCCTATAGTAACAGAAGTCTCAGCTGGACACATGATCATCCGGCTAAACATTATACATGGCCATCCAACTTCTGCCTAGGTTCTGGGGACTGGATGTGTGGAAAAGTGATACAAATACCTTCCTTAAAAAGAAAAGGAGCTTGTCTTCCCCTTTCCCTTTGCTCTGGATAGGATATACATGTGGTGATGGTAAGCCACCTCTGACCATGAAAAAGGAACTTAGGGCAGCAGTTTTCAATTTTTTTAGTCTTGTAATCCCTTTATACTCTCAGAAATTAAGGATCTTAAAGAGCCATCATTTATATGGGTTATATCTATCGATATTTACCACATTAGAAATTAAAACTGGGACATTTAAAAAATGTGTATTAATTCATTTAAAAATAATAAACCCATTAGATGTTAACATAAATAACATTTCATGCAAAATAACTACATATTCTAAAAAAAATTAGTGAGAAAAGTAGCACTGTTTTACATTTTTTAATTTTTTTAATGTCTCGCTTAGTAGAAGCCAGTTGCATTTGCATATCTAATGCTGCATCCAGTCTACTGCAATATGTTGTTTTGGTTGAAGTATATGAAGAAAATTCGGCTTCACGCAGATATGTTGTTAGAAAGAGAGAGAAGTATTTTAGCAGCATTTTCAGATAATTGTAGATATTCTTCTTTGATACTATGCCAAAACCTAACAGATGGTAGTTTAAGGTCAGTTGCAACGAGGAATCTGAACTCATATCAATGAATTTTTCATACTGTTAACACTGAAATCCATTGGTCTGACTTGCACTTTGAAAGGCATCTTTTACCAACACATAATTTGTAACATCATTCCATGAAATATTTAGAAAATATGGTTTACTGAGTTACACAGACTTTTCAAATGTTGACACATTTCATGATATAACAGCAAACGTTCACATTCATGACTGTCACCACTTATCTCATCAAAAAAAGTTTTTAAGTACTGGGAAGCTGTCAAGCTCATGGTGGCAGATATAGATTTTCCAAATTTCTCATTTTCACTTGAAGGTTCAAATGTTATTACTGGCAACAAACACTTTGAGTTGTTTTCCTTGAAGTGACAGGCTTATTTCGTTCATTTTTAAGAAACTACCTGCCAAATACCCAAATTTGAGTAGGTATAATTATCTGTGAGTTGTTCTGTTAAGTAAAATTGGAAAAGAATATAGTTCATTTTGCGACTCAGAAATTACACAAGTGCTTTTCCTCAAAATAGTTAACATAATTCAGTATGCAGCAGAAGTACTTTGTGTGTACTTCCCATCTCATCACACAAAATGTAAGACTTGACTCAAGGGTTAATATTTAATAAAGTAGTATTAAGGCACGGTGGCTCATGCCTGTAATCCCAGCACTTTGGGAGGCCAAGGCAGGTGGATCACCTGAGATCAGGAGACCAGCCTGGTCAACCATGGCCAACATGGTGAAACCCCATCTCTACTAAAAATACAAAAATCAATCAGGTGCGGTGGCAGACACCTGTAATCACAGCTACTCGGGAAGCTGAGGCAAGAGAATAGCTTGAACCTAGGAGGCGGAGGTTGTAGTGAGCCCAGATTACGCCACTGCATTCCAGCCTGGATGACAGAGCAAAACTGTCTCAAAAAAAAAAAAAAAAGTATTATTAAACAGTATCTTATGAAGTCAACAGGAATTCACAAATTTTCATTACTCTCCAGTTTTCACAGCTGTCAATTAGCTATCTTTAGGAGGGAGAGTGTAGGCTGATGTAAAGAAGGACCAAAAAATTGTTCATTCGATTTTGTTAAAACTTTATTAAAAGATTATTCTGAAGCCATAGGCTTATCTGAGACTAATAAAGCTATGATGCTAAGTTTAGAGTTCTCCCTGAGAAAATAAGGTTCATATTTCAGCTTATTTTTATTATCTTCCTGCCAACAACCTCATCCAGCCTACAAAATAGGGTGCTATTCTGAATACAAAACGTTATTTTATAAATTTTGATCCAATATGCAGAAATGATATTGGACTTCCAACTTTATTATTCTATCAAAGATGCTATTCTTAACACTATCTCACAATTTTGTCAAAAATATTTAGGAGATTGATGAAAACTGCGGCCCAGTGTCATATATAAGTAAGCATATTATTCTCTAACAATGCAGAATTTTATTTTCAGATACAGAATATCTCTAAACACCATAAAGTCAAGTTCTTGAAAGGATGAGGGACATCCCTCCTTCATATTATCTGGATGAAGTGAGTATACCTGAGACAAAATGGTTCCCAAGTCGATAGGTGACTACAGTTCACTGATGACTTAGAAATATAGTATTTTAATAATGACACCAATATCAATAAACAAAGATATGTCCTAGAACGAAAAATAATATTTTCTAGGGAATTTGGGGAAAATTAGTCTCATACTGCCCAGAGAATCATCAGACATATTACAGGTCCTAAAATATGATTCTCAGTAAATATTTGTTAAATAATCAAAAGTTTCACTCTAATGTTATTAGGACAAAGTATAACAAATGACCAAAGAGAAAACAGATATCTACAACTTTTCCAAGAAAGCTAATTCCAAGGCCAATTTGGAGGTAATTTTCATTCGACACTATAATTTATACCATTTGTTCCTACAGCTTTCTCTCTCAGGTCACATTAACTGATATTCATAATAATGACCATCAACCTTCAAAACAAGGTTCATTTTTACTCAGTACATCCAGTTTAAGAACACAGTGGGGCTGGGCATGCGGGATCATGTCTGTAATAACAGTACTTCAGGAGGCGTAAGCAGGAGGATCGCTTGAAGCCAGAAGCTTCAAGGCTGCAGTGAGCTATGAGTGTGTAACTGCCCTCCAGCCTGAGCAACGAAACAAGATCCTGTCTCTAAAAAAACTTTTTTAGTTAAAAAAAAAAAAAAAAGAACACAGCAGGACCTCTCCCCCAACTTATTTTTCCTTTAACAAATACAGGGGAAAATACGTAACTATGTCAAGAGGCAAAAAGAAAAAAAGTTTACACATTTTTAATAAAACAAAATAGGCTATTATCCAGAATTTCCTTTCCTCTAGTGTTTCAAAGAGCTGTAATTTTCCTGAACTGTTATTTAACTCTTGTCAGCAATTTTTCAGGTATGTTCAAACCTAGACTCCTCAAGTACTTTAAGTCTCTTAAAGCAAATGTTGGCGGGGCGTGGTGGCTCACACCTGTAATCCCAGCACTTTGGGAGGCCAAGGCAGGCAGATCACCTAAGGTCAGGAGTTCAAGACCAGCCTGGCGAACATGATGAAACCCCGTCTCTTCTAAAAATACAAGAAATTAGTTGGGCATGGCGGCAGGCACCTGTAATCCCAGCTACTCGGGAGGCTGGGACAGGACAATCGCTTGAACCGGGGAGGTAGAGGTTGCAGTGAGCTAAGATCCAGCCACTGCACTCCAGCCTGGGCAACAGGAGCAAAACTCCATCTCAAAAAAAAAAAAAAAAAAGTGTCAGCCAGGTGCAGTGGCTCATGCCTGTAATCCCAGCACTTTGGGCAGGTGGATCGTCTGAGCTCAGGAGTTCAAGACCAGCCTGGGAAATGTGGTGAAACCCAGACCCTCTGTAAAAAAAAAAAAAAAAAAAAAAAGTGAGTGTCATGATGTTTTTGCTTCTCTGCAAAGTGTCATGATGTTTTTGCTTCTCTGCATTCTCTGTAGGCATTATACCCAAGTGTCTTGCACATAAAAGCTGCTGAACAAATATATGTTGCTTATGATAAAGCAATTATTTTCCTTCTGGTACCAACCAATGTCACCCTGAATTATAAATTAAACGTGTCTATACACCTCCCTATTTCCAGGTAAAGTTCACAGCCTTAGACTGAGTCAGGAGCTACAATCCAGTTCTGACTGATGTATTTGTATGACCCTAGGAAAGGTGCCTACTCTCTATGGCCTTCAGTTTCCTTTACTGTAAAAGAAGGGCATTATTTCCTCTGGTGTTCATAGCTCTAAAATTTTTAGATTGTATCAAACAGAAAGGAAGACATACTCAACGAAAACATAAATCAAAGATATTTAGGATTTTATAAAAATCACAATAAAAGTTGTAATACTGCATTTTGCATTGCATCACATTATTATTATTATTATTATTTGAGGTGGAGTTTCTTCGCTCTTGTTGCCCAGGCTGGAGTGCAATGGCGCACAATCTTCGCTCACCGCAACCTCCGCCTCCTCAGCCTCCCGAGTAGCTGGGATTACAGGCATGCGCCACCACGCTCGGCTAACTTAGTAGAGACGGGGTTTCTCCATGTTGGTCAGGCTGGTCTCCAACTCCCGACCTCAGGTGATCCTCCCGCCTCGGCCTCCCAAAGTGCTGGGATTACAGCCGTGAGCAACCACGCCCAGCCCTGCATCACATTATTACAATCCTATTATCTTTTTGGATCTCTATATAGTTTTATTAACTTTACCGTATTTACTTCCATGTGGCCCTCTGGGAAAGAGTAAATGAATGATATATCTTATTTTATCCTCATTTTGTAAAGGTTCTTGGGCTGGTAAAATGCAAGATCACTGAATAAGTCAGAGAAAAAAACACAAAAACAATGTCCAGTGTCCAGCTAAATAAACATCACTCCTAAGAAAGCAAACATCTTTTCCACGTTCAGGATGATGCTCATCCCCAGCAGATGGTCAAAAAAAAAAAAACAAAACAAAATACACATACACAAGCTTCATTACACCTAGCTATTAACCATACATGCTTGCTATCAGTTGTTGAGGAAGAAGGCTCCGTGTCTTTCTCCCCCATCCACCCTCTCCCTGCTACTTTACCTGTTTGTACCTGGCATACAGGTACAAGAGCTGCTCCCTGCTGGCCACCTGAATCAGGCCTTGCAGGTGCGCGGCAGCCTTCTCAAACAGCTCGGCCAGGCAACTGGTCTCCTCGATCTCAGGGCTATGGGGGAACTCCACCTCCCCGGAGTCGTCCCCTGAGCTCAGCTCTCCACCGCTGTCGCCGGTGATGGCCCCCGCGGGCAGGAATGATGAAGCCATGTCTCCTTGCTCGCTCCGTCCCTCTGTGTCCGGTCTGTCCTCCTTGGATTGGGTGTAAGGCCGGCTTGGAGGCCTGGCCCACCAGTCTGGGTCGCGAGCCTGAGCTCCAGTCGGACCCAAGCTCAGTCGCGGCGCGCTCCCTCACGTGACCCTGCTCCCTGCCCACTTCTACTCCCTGGGCGTGCAGAGCAGGCTCCTCGACCCTCTGCCGCTCTGCCCAGTCGACCCGGTCTCCTCCGGCTTCCCTCCGGCCAACAGCGCGCTCAGGCTCGCCTCAGGCCCCTCCAACGGAACAGGAGTCGAGGGGCAGTGAGGCCGGGATGCGTGCGAGCGCGGGGCGCGGCTGGCGCTGGGCCGTGGGGGCGGGGCGGCGTGCGTGCCAGCGGCGTGCGATTCTGTGAGGCCTGCTCTGCGCCGGCGGGGAAGCGCGGGCGACGCTACGCTGGACGTCCTTCCCTGCCGGAGGAGAGAAAGTGCCGTCAGCTGTAGGGGCGTCTTTTAATCGTTTCGCTGAAATTAGCAGTCCCGAGCTCCGGAGCCCGCCACCGGGATGGGCCCCCGGGGGTGGGGGAAGGAGGCCGTTTGTGTGGTAGTGTAGCGGTGAGAGCGGAGTCGCGGGAAACGCGAGGCTGAGGACTAAGGTTCCGCCTGCCCCAGATTGTGCGCCCCAAGCGCCTCCAAACAGCCCTGCGCGCGGATCTGTTGCGTGCGCGTTGGGCTCTGTGTTGAATAATGAAAAACTGCGAGATGGGGCTGTCCCGTCTTACTGTGTGACTGATGAGTGGAATCACTGCTCTGCGTGTTTCGCTCTCCACACCTTCGGAGCCCGCACCTCTCCGGGCCCTGAATAATAGGGTTTGGGGAGTTCGGGGCGCGCCTTAGCCCAGTTCTCATCCCGAGCTCTGTCTTTGACACTGTGCTTTGTAGACACTGTACAGTGAAACCAGAAGTACGGCACAGTTCGGCCCTAGAGGAATGCACAAAACTATTTTTTTAACTGTAACATTATGAGTGGTTATGTCCTAAATGTTAAACACAACGACGCACTATATATTCATTTAGTATTCAAAACAATGTAATAAGCACTATAAGAAGGGTACAAAGAAAGTGTTGTAAACAGTGGTTATTGACTGGGGTTAGGCTTGCGACGGGTGGACGGACGGCTGGACAGGATGAGGAAGCAATGAGAGAACACAGGAAGGTGAGAAAGCTTGCATCAGGATTCAACAGACATTCCTTAAGTCTCCAGAAAGTTCCACTGTTAGTCCCTGCTGTCAAGGTGCTCGCAATCCAGTCAAAGGGATGTTTAATGACCAAATTCTTGCAATTAAAAAGTGATTAAGAATAATGTATTGAGGACTTGATCATTACAACATAAGGTAGGTACTCTTATTTTACTACACATAGGAAATCAGCACAGAGTGGTTAAGTAACTTGTCAAAGGCTACACAGCTAGCAAATGGAGGAGCAAGGAAAAAGAAGTTAGCTTTCATGTGGGGTAATAATGGATGATGAACCCGACAAGTAGACTGAAGGAGATATAACATGGACTTTTATATCTTTGTTTCTAGAATTTTTATTAAAGTGAGAATTGAATATTATCAACGGCTTTTTTGGCATCTTTGGAGATTATCTGCTTTTCTCCTCTAGTCTTCGAAAGGAATTATATTAACAGTTTCTATTTTAATGAATTATATTAACAAAAATAAATTTGGGATTTAATGAATTATATAATAGCTAACATTGATAAATTAGTATGCATTATTTCAAAACCTCCTAGTTTTGAGCATTACTTCTGTTCTTGGAATAAACCCATTCTGGTCCTGGTTTGGTTTTTTTAAAAAATTTGTAGGTTCAGTTTGCTAATATTTTCATTATCTTTACAGTTCCATTTAAAGATGTCATTAACCTATAGTTTTCCTTTTCTATACTTTCTCAATTTTGTATCAAGGTAATAGAATCCTTGTAGAATGCATTTAGAAGTTTTCATCTTTTTCTGTATTCTGGAAGAGTTTACATAACATGGGAAAGAGAGCAACCAGAATTCTTTTACACTGCTGGTGTGAGCATAAATTGGTACAATCACTGTGGAAAAATGTTTGGCACTATCTACTAAAGCTGAACATAAATATACAACAATTCGACTCCTCCCCAGCGGGAATATATACATGGCATTCACCAAAAACATGTACGAGAACATTCATAGCAGCACTATGAACTAATTCCTAATTGCTCCAAACTGGAAGCTCCTGAATGTCCATCAACACTAGAATGGAGATAAACTGGTGTGCTTACATGATGGAATACTATTCATCAGTGAGAATGAACTAATTACAATGACACAGAATAACATGAATGAATCTCAAACATAATGTTGAGTATAAGCCTATACTCAAAAAAGTGCATATTACATGTTTCTAGTCATAAAAAATTCAAAATCAGGCAAAACTAATCTGTGGTGTTAGACTCAGGATAGTGGGTAACCTCAGGGTTAGTGATCTGAAGGGTGCATGAAGGGGACTTCTGGAAGTTGGATATGTTGTTTCTTAAGCCGAACATTAGTACACTGATGTGTTCACTTTATGAAAATTCATTTATAATTTATGTACTTTTCTGTATGTATATTTGAATGAAAAATGTATTATAAAACTAAAATGTAAGAAAGAAAAAGGAAAGAGTCCTTAACATTGAGAAGCTGGCCTGACACTCACAGCTAGGCCTTGTTATTCTCCTATTGAAGAGAAATAATCTCACAAAATAGCAACTGCAGACAAGGTCACTCTGAAATCATGATACAATGATACAAAGCAAACCACTTCATTAAGCTTTTCTAAGCACAGACAAAAAGCTCACTTTACTGACTACAAAATACAACACCTTTTTCTTGGCCCAAACAAATAACTACTACTACTTTAAAATTGCAGCTTTATTCTCATGCTAGCCACTTCTCTATAGATAAGACTGAGATGCCCAAGATCTCAATCTTGTTACAGTAGGTAGCTAGTCAGGAATGAGCAGGGCAGGAGAGGGCTCCGCACCACACGCACATATCAGGAATGTCGGGCAACCATCAGGTGATGGTCAAGCGGTTGTTAACTGTCTCACTAAAATAATAATTGATCACAGCTGGCACCAGGGAACAGCAGGCTCCTGATAGAAAACACCTGAAACTAGTGATCAGCAGCTTCCCGATAAGATCTCAGGAGTGGGGCGAGTGGGCTCAAGCATGTGCATGCGGACAGCCCACCCCAAGGGAAGAATCGGGGAGAAGTAATGCAAGACCGCAGAAGTAAGCCAATATATAAAACCCCAAGGCCAGGCACACAGTGGCTCATGCCTGTAATCCCAGCACTTTGCAGGGCCAAGACGGGCGGATCATCTGAGGTCAGGAGTTTGAGACCAGCCTGGCCAACATGGTGAAACCCTGTCTCTACTAAAAATACAAAACAAAACAAAACAAAACAAAAAAAACAAAAAAAACAGAATTAACTACTCAGGAGGCTGAGGCACAAGAATTGCTTGAACCTGGGAGGTGGAGGGTGCAAGCCAAGATCGCGCTACTACACTCCAGCCTAGGCAACAGAGCAAGAATCTGTCTCAAGACAAACAAAAACAAACCCTGAGTCAAAATATCAAGCTGTGTACTTGCCTTTCAAGTTGCCTGTTTGGCTTTCTTCCAAGCATACTTTCCTTCTTTTTATTCCTGCTCTAAAGCTTTTTAATAAACTTTTACTGCTGCTCTAAAACTTGCCTGGGTCTCTCCTTCTGCCTATGTCCATCAGTTGAATACTTTATTCGGAGGAGGCCAGAATTGAGGGTGCTGCAGACCCCAAGGGATTCACCACTGGTATTACTATTTTGAAGTCGTGTGACTCAGATACGTTTCCCTGCTGACACAATCATAGACTTCCCCCAGCTTTCTGACTGCATCCAATTGAGAGCATATTCCCGCTTCCTTAGATGCTCTCCCAAATCACCACAAAGCCCAAATCGTATAATAGGTTCTTTCTTAACACCCTTTTACCGAGGCAGCCCATTCTTCCTCAAGGTGTGTGTTCTTCCTCACTGCAACCAGAAATAATTCCAACTTGGTTAACTACAGATGTGTTCCTGGAGGTCTCTGCCTGAAGGACATTGACACTTGAGAAGCTTTTATTTCTTGAAGAGTCTATCGAAATCCCAAAACTCTCAGGATCTGGTGACACTGAGGAGACAGATATTTTACCATTAGTGTTTCCCTTCACCCATTTTTTGGGAAAGATAGTACAGTTGACCCTGGAACAACACAAGTTTGAACTCTGTGCATACATTTATACACGGGTTTTTTTCTACATATATTGGAAAAAGTTTTGGATATTTGCAACAATTTAAAAAACACAGATAAACTGTATAGCCTAGAAATATTGAAAAATTAAGAAAAGTATGTCATAATGCATAAAATATGTAGATACTCATCTTTTATCATTTAATACCCTAAAATATACACAAATATAACTTTTTTTTTGAGACAGAGCCTCACTCTTGTTGCCCAGGCTGGAGTGCAATGAAGCGATCTTGGCTCACTGCAACCTCTGCCTCCCAGGTTCAAGTGATTCTCCTGCCTCAGCCTCCCGAGTAGCTGGGATTACAGGTGCCCGCCACCATGCACAGCTAATTTTTGTATTTTTAGTAGAGATGGGGTTTCACCATGTTGGTCAGGCTGGTCTTGAACTCCTGACCTCAGGTGATCCACCTGCCTCGTGCTGGATTATAGGTGTGAGCCACTGCTCCCGGCCCACAAATGTATTATAAAAAGTTAAAATTTATCAAAACATACACACATAAACACAGACCGTGGCACCATTAACAGTTGAGAGAAATTGAAACAAACATAACGATGCAGCATTAAATCATAACTGCATATAACTCATACATACTGTAGTGCTGTACTAATTTCATGGCACCTCTCATTGCTATTGCAGTGAGCCCAAGTGTTTTGAATGTATCCACTTAAAACACTTCGTGATGTTAATCATCTCCACAAGAGCAGTTGTCTCTCCAGTAAATTGTGTATCATAGTAAAAAGTGATCACTCATGGTTCCTGTATTTTTCATCGTGTTTAGTGCACTGCCGTCAACCTTGAATAACACCGTGGTACCTATACAAAGTGCCACTAGCGATGCTGTAAATGCTCCCAAGAAGCAGAGAATAGTCATTACAAGGAAAAGTTTAATTGCTTAATAAGTACTGTAGATTGAGGTCTGCAGCTGTGGTTGCTGCCATTTCAGGCAGGGATTCATCTTGTAAGCAAAAGAAATAAACTTACAGTATTGGTAAATAAGTACAATAATAATAATTACTATAAATGTATTTTCCTTATGGTTTTCTTAATGACATTTTCTTTTCTCTAGCTTACTTTATTTCAAGAAGACAGTACATAATACATATACAAAATATGTGTTACTCAACTGTTTGTGTTCTTGGCATGGCTTGCAGTCAACAGTAGTTGACTGCTTAGGGGTCGATCCCCTTATTGCTGAGTTGTTCAAAGCTTAACTGTTTATGTTTCTTTGAATCCCAAGAAAAATCAGCCAAGAAATCAGGAAGTCAAAAGAAAGTATTACAGTTCTGCAGGAATTGAAGTTTAGCAGTCAACATACACTGATTCAAACAAACCCGCTAACAAGTGAAAAGCAATGGCAGGAAACACTGACAAATGGAGTCTAAAGTGAGCAGAAAAAGGAGCAGGCAGGAAAGAAGTAGTGAAGATCTAATCAGTCTGGCTCATGATGGTGGCCATGTTGCATATGGTGTTCACAGCCCCATCTTCTGGTAACAATGAGTCATTCTTGCAAGTAAAATAAATATTGATGACATGATATGCATAATAAATAAAATTCTATGAGTCATGTTCTAAGAAATTAGAAGCAAAATAAGTCCTCAAACTGGCAATTTGTTTAAGTGATGCTGAGTAGTTCTATTAACCTTGCTAGAAGGTCTGAATGTTATGTTATTAGAATACTACCCAACAATGTTGTGGCATTTTCCAGTGTTTATATTCATTATAAACTACAGTTCTAAGTATTTCAAGAAGAAATGCAAAGAGAAAAATATGTGATTGTTGTAAAATGCTTCCCAACATAACATCTGAACTGATCTAAACATCTGAATTAACAAAAGTCATAATGAGAGGTGACGACCTACTGGCAGCCCTCACAGAGGGCTGGCTGTCAGCACCTCCTCGGCCTCGGCAGTGCTTGAGGAGCCCTTCAGCCTGCCGCTGCACTGTGGGAGCCCCTCTCTGGGCTGGCCAAGGCTAGAGCCGGCTCCCTCTGCTTGCAGGGAGGTGTGGAGGGAGAGGAGCAGGCTGGAACCGGGGCTGCGCGTGGCGGTCGCAGGCCAGCGTGAGTTCCAGGAGGGCATGGGATCTGTGGGCCCTGCACTTGGAGCGGCAGACCGGAAACACTGGCCCCGGGCAGTGAGCGGCTTAGCACCTGGGCCAGCAGCTGCAGAGGGTGGGCCGGGTCCCCCAGCAGTACCGGCCCACCGGCACTGCACTCGGATCCTCACAGGGCCGCAGCTGCTTCCCTGCAGGACAGGGCTCAGGACCTGCAGCCCACCATGCCCGAGCCTTCCCCCACCCCGCCATGGGCTCCTGCGCAGCCCTAGCCTCCCCAACGAGTGCCGCCCCCTGCTCCGCAGCACCCGGTCCCATCTACCGCCCAAGGGCTGAGGAGCCCGCAGGCACGCAGCGCTGGACTGGTTGAACAGCTCCGCCCGCTGCCCTGGCACGGGATCCACCAGGCGAAGCTGGCTGACCTCCTGAGTTGGTGGGGGGAGGTGGGACTTGGAGAACTTTTATGTCTAGCTGGAGGATTGTAAATGCACCAATCAGCACCCTGTGTCTAGCTCAAGGTTTGTGAATGCACCAATCAGCAGTCTGTATCTAGCTCAGGCTTTGTAAATGCATCAATCAGTGCTCTGTGTCTGGCTAATCTAGTGGGGGACTTGGAGAACTTTTGTGTCTAGCTCAGGGATTGTAAATGCACCAATCTGCACCCTGTCAAAACGGACCAATCAGCTCTCTGTAAAATGGACCAATCTCAGCAGGATGTGGGTGGGGCCAGATAAGAGAATAAAAGCAGGCTGCCAAGAGCCAGCTGCGGCAAGTCGCTCAGGTCTCCAGCTTAGTTGTTTTGCTCTCTGCAGTAACTCTTGCTGGTGCTAACTGTTTGGGTCCGCACTGTCTTTGTGAGCTGTGACACTCATGGCGAAGGTCTGCAGCTTCACTCTTGAGGCCAGCAAGACCACGAACCCACTGGGAGGAATGAACAACTCCAGACGCACCGCCTTGAGAGCTGTAACACTCACCGCCAAGGTCTGCAGCTTCACTCCTGAAGCCAGGGAGATCACGAACCCACCAGAAGGAAGAAACTCCAAACACGTCCGAACATCAGAAGGAACAAACTCCCGACACACCATCTTTAAGAACTGTAACACTCACCGTGAGGGTCCACGTTTTCATTCTTGAAGTCAGTGAGTTCAAGAACCCACCAATTGCAGACACAATAACTGTTTCAGTAGCATAACTGAAGTCAGGGCAACCAGACAAAATATTTTCCTCGTTACAAAAGTAACTGCACTGGGTTTAGTACAATTTAGGTTTTTGTGAAATATTGACATTTAAAAAATTTTTGTATCAATACCTTTTGAGGTATAAATTTTTTTTGTTATATGGATGAATAATGTAGTGGTGACTTCTGAGACTTTAGTGCACCTGTCACCCAAGTAGTGTACATTGTACTTAATATGTGGTTATTTATCTCTAACCCCATTCCCACCCTCCCCCTGCTGAGTCTCTAAACTCCATTATACCACTCTGTATGTCTTCATGTACTCAAAGCTTAGCTCCCGCTTACAAGCGAGAACATACAGGTTTTGGTTTCCCACTCCTGAGTTACTTCATTTAGAATAATGGCTTCCAGCTCCATACAAGTTGCTGCCAAAGACATTGTTTTATTCCTTTTCATGGCTGAGTGGTATTCCGTGGTGTCTATATACCACATTTTCTTTAGTCATTGGTTGATGGGCACTTAGGTTGGTTCCACATCTTTTGCATTTGTGCTACTATAAATGTGTGTGCAAGTGTTTTTTTTATATAAATGACTTCTTTTCCTTTGGGTACATACAGTCAGTAGTGGGCTTGCTGGATCAAATGGTCGACCTACTTTTAGTTCTTTAAGGAATCTCCATACCATTTTCTATAGAGGTTGTATTAATTTGCATTCCCACCAGCAGTGAATAAGCATTCCCTTTTCCCCACATCCATGCCAGCATCTATTGTGTTTTGACTTTTTAATAATGGCCGTTCTTACAGGAGTAAGGCAGTAACTCATTGTGGTTTTAATTTGCATTTCCCTGATGATTAGTAATGTTGAGCATTTTTCATATGTTTGTTGGCCATTTGTATATCTTCTTTTGGAAATGTCCGTGCATGTCCTTTGCCCACTTTTGGATGGGATTTTTTTTTTTCTTGCTGATTTGTTTGGGTTCCATGTAGATTCTTGACACTAGTCCTATGTGGGATGCATAGTTTACAAATATTTTCTCCCACTCTGGGTTGTCTGTTTACTCTGATTATTATTTCTTTTGCTATGAAGAAGCTTTTTAGTTTAATTAGGTCCCATTTATTTATTTTTGTTTTTGTTGCATTTGCTTTTGGGGTCTTAGTCATGAATACTTTGCCAAGGCTGATGACTAGAAGAGTTTTTACAATGTTGTCTTCTAGAATTTTTATGGTTTCAGGTCTTATATTTAAGTATTTGATTCATCTTGAGTTGATATTTGTATAAGATGAGATAGGGATCCAATTTCATTCTTCTACATGTGGCTTGCCAGTTTCCCCAGCATCGTTTATTAAATAGGATGTCCATTTCCCGATTGATGTTTTTGTATGCTTTGTCAAAGATCAGTTGGCTGCATGTATTTGGGTTTATTTCTGGGTTCTCTGTTCTGTTTTATTGGTCTGTGTGCCTACTTTTATACCAGTACCATGCTGTTTTGGTAACTGCAGTTTTATAGCATAATTTGAAGCTCGATAATGTGATGCCTCCAGATTTGTTTTTTTTGATTAGGATTGCTTTGGCTATTGGGGCTCTTTTTTTCGTTCCATATGAATTTTAGAATTGTTTTTTCTAATTCTGTGAAAAATGATGTTAATGTTTGGCAACTTTTTTTACATTAGCACCAAAATACTGATTGATCCATTAAAAATACATTAATTCCTGATATGATTCAGACACAGTGCTAACTCCTAAGAATACTACAATGAACAAAATTTTCTTTCCCTCACTCTACTCCAGCCACATGAACCTCCCTGTAGCTCTTCTACAAGTCAAGCATGATCCAACATATTACCATTTTAGTATCCTTGGACTTGTTATTCCCTCGTTCTGGAACACTTTGCCCCAAAATATCCACAATTTGCCCTCATCTCTTTCAGGTCTTTGCTCAAATGTCACATTAATAAAAGCTTCCTTGACAACCATATTAAAAACTTGCGACCCGACTCCCAGCAACACTCTCTATTCTACTTCTTTAGCACTTGTTGCATCTAATACGTGGTATCTTTTACTCATTTATTACATCTAATCTATATAAGTTTCATGAGGGAAGGGATTTTTGTCAGTTTTTATTGCTGCTATACTCTCCAGAGTTGACACATAGCTAAATATTTTCTTTTTTTTTTTTGAGATGGGGTCTCAGTGTGTCACCCAGGCTGGAATGCAGTGACACGATCTTGTCTTGCTGCTGATACGGTTCCAATGAGTGGAGGAACACCAGGGTTCTTCGTCTCGAGTCAAATTAGATAAAACGGCATGGACACACGTAGTGGTTTTCAGGAGCAGAGAGTTTAATAGGCAAGTAAGGAGGAAGAAGCTCCCCCATGCACAGACGAGGGGGAGGGGGCAGAGGGGCTCCAAAGTGGAGAGATGAAACCCCACAAGCCATGGAAAAGTGGCTGCTTACACGAGTAGACTGGAGGAAGTGGTGTCTGATTTGCGTAGGGCTCAGGGGATTGGTTTGATCAGCCACGTCTTTCATGGTAGCCTGAGGAAAAAACTGGCCATCCCACCCTAGCCTTTTAAGATGCAAATTCAGGGTGCCATGATGTTCCACACAGGTAGGGATATATGGGGGCAGCCATGTTACCAGGCACATGTTTGGGCAAGGGCAAGAAGAAGGGGGCAGGAATTGCCATGTTTGGGTGGACCCGGTTTCTAATGGCCTGTATTTGCGTATCAAAGGTTGCTGGCCTAGCTCTAAGAGCCAGGGCTTTCCTGCTAGACAAGAAATGTTTCTGGAGCTGCTTTAAAAGAAATAACTTTACAACAACCCCTTTTCCTCTCTATCTGCCTAACATAATTTCTTAATAACTCTTGTAACACTGCAATCTCCCCCTCCTGGACTCAAGCAATCCTCCCACCTCAGCCTCCTGTGTAGCTGGGACTACACGCGTGCACCACCACCACGCCTGTGTAACTTTTGAATTTTGGTAGAGATGGGGTTTCGCCATGTTGCCCAGGCTGGTCTCCAACTCCTGACCTCAAGTGATCTGCCTGCCTTGGCCTCCCAAAGTGCTGGAATTACAGGTGTGACCCACTTCGCCCAGCCAGCTAAATCTTTATTGAATAAATAAATGAGTGAATGTGTAAAAGACACAGTCGTTGGCCTTTTTTTTTTTTTTTGAGATGGAGTCTCGCTCTGTCGCCCAGGCTGCTCCACCTCCCGGTTCATGCCATTCTCCTGCCTCAGCCTCCCGAGTAGCTGGGACTACAGGCACCCGCCACAATGCCCAGCTAATTTTTTTTTGTATTTTCAGTAGAGACGGGGTTTCACCGTGTTAGCCAGGATGGTCTCGATCTCCTGACCTTGTGATCCGCCCGCCTCGGCCTTCCAAAGTGCTGGGATTACAGGCGTGAGCCACCGTGACCAGCTGCAGTCATCATTCTTTAAGGGTTTATAGATAGTAAATTAATAAGGTCGGTAAAATACTGCAAGTGATGCAGAAAAGGGCATGTCAGGCAGGAGTTGCATGGGCAAAAGCATAGTAGTAGTGCAAAAACAGCAACCAGTGTTGCTTGTTTTCACTTGAAAATAAGTAAGATTCAATAAGCAAACAGCAGAAAAGCAGTTAGCTGTTTTCCTCTCTTATCTAGTATACATTTATAATTGGGATGTGTGTTATGTAAACAAATGTGAACCTGAAAGACCCAATCCTTCAAGATAAATCCGGAGCAGCTAACTGGGTCTAAATTTAAAATCGAGCCAAGCAGTCATTTGCTGACCGTAAGTCATACATGTACCTTGAGTTCCCCAGAAGTCCACACCTCTGTTCAACTCTGGCAGTTTCAGAGCTCAACTGAACCAACCAATCAGAGCTCACCCAAACAGACAAATTAGGTCTCACTACCTCTGCCAATCAGGGCTCAGCTGTCAATCAATCGGAACTAAGCAAATTTGAATCATTCATTTGCGTAAACTGATCTGATTGGGAACCAGGGCAGGAACTTTATAAAAGCCAAACCCTCACTTTATTCTCTGAAAGGCACCTTGGTTTCACGCTGGAAGCTGTATATTCCTGATTTGCAAACTGTTCACTGAAATAAAGTCTCATATTTTTACTGCACTAAGTCAAATTGGCAGTATTTACCTAAAACATAATCTCCTAGGAAATCCATGACCTCTAATCCAACTCTTTAAGCCCATTAGGAGGACTCTAGCATATAGGCAGATAAGCAGGTAGAGATATTAGACAGCATTATCTAATTTGCATAATCTGGAAGTTCATTTGACAACCTTCAAATAAAATAATTACAGAATTTTATTAAATGCAAAAAAAGGAATCACAACAAGAAAACCAGAGTCTTGACCTTGGAGTCTTTGTGAAATCTGTATAATGAGCAAAATTTAATGAAAAACATCACATCTTCAAGTTCTCAAAAATAGGTATTTCCTACTAAAAATTAAGAAGAAATGGGCCAGGCATGGTGGCTCATGCCTGTAATCCTGGCACTGTGGGAGGCCAAGATGGGTGGATCGCTTGAGTCCAGGAGTTCAAGACCAGCCTGAGAAACATATCGCTACCCTGTCTCTACAAAAAATACAAAAATTAGCTGGGCGTGGTGGGATGCACCCGTGGTCCCAGCTACTCTGGAGGCTGAGGTGGGAAGATCTCTTGAGCCCAGGAGGTGGAGGCTGCGGTGAGCTGTGATAATGCCACTGCACTCCAGCCTGGGTGACAGGTTTCAGAGAGAAGGAGGAAGAAGAGGAGGAGGAGGGGGGGAGGAAGAGGAGGAGGAGGGGGGGACGAGGAGGAGGAGGGGAGGAGGAGGGGGAAATGGAAATGTCATTAACTTTGAAACCCCCTCGGCAGAGGCTGTTTGATGATGATGGACAACTTAACCCAGCATGAATAAGAAAGACTTCTGGGAAATGTGTTTGTGGGTTTACAAACTGACTTTAGAGATGTTATTTATCATTACATGATACAAATATAGGGGTAAATCAAATGCCACAAAGCAAAATAGGATTAGATTATAAAAGCCTAGCATTCTCTTAGACACCAGTCCTGAAGAGATTTCATTGTGCTTGATAAGTATGGAACCACTGAGGAAGGCAAAATTGGTGGACTCAATTAAGGGCATAGTGGCTAGCTGACTTCTGCCCACATTTGCAACATTTTTGTTGTTGTAAATGCAGTAGCTATTATATTAAATGTGTTCAGTGTGTATTTATTAGTAAATATATTTTTAAATTTTCATATTTTGACTTTCTAAAAATTAATCAACAATAACTTGTTAAATGCTGATACTGATCTTTCAGGTAATGTAATACAGTAAAAAGTACACAGACTGGGGAGTCTGATATCATCCTTGCCATTAAGTAACCTAAATTTTAGTTGGAAAAACAAAATTAGTGCTCATGAAACAATTAGAAAATCCAGCAAGACAGTAAAATTAAGTACTAAATTTTGTGGTACAAACTGAAGTTAAATAATAATAGGATTTTTTAAGCTGGATATCCTCTCCATAAAAAGGTCTCAGTTGAGCCCCATTACTTTCCAGAAGAGGCCCCTAAATATTAGGTGACTTGCCTTAGGCCTTACATTTAGGTGACTGACCAAGTGGATCTAACTCCCAGGTCTTCTAAGGAGTGTGGGCCTTTCATATCTACTAAAACGCATTCTGCTCAATTGGCAGAAGGTGCTATTGAACTATTTGCAGATGCATTTGCAGTAAAGTTTTTTTTTTTTTTTTTTAGAGACAGGGTCTCATTCTGTCATCCAGACTGGAGTGTAGTGATAAGATCATAGCTCAGTGTAACTTTAAACTCCTGGCCTCAAGCGATGCTCCCGCCTCAGCCACCCAAAGCACTGGGATTACAGGCATGAGCCACTGAACCTGGCCTGAAGTAAAGATCTTTAAGGAAAGTCTCCCTGAACTTGAAGCTAAGAAACTGAAATTTTTTTATCCATTTCTGCAATATTTTTCTGGTTTCAGTTACTGGTTTGAAGAACAAAGGGCCTCAGTAAGACAGAATATATAATTTTATATTGTGCCTTCATAAAATATAATTTCTTTGCATGAAAAATGAGTCCCGTGAGTTTGAATTCCACTCTGGGTGGTTCAGGATTCCGGATATCCACCGTCTTCTGGGCACTGCTGGAGTGCAAGTGGAATATACATATTGACCAGATGATGGCGGCATGGAGCTAGGTTTGGGTTCTGCCCGTGTAACGGGCTGGCTGGATTATCTTTGTTCTTTGGGTCCTTAGGCTTAGGAAAGAGAGGCCTTGCACGTTGTATGGCACAGTAAATGGAACAAATTGTTTATGTAATTATATCTTTATTTTAAACAGCAGCCAAACCCTAATTGTGTTTCTTCTTTAGACTTAGAACCCAGGAACTGAGAATAAAGACGAAAACAGGCTTTGTTAAGATGTGCTTGGTTTTAAAAAACATGCTCTGACAAGTCCACTTACTATTCTGAATGTTGTAACAATGAGAAATAAGGGTCATACAGTGTAGGCTGAGATCAACTTAGCTCTGAACCTACATCATTACTCCCTTTGGATTGTTGCTTTTGCTTTTGTTTGGATTTTCTTTCCTTATGTATATATTAACATTTTTACCATTCCCCAGTTCCTGTGCCTCACCCTCTTCTCCCAAATATTTTGGGGAACTTTAAATTTAAAATTGACATTCTAAAATATGCACAAGAAGATGAAATGTTTAGCATGTATATGTTAACATATGTTTACTAAAGTTTAAAAACTGCAAATGAAAATATACTAAAAACTAAAATTTTGTATATGCTAAATTTTCTTTAAGTTTGTATTCATCAAAATATCCCTTCTTTGTTGATACTAATGTCCACAGCTGAGTATCATCCTGGGAAAAAACCACAGCTTTGATTAATTTTGTGGCATTTATGTTTGAAAGAGTTAATCAGACATCAGTCTTCAAAAGCTGGGAATGGTTTTTATCATCAAGAAAATCTGGTCAGGCATACACAATCAGATATAAACAATTTTGTTTATTTTACCTTAAGAACAGGAAATAACATTCAAACGGTTCTGAAGACATTAAAAAAATGTCTTTAGATTAAAAATAAAATTACCCATTTATTTTTCTGGTTGAAGTCTGATTATAAGTTTTAAATTTCTATTGCTTCAAATGTCATATGACTATGAATACCTTTAGGCCATTATTTTGGCTGTAGAATTAAAGCTCTTTTCCCTCATCCTCCAGATGAGTCAAGAAAATAGTAACGTTTATTTGAGTGCATCAAATATGGCTTTGAAGTGACAGCACTTTAAACCTTACAGGCAGATATGCCATCACACACACACACACACAGAACACTGGTTCTTTTAATTGGCCTGAATATTGATGTTTCTGCTTCTGATGTTTTTTTCATGATAACTTGTTTTTTTAAATAAACCATTACGAAAATTCTCAAACATATAGAAAAGTTGACAGAATAGTAAATGATCACTCATATTGAATTCACTTCCTGAATTCAACAATTGTTAACATTTTGCCATATTTGCATTATCTATCTACCAATATTTTTGATAAATGACTTGAAAATAAGTTGCAGACATTATGATATTTCAATCCTGAATTCTGTAGTATGTATCTTCTAAAAATAAATTCTATTATAGAGCCATAATATGACATTATCATACCTAAGAAAATTGACAAATATCATCTAGAATGCAGTCCTTTGTATTCAAATTTCCCATATTTCTTTTTTTGGGGAGCGGGGATGGAATTTCGCTCTTGTTGCCCAGGCTGGAGTACAATGGCGTGATCTCAGCTCACTGCAACCTCCACCTCCCGGGTTCAAATGATTCTCCTGCTTCAGCCTCCTGAGTAGCTGGGATTACGCCAGCCACCATGCCCAGCTAATCTTTGTATTTTTAATAGAGACGGGGTTTCACCATGTTGGCCAGGCTGGTCTCGAACTCCTGACCTCATGATCCGCCCGCCTCGGCCTCCCAAAGAGCTGGGATTACAGGTGTGAGCCACCACGCCCAGCCCAAATTTCCCATTTTTCAAAGAAAGCTTTTAAATACACACACAGGCCAGACATGGTGGCTCATGCCTGTAATCCTAGCACCTTGGGAGGCCAAGGTGGGAGAACTGTTTGAGGTTAGGAGTTCGGGTCCAGCCTAGGCAACATGACGAAAACCAATCTCTACCAAAAAATATATAAATATATACAAAAATTAGCAGGGCATGGTGGCTCACACCTGTAGTCTCAGCTACTTGAGAGGCTGAGGTGGGAGGATCACTTGAACCCAGGAGGTTCAGGCTACAGTGAGCCATGATTGTACCACTACACTCCAGCCTGGGTGACAGAGCAAGACCCTGTCTCAAAAAAACTATATTTTTTCAAATAAAAATAAATGGCCAGATGCAGTGGCTCATGCCTGTAATCCCAGCACTTTGGGAGGTCGAGGCAAGTGGACTGCTTGACCCCAAGAGTTGAGAACAGCCTGGGAAACATGGCAAGACCCCTCTCTACAAAAAAATCCAAAAAATTAGCCAGGAATGGTGGCACGCACCTGTGGTTCCAGCTACTCAGGAGACTGAGGTGGGAGGGATTGCTTGAGTCCCAGGAGGTTGAGGCTGCAGCGAGCTGCGATTGTGCCACTGCACTCCAGCCTGGGTGACAGAGCAAGACCCTGTCTCAAAATAAATAAATAAATACACACAAACACAAATTACATATGACTTATATATATATATATATATACACACACACACACACACACATCACATCACATATACAGCGTCAGTAAAAGCTAGCATATGAAAGCCAGAGCTTTTTGAAAAGACTTGGTGAAAAAAATCACTTTGTATGGAAGGTGAATAATCAGCAAGAATTTATTGACAATTGCCCACATGTTAATTACCACTTCTGAGTCTATGAGTATATAAAAGCATCAAAGGCATTGAGTCTATGTTTATACTTAATATAACTAATATATTGAGCCTATATTTGTACTTAATATAATAAAAGCATAACATATCAGTGAAAGGCTCCCCAAATTTCTTTTTAATTGGCATGTTTTAAAAATGTTTCAAAGAGACATAATTTCATATAAAATATCCAGAAGATAGAAATAAAGTGTATTTGTGATATTTTATCCTAAATAAGTAGTTTGTTCTTTTCTTGCTTTCATTTTTATTATTTTTTTAAGCCTAGTCAAGTGAAGCAGTGGGAGTGGAGAAGGAACAAAGAAATCTGTAACTGATTGTGCGATCCATTAGTTGTAAATACCACTGCACTTGGACCAGGCTTTTTCTTGCTTTTAAACAGTGAAATAGCTTCCATGTGATAGTCATCTTACATAGAACATACTTTTATGAAAGGGCATGTTATCTATCATAAGTAAAGGTAATATTTGAATTATTTTGAGTACATTATGTTGTCATGCTCTTTTTTTTTTTTTTTTTTTTTTTTGACAGAGTCTTGCTCTGTTACCAGGCTGGAGTGCAGTGGCGTGATCTCGGCTCACTGCAACCTCTGCCTCCCGGGTTCAAGCAATTCTTCTGCCTCAGCCTCCTGAGTAGCTGGGACTACAAGCGTGCACCACCACACTCAGCTAATTTTTGTATTTTTAGTAGAGATGAGGTTTCACCATGTTGGCCAGGATGGTCTCGATCTCTTGACCTCATGATCTGCCCCCCTCGGCCTCGGAAAGTGCTGGGATTACAGGCATTAGCCACCGCGCCCAGCTGTCATGCCCTTTTTAATAGTAAGGTCTGTTTCCTGTTGCATTTCAATGCATGGTACAGGGTGAGTTGTTTATGAAGAGAGAAGACTGAGAAAGAAGAGTTGGAAAAGGAAGAGAATTCTTGAGGTGTGCACAGATGCATATAGCAGTAGTCCCCAACCTTTTTGGCACCAGGGATGGATTTTGTGGAAGACAAGAGGGCAGGTGGTTTCAGGATGAACTGTTCCACCTCAGATCATCAGGCGTTAGATTCTCATAAGGAGCGTGCAACCTAGATCCCTTGCACTTCACAATAGGGCTTGTGGTCCTATGACAATCTAATACCACTGCTGATCTGGGACAGAGCTCAGGAGCTCACAGGAGCAGGGCTCAGGGCTGGGGTCCCTGCCGTAGAGTGATTGAGAGACAGGACTGCCACACATGAAAGAGAGAGAACCGTTATGTAAGTCAGCACTAAATCGTGTGCTCAGAATTGTTGCTGCCTCAGGAATTCAGGAAACAGGAAAGATCTGTGAGGCCTGGAGTTGAGAGAGAGGCCAGTGCTTCCTGGAGATGGGAGCTAGCCCAGAGGGATGGTGAGATTTGAACAGAAAAAAGTGAGAGAGATGGGCATTTGGCAGGTGAGTGAAGGCATGTGAGAAAGCCATTAGGGCGCACTTGCAGGACAGTGGTTTAGGGTAAAATGAATTGATTGGGAAGCTGGGAGGGAAAAGGAAAAATGAGCAGTGAAATGATAAAGCCATAGTAGAATAAACCTCCAGTTTTCCGAGGATAAAGAAATAGTTTTAGTCTGGTCTTTCATTTGTACCCTGCCTTCCCCCTGGAAGTTGTTTATTTGTTGATTGAGACCGGGTCTTACCCTGTCACCCAGGCTGGAGTGCAGTGCCACTATCATAGCTCACTGGAGCCTCGAACCCCTGTGCTCAAGCAATCCTCCTGTCTCAGCCTCCCAAATAACTGGGACTACAAGCATGCACCACCACTCCTGGCCCCCTGGAAGTAATTTTAGGTAGCTATGAAAGTTATTGTCGAAGTGTTGGAGTGGAATTTTGGCTTAGTTAAAATAATTGAGAACGGGAAGGATGGATGACTTTGACATTAATTTAATTTGATGACTACAATCCATCTATTAAAATGGCATTCCGCTGACTTGTTTTTCTTTTTCCTTTATCCCTTTGCTCTTCATAATATTCTCAGGACTTTATTGCTCAGTATTGGCTATAATGAAATTGTATTATCATTCTACATATCAAAGTATTTCATAGTTATCCAATGCATCCATTACAACTGAATAGTTAAAATAAATGTGTTCTAGTACTTCCTACTAAAACCTGTACAGCCTCTCTGGAGCCCAACCTTGGCCTTCCTGACAGATCTGCCCTGGCAGGTGAATACCCAGGAGAACCTGCTCTAGGGAGCCCCTTTCATGCATCTGATAACTCTGTCTCATTAACACTGACGGTGTTGGTTAGTTGGTCCATAGGAGTTAACATGCAGAATTCACTGTCAATTTTAGTCAGGACAGGACAGGTTATGTGGCAGCAACAACAGCAACAACAAAAAACCCAAAACTTCAATTGCTTAGCCCCACAAATCTTTTATTTTATTTTATTTATTTTATTTTATTTTTTTTTTTTTTTGAGAAAGAGTTTTGCTGTGTCTCCCAGGCTGGAGTATAATGGTGCAATCTCAGCTTGCTGCAACCTCCGCCTCCCGGATTCAAGCGATTATCCTGCCTCAGCCTCCCGAGTAGCTGGGATTACAGGCACCTGCCACCACATCTGGCTAATTTTTTGTATTTTTAGTAGAGACAGGGTTTCACCATGTTGGCCAGGCTGGTCTTGAACTCCTGACCTCAGGTGATCTGCCCACCTTGCCCTCCCAATCCCAGCAAATTACAGGCATAATTTGCCTGTAATTTGGGATTACAGGTGTGAGCCACCGCACCCAGCAAATCTTTTATTTTTGCTTGCACTCTGTTGCTCTGCTCGTCAGCATCACTGGGGGAAGCATGCTGACAAGACCCATCTTGACATCTGCTCACACAATCTCGAAGGCAGCAGTAAAGGAGAATGTAGCATATTGTGGCTCTTAAAGCTTTCACTCAGGTAGGACTTAGGTCACTTCTGCACACATTTCATCAGTCAAAGTGAGTCACATGGTCAAACCTAACTTCAAAGGGGACAGTGACGTGCAGTCTTACTACATTCCTGGAAAGAGAGGAAAGCCAGAGTATTTGTGAATGT
Organism: Homo sapiens; assembly: GCF_000001405.40. Classification (NCBI taxonomy): domain Eukaryota; kingdom Metazoa; phylum Chordata; class Mammalia; order Primates; family Hominidae; genus Homo; species Homo sapiens. Next base: position 180,521,804 of record NC_000001.11, read on the forward strand.
CATTAGGGACGTTCTTTTTCTTTTCTCTTCCTTCTTCCCTCCTTTTTGTATAAACATATATTATTTAATGGAAAACTCCCTGCCGGGATAGGATCACTTGCTGAATAATAAGAGGTGAGATACCTCATGCACATTATTACTTTGAAAGGTAATTCCATGCGGTGTTTTCAAGGACTACAGCACAATTTCTGCAAATGTAGCCCAATTCAGAGACCATCTATAGTTTATGGAAAATATTAACTTTAGTGACTATAATTACACGGAGCCACATGTCAGTAGTGCCCTGTTTTCCACAGAAACATGAGATATTTTGCAATTTATCAACAAGTGTGCTGACCAGATTCCAGTCGAAGGCTTTCTTCCAATCCATGGTGCTTGTCCAGGCATGATCACTTAACTTTAATGCATGGGAGAAGAAGCTATGTACTTCCTACTGTGCCCCTTGATCTTCAGCTACTGGTTGAGGACTGGGCAATGTGTTACACTGTCACCTTCTGGCAGGGTTACGTGAGGGTTTTCTATTTGCATTACGGGAATGACGGGAATGACGAGCATGCCTTAGCAATTTGGAGGAGTTAGTTATCTGATACCGTAAAGGACACTGGCTTTGACATAGAAAGAACTTTGCACAGGCTTGTCGTTCGCCTGGGGATATGTCTACTTATTTTCTGCTTTTAAAATGATTTCCTGTTTTGTTTCACAACTTTGCCACCCATCTATTTTTAATTAATCTACCTTGGAATTCCTTCTAGACATTGTTACATGTTGATAAGGAAGGTCATGACTGAAGACAAGTGAAACCATACTTTGAGCTGTTTCTCTAGGAGAACAGAAGTCATGTCTGTCTGGTTTGCCACTGAATCCCATTGCTTGGCATGGTTCCTGGCACATGGTGCTCAATAAATATTATTGAATAAATACATGAATGAATGACAGATAGAGAAGACATTATTGACTCACCTGCATGGTAGTTCTCTATCTTTCTCTTGACCAATGGCAAAAAATTGCAAGCTATTGGACTGGAATGAGAGATGCAGAGACCTTCACCACAGTAAACTAAGCTAATAAGTCCACAGCTTTGCTTTCCCATTATTTTAGTTGCTAGATTGTTTTCCTCTCCCACCACACTCTAGTCATGCCCAACTTTCCAGCCAAATGGAACTACTGGCCATTCTCAGAATAGGCATGTTTCTTGTTATGGGTTGGATTTTGTCCCCACCCCCCCACAAAAATATATGTTGAAGTCCTGATCCCTGTACCTGAGAATGTGACCTGATGTGGAAATAAGGTCACTGCAAATGTAATTAATTAAGATGAGGTCATACTGGATTATGGTGGGCCCTAAGAAGGTGCCAATGTATAAGGAGATGTCCTTATAAGGAGGTGGCCATGTGAAGAGAGACACACAGAGAGAACACCATGTGACAATGCAAGCAGAGATTGAGGTGGTGCAGCTGCTAGCCAAAGAATGCTAAGGACTGCCAGCGAACCACCAGTAGCCAGAAGAGGCAAGGAAGGATTCTCTCCTCCGCGTTTCGGTTTGAGCATGGCCCTGCCAACATCTTGGTTTTGGACTTCTAGCCACTTGAACTGTAAGACAATAAATGTCTCTTGTTTTAAGCCCCTTAGTCTGTGGTTCTTTGTTACAGCAGCCCTAGAAAACACACACTGCTCAGGCCTGTATGTTTTGTTTCCTCCATCTGATCCATGCCCCATTGTCCATCTGAGGACCTCTTTTGTTGTGATGCAATCAAATTCTCTCTTCTTGGGTAAAAATCTCTAAATCCTCTCTAAATTATGATGAGAAAACTGCCTGCAATGGCAATTATTCAAGAGTAAAGACAGAGCCATAAGTGGTACAACTGTTCCACTTGGTTCAAAGGAAGGTGTGAGAAGGGGTTTAGGGAGGATTGTGCCACAAAGAATGAAGTCATGAGATCAAGATTTTGAGTTATGCATAAAAAGTAGGCCCAGGTTTGAATTCACTTTGAAAAAAAAAGAAAGAGAAAGGTTGGGGAGAGGGAGACAGAGAACAAAGGAGGGAGGAAGGGAAGGAGAGAGTGAGAAGCCTCCTGGGCATGCCTGTTATTCCTCTCATGGCCTTTTAGTCAATCAATTAGATAATAAATTATTCATAACCTTCTCCGCTGGCATTCAGGTACCTGTAGTGAGAAATGATGGATGTTCTGGTGACCCATGTAAATTTGCTTGGATTCAGAACCATTGTCTCAGCCTGTTGCTCAAATTGCTCTCTCTATTCCTAGCATCACGTTGGGCCTGGCTGGAGGAGGGACTGTTAAGTCAATACATACCTCTACCGTAATGCCTACCACCAGGGGTTTTAGTCGTCTTTGTTGCAAAACCAATGAGTAGCAATCAAGTCAATGAGAATGAGTTGAAGGGACAAAACAGATACACGTATTGTCACACTGTCTTGGGCGGATGGGAAGGAAGAGAAGAGGTGACTTTGCTAGGGGAATGAGCTAGGAGCAAGGTATGTGGTGAACCCACAAGCTGGACTGACCCCTCACTCCACAAGGAAGGCTGAACAGGGCAGCCCAGCTGGTTAGTCCTTACAGGCGCCTGTGGTCAGCTGAGCATGGGGCTAGAGAGGAACATGCACCCATCACCAGTGGGCAGGGTAAGCATGGGCTTTTGGTATCAGAAAATCAGGCCTCCAAAATATTTCAGCAGGAGGAGCTTTTGACAGTTAAGAAAGCATTTAAAGGGTCATCATTTAATTTGCTGGGGTTTATATTTATTTTATAATTTATAATGTAAAATGTATAGTTTACATATTTCATCGCTTAGAGGTTTTAAAGGCTTTAGTCCACCCCTAAGTGTTTGAGGTGGAGGAAAGCTGGGACTCTGTCCAAACGGGTGCTGGAGTTCGAGCCAGAGAAATGAGTTCCTAATATGAAGGACAGAAGCTGACATGTGGAATCAGAAGTAGGGAGGAGGATGGGTAGGAAAGCAGAGGTCACTGATGGGAAAGCTGAGAATGACTAATGACTGGCAGAGTGAGCAAGTGGGAGAGGGTCTGGAGAGATTCTAAAGACTTAGGACAGAGGCCTGCAAAGGCTTTCCAGCCACGTGTGAGGGTGGACTGGGTTCATTGAAAGGGGTAGGAAAAAATGAGTGACAGCATTTCACTCCTGCCCTTAGCAGAGCTGCTTACCTTCCAGAAGACATCGCAGGCAGAGCAAGGAGACTCAACAGTACCACATGATGAGGTGAGAGCCTGAGAATAGCAAGGCCCTGCTCCTGCCTGTATTATGAGGGTGGGCCCTGCCCCCAGCCCCAGGCAAAGGAAGCCCATATGTGCAAGGGCACAGCCCTAGAGGGAAGTCAATCATGAGGGTAGTGGCCACAGTGGCTGGTTCATCATCTGAGGGGCTTTGTGAATTATTTCATTGGTAGGTGCTGGAGCAGCCAGTCAAGGAAGGGTCACTGCTGCCCTGGACACAACACAACAGCAGTTGTGAGCCATCTTAGAAATCCTTCCTCATTTGGAGCCAAATCATTGTTGTGCTATTATTAATTTGCCTCCTTGCTTAGACGTGAGGCTGGCCACCTGGGGAAACACTCCTGTCACAGACAGGAGAAGTATGAGTGCATGGAGCAACATCTGACACTTGGCGATGCTGGCCTCGTAAACTGGACAGGTACAGACTAATTAGAACGTGCTAGAGCTACTCCAGGTGAGTCACTTAACTTACTCAGTAAGGGATAAACTGCTGTTAGGCAAAGGACCTGAGAAAGGCTTCTTACCAACTTTCAGCTCTGGGTTGATTCGTTCAACAACTAATGGTATTTCCTGATTTCTTCTTCCTGTTTCAGTTACGAATGTAATTGTAACCTGGATGTTACCAAGTCCAGTTTGCTTCTGAGGCCTCCTGCCTTTGCTATTCATTGTGGAAACACCGTTGCCCTTTAATGCATCCATCATCTCTGGCTCTGGAATCCTGCTTCCTGCTCAATCCTTGCTGCTTGCTCTTTCCTCCCTCTCGAGGTAGCCAAAGCAGACACAGCCTGTCTCCTCTCTGTTGCAGAGCACCACTAATACAGAGCAGTTGCATGAAACAGATTTTTCTGAAGATGTCATAACTAATGAGAACAGACAGAGCTATTATAGCCTGGGGTAGGAAATAATTTCAAATACAACATCAGAGATGATTGTTTCTAGAAATGCATTGGCCATTCCCTCCATGAGGAATTTCTTTCTATCTGTGTCCCTCCTTGGCACCCCCAGGCACTCCAATGCCAGAATTGCCTAAAAAGAGATCAAGAAATATCCTTCCGTATGGATGGAACTACCATGTATTACATGCCAGGGACTGACTGCACTAACAGTCTGATTCTCTCACTTAATCCTCTCAGCAGTGTTCTGTGGTATACATTCCTATTTTACAGATGAGGAAACTGAGTCTCAGAGATGGTAACCTGGCCAGGAACCCACTGCTGAGATTTGCATCCAGTTCCTTCTACCCCACACCCATGCTCCTCACTGCAACACTTGCTGTCTCCCTGTGTAGTCCTAGTCTTCGCATACCCTCAGGTCATCAGAATTTAAATCTATTACTTTACCCCTTAACTCAGCAAAGCTTTCTGTAGAGTCAGGTAAAATTTTTCCCTAACATTTTCTTCCATGCAATTGAATCCCTTCTCCAAGAGCTCCCTTGCAAAAACGGCCCTCCCTCTCCCGAGATAAGTTTCATATTCACTCTGATTTCCTTTGCGCTGAAGTGTTTCTCCTCACTTACACTTCTAGATAACTTTCTGCTGTCTCTGCTTCCCCCACTGCCCTTTTCGCTGCTTTGTCAGCTCCTCTAAGGAAAGAGCCTCATTTAATGCCAGGAACTAGGATCCATTTGCCTCCCTCCCCTCTTGAAGCAAGGGAATCAATCCCCATAGATAAGGCAACAGGACGGTGGACTCTGCACTGAATTTCTCAGGTGCCTTTTTCAGTGGTGTGGGAGAGAAGGGGGACCCCTCCCAACCCGAAGCCATATTTTCTTCCTGAGCTTGGCACTCCATTAAGCCAGGACTTTCAGCCCACCTGAATCCTCATAATTCTTAACTATGTCCTTGCCCCTGGTTGGGATAACAGCCACAGATAAAAGGGAGCGGACATTCAAATGGAGTTATAAAGTACACACCGTGGTTCTCCTCCCTGACCTTGCTCTATACACTGTCACAAAACAAATCCACAGTCCCACAGAGACCTTAACCCAGAGGATGGTGAGAAGCAACCCAAACTAATATATAGCCCTGTCTCTAAGTACCAAGAGATGACAATGACAGCAGTTGGTTACATGAAGGCATGAACCAATCAATGGGTTTTTTGAGAACCAATTTGGTAGGAGGCATGCTATCAGAGACGTTAAAAAAAAAAAAAGAAAGAAAGGCTGAAAGATAAGCTGCACTGATGGAATTTACAGCCTGTTTCCAAAGATAGGATAGAAAAGAATAATTATCCGTTCCGGAGATGATATGCCAAGTTATAAATGTGTTAGGTAGACAGCAAGGGCTCCGGGAGTTCAGAGAGGGGAGGCAGCACTGACCTGGGAAAGGACAAGGAGACTTTCACTGAGAAGAGATAAGGCTTGTGCATAGACTTCTTCAGTAGGCCAGAGGGGGAAGGACATACAGAGTCTGGTGTGGAGAATGGCATGAGCAAAGGTGCGGGGACAGGAATGTGAATGGTGTATTCAAGGGACAATGACTCATTCACTTGGCTTTCTTTACAGCTGCCACATAATAGTGGACACATAACTGATTATTATTATTTTCTGTTTTTAAAGACCTCAAGAATAAAGCAAGAGACTCAGACTCTCAATTTAGTGCTCAGTGACCCCAGTGCTCAGTGACCCTGAGGAGGTCAAGGTGAATCCGAGCCCTGTCAAAATTCTCACCCTCATTTGCTGGAAACTCCATTGATTTAATGCTGTGGTTCAGGAGTCTAATCTTTGGAAAACCTAAAAAATAACCTGGTCAAATCTTAATTACTAAGCATAGCATCATTTATGATTTTGACTTTGTCAGAATTGGTCACTAACTTTCCCCGTTTTAAAACACTTCAGAGCTATTTGGAGCCAGGAAATATCTCTACGAGGAGGCTAATCCTGTTAGGAAACACTGTTGTCCTCTTTTTTTTTTTTCTTGAGACGGACTCTCACTTTGTTGTCTAGGCTGGAGTGCAGTGGTGTGATCTTGGCTCACTACAACCTCCACCTCCCAGGTTCAAGCGATTCTCCTGCCTCAGCCTCCCTAGTAGCTGGGATTATAGCTGCGCACCACCACACCCAGCTAATTTTTCTATTTTTAGTAGAGACGAGGTTTCGCCATGTTGGCCAGGCTGGTCTCAAACTCCTGACCTCAGGTGATCTGCCCACTTTGGCCTCCCAAAGTGCTGGGATTACAGGCGCGAGCCACCACGCCTAGTGTTGCCCTCTTTAATGAGTGCTACACAAATGTCTTGGTGATTTCACATCCGCAGTTGTTGTGGGGTGTGTTTTGTTTGTTTGTTTGTTTTATTTTTTGTTTTTTGAGATGGAGTCTCGCTCTGTCGCCCAGGCTGGAGTGCAGTGGCACTATCTCAGCTCACTGCAAGCTCCGCTTCCTGGGTTCATGCCATTCTCCTGCCTCAGCCTCCCGAGTAGCTGGGACTACAGGTGCCCGCAACCACGCCCGGCTAATTGTGTGTGTGTGTGTGTGTGTGTTTAGTAGAGATGGGGTTTCACGTTGTTAGCCACGCATTTCTTGAGGATTAGACTGCTGTTGCAGATGAGCGCCGTCCTCTGTCTCTGAGTTCCAGGGTTTGTGTTCATGGAGGTGTCTTGTATGGTAGTTCCCCAGCACTGAGGCAGTCTCACCTCCATGACAGAAGCAGGAAGATTGTTTTGCTTTTCTGATATTTTCTATGGAAGATGCTTTTGTTTTCCAGTGTTTTCTATTGAGGAATACTAGCTACCTCTAACTCAAAACATACAGGAAGCTCTCTATACTTATCATATTTTAAAAATGTTTTTTAACCAAACTAGCTTTCCTAAATGGTTACTATACATTTCCAGTGTATTTCGAAAGGAAATTAATTCTCACTTCATGACTTCAGCAAAATAAAAAGCAAAACAAACACTAGAGTACTAAAGGAACAACTACTCGAGACATCGTGTTCTCTTAGTCACAGGCACATAGGAGGGAAAATTCAACTAAGCCTCATTTGGATGTATTAAAATAGCCTTTTTCCTAGCTCAGAATCACATTTCAAAGGGTGCCTAGGTGCAAAGCTAAGCCAAGTATAACCTAGCCACAAAGTAGTGCCAAGGGTAATACACTGTTTTCTGTTTTGTTTTAAGCAATGAAACACAGCAGGGAGCTGAGAACATGCACAGAACCAGGAGCAAGCAAACCCGAGCTGCAGGGAGCTGGGTGTCCTTGGCCAACTCACCCAACCTCTCTGAGCATCTTCATTTAGAAAATGAGCGGCTGGGCATAGGGGCTCACGCCTGTAATCCCAGCACTATGGGAGGTCGAGGCAGGCGGATCGTTTGAGACCAGCCTGGGCAACACAGAGAGACCTCATCTCTACAAAAAATTTTAAAAAATAAAAAATTAACTGGACGTGGTGGTGTGTACCTGTAGTCTCAGCTACTCGGGAGGCTGAGGTGGGAGGATCACTTGAGCCCACAAATTTGAAGCTACAGTGAGCTAAGATTTGTGCTCTAGCCTGCCTTAACACATAATGACCAAGTGAGAAAATGTATACAAAAGCACTTTGTAAATGACAGGTTTTTCTACAACACAAAGGAATCATAGAGGTGGCTATTTGGGGGAAAATGAGGTATGTGCAAAGCTTCCTTTTAAAAGGTGACTTTTATGTCTAGCATTTTTGTGTGATTTAAGTTCAGCAATTAGAGGATCATTATTTAATACCCTAAGAAAATACTGTTATATTGTGTCTTCCAAATGAACTATTTCTGTTTTTACTGTCACTTGGAATGTTCTCCATGAAAGAAAAGTATTTAAAGGAAAAATTACCTGGAAGATAATGGGTGAGATTTTTATAAGTGCCTTCTGTATGGGGACAAAGGGCTTTTTCTGCTACACCTCCTGAACAGTTTGATTTATTTGACAATATAATACATTTTTTCAAATAAGATGAGGAAATAGGTGTTCCAGCAAGTGATATGGGGGTGGCAGAGTGGGGAGGTGTTAAGGGGAGGGTGTCAGGGAGGGAGGAGAAAAGAATATTGGGAAGAGCTGACCAGGAGAAGTCTCAGGCAACCATACTGAGTATCTTCAGAATTGTAGTCGGGTACACAAGGACCCTCCCAGGTGAATACAGCATTTTGCCAAGTCTCCATCATCCTGTGAAGGTGTCTGGGCTTCGGCCGGCCCAGAGGACTGAGGGAGACTGGCCCGACCTCTCCCTACTGCTATGCTCTTTTTTGAAGGCTAATCAATAAAATGTCACGGAGCACTTTTCTAAGAAGGCCATGATCTGATATTCAGGCAAAGAGAGAACCCTTCAAGGCAAAGTCGATATGACAATCTCCCAATAACTGGCTTTGCTGCCTAAAGCATGAAGCACCCTAAATCCCAATCGCTCAGTCCCTACTTAGAGCTTATCCTCAAAGAGCTGGATTTCTAACTCATTTTCATTAAGGCAAAATCATTAACAATAGTTGATCTTAATACGTTGGCAACTGTGACCTCAATCTTACTAAATGGAATATTATTTCTTAGCTACTATTCAATATTACTTAACAAATGCCTTTGTCCATTTGCAGGAAACTCAGGTTTCCTGACCGCCAGTCCTGACCACTCCCTACCAGCAAGCCTCCTCTTCACATAGTTGTGGGACCGCATTTGCTGCACTCCTAACAAGCCAAGAGACAAAGCAATCCCGGAAATTCCCTTTTGACTCTGTACTGTAAGGAAATGCCATGTAGCAATAGCAGGAGGGCAGAGTTTAATCAAAGCACCACTTTCTCTACTCATTGCCCACGTTTAGCTGCTGGAATCTCATATCAACCAGAAGCCTAAAGTCTTGATTCTTTCTGTGTGTGTGTGTGTGTGTGTGTTTTTGAGATGGAGTCTCGCTCTGTTGCCCAGGCTGGAGTGCAGTGGCACGATCTTGGCTCACTGCAACCTCCACCTTCCTGGTTCAAGCAATTCCCCTGCCTCAGCCTCCCGAGTAGCTGGGATTACAGGCTTGTGTCACCACACCTGGCTAATTTTTGTGTTTTTAGTAGAGAAAGGGTTTCACCATGTTGGCCAGGCTGGTCACAAACTCCTGACCTGAGGCAATCAACCCTCCTCAGCTTCCCAAAGTGCTGGGATTACAGGCGTGAGCCACCAAGCCCAGCCAATTCCTTTTTTTTTTTTTTTTTTTTTAATAAAAACAAGGTCTCACTTTTTTGTCTAGGCTGGAGTGTAATGGAATGATTACTGCTCATCACAGCCTCGACCTCCTGCGCTCAATGGATCCTCCCACCTCAGCCTCCTGAGTAGCTGGGACTACAGGCCCAAACACCACCATGCCTGGCTAATTTTTGTATTTTTTGTAGAGACAGGGTTTTGCCATGCTGCCCAGGCTGGTCTCGAACTCCTGGGCTCAAGCCAGCTGCCCGCCTCAGCCTCCCTAAATGCTGGGATTACAGGCCCGGCCTTTTTTTTTTTAAAAAAAAAAAAAAAAAAGACAGCGTCTTTATCACTCAGGCTGAAGTGTAGTGGTGCGATCATGGCTCACTGAAGCCTCGACCTCTTGGGCTCAAGCAATCCTCCCACCCCAGCCTCCTGAGTAGTTGGGACTACAGGTGCACCACCATGCCCAGCTAATTTAAAAAAAAAATTTTGTACAGACGAGGTCTTTCTATGTTGCCCAGGCTAAACATTTTTATAGTATTCAGAAAAATCGACATTTAAAAAGTCAATACTCAATACTCAAATACTACTAGAAGAATGTATATTGGTACCACTGCTCTAGTGGGAAATCTGGCAACATGAACCAAAAGTCATAAAAGGTTCATAACTTTCTCTACTGAAATATTATACTGAAGAAATATGCATTATAAGTTTAATAGGTTAAAAACTGGAAACAATCTAAATGTTCAACAACACAGCATTAAGTGATTCCATAGTCATCAGTCAAATGTATGCAGAAATTAAACATCATGTTTTTTCAAAGAACAAATTTCACAGTATTCACACAATATTGTTGAGTGAAAAAAGCTGCTTATAAAACTGTAAGTACGAAGTGGTTTTGTTTAAGATATATACATATATCTCCATATTTAAGGGTTGTCACATATCAAACAATTACAATGGGTATGTCTGTGCTTTCTGAAATATCCAAATTTTATATTGCATTCAAGTATCACTTTCTGATTAGGAATAAACGCAACTAATTTCATTTTTTAAAAGGGAGATATGAAGGTCAAACACTCTATGAAAGAACTTTTGATTTAAACATTTATATAGAGGATGTCTTTGACATTCCAATTTTCCTCAGCTTGACCAAGAATGATAATATCATGTTTCAAATATTAAGAATAAAAATTATTATTATTACTATAGTTACAATTTATTGAGTACTTATTCTGTGCCAGGTAGTGTGTTAAGAAGTATGTATGTATGTGTGTATGTGTGTGTGTATATATGTACATATGTATATATTATTGGATTTAATCCTCACAACAACCCTGAGCTAGAAATTATTATTATTCCCAGTTTACAGATGAAGAAATTGAGACAGTATGTGGCTACCTACTAAGTGGTGGGGCTGGCATTTGAACTCTGGCAGTCTGGCTCCAAAGCCCACACTCTTCACAGCTACCCATACATACTCCTTCCTTTACAGGGAGAACCGGGAAGGCATATCCAATTCATGAACTTACTCAAACCAGGTTTGTTGAGTAAAAAGAGGGGTATTAGTCTTGTTAAATAGGAGACTGTGGAATCTGATAGGAATTACCTGGGATTTTGCTCTCAGGGCTACTGAAGACACCACTCTCTGGCTTCCCAGCCCATGCAACTAGAGACAGAACAGGGGGTCGAATCTAAGAAATTGCCCTGAGTTTGCGTGATTCTGCCAGCCACTTCATGATGCCTCTCCGGGTGTCTGCCCAAGTCCCATTTCCTGACAGAGTTAGGAGGGAAGAGTAGATGTTCTCCACTGTGAATCTGTCTGGTCTCCTGATATCTTCACTACAATTGGCAAGCACCCTTCTCAGCCACAAGGCTCTCCCAAAGCCCTGGTGCATCTACTGCATTTCTAAGTATTCAGGATATATATGCTACCCACTTTCCCAACTCCTAACTCCAGTTTTCCTCCCATCAGATACGCTGCTTAACTGTTACCAACCCAGTTCACATCTCAGCATCTCAGAAATTGATTGCATTGTCTGGTGAAGCATAGGAAATTTGTTCTCGAGGATAAGGGTCACTGTAAGAAAATATTAATGTTTCAAATGAGAAGCTAAAGAATCACACATATTTCCAAAGGAGGAAGTCCTAATGGTTTTCTGAATGCACAAATGACAGCTTGTGAGAAGCATTTAAAGAGCTTTTCTGCTAACTCTAAAGGCCCAAGGTTTGTTTTCTCTGAGGTTTCTTAATGGAGTCTAAACATTTCATTGTGTTCACCGGAGCAGCGAATTGAATATAAAGTGGCAGGCCTTAAAAGGGAAGCCAGTGAGTCGGAGCATCATTTGCGTGAAATATATTATTATTGCCTGTTTTTTTTGATGGCATTTAAATGCTCTTATGAGAAATGAGTATGACCTCTTCTTAGATTGTTTCCTTTTTTCATTATAGTCACCCTGGCGGGGTCATCCCTCCCCACCGCTTTCAAGGCATCATGCCCAAGTCGCCACTTGGGGGCAGTCTAATGCCTCTGTCCCTTCCCATCGCCATTTTCCCGCCTGCCTTCTCTCTTAGGTGTTTGACCTGGTTTCTGGTCTCTCTTATAATAGAATGGTCATTACCAATCTCTGCAGTTTATTTAAAAAGAAGCAAAGGGTGGCATTCTTAACATATGGAAAAATGCTACATTGCACTCATACCGTTTTTCAAGGAGTATTCAGGAGTACTATCTCTTAGAAGGATGTAGGCAGGGCAGCCATGGTGATCACCTGTTTCAGAACAGACACCTTGGCTTGGGAAGGTTAAATCAATGTTTAAACCTCAAATGGCTCTGAAGGGGCAGGCTTTCTGATTCTTTGGTCAGTGCTCTTTCCTCCAATCATGCCGAAATAAAATCCAGCTTTTATTTTGCAGGAAGATCATTGTTTAATGAAGACAGCCAAACAACAAATAGCAGTACAAATAATTCAATAGAAAAAGGAAATCACAGAATCACATTATTTTCCTGTGTGTGCTCATAAAATGGTTTTAACTCAGGGAAGAAAAAAAATCACAATTCCCTTTCAAAGTTTAATAAAAATTCACTTAAACACGGGAATAAACAGCTTGCCCAGATCCTTTCCCCACCCTTCCATGCTCACCAGGCAATTTAATTAATGGGCAAACAGCCCGATGGTAGATTTTTCTGATACAGTGTCATGAACGAGTGAGATCCATCTTTGCACATGTTGGCACATCACTCTGGCTGCATTACAGAAACAGAACAGAGTCGTATGGTTCCTAGAAAGTAATTATTTGGCAGGGTTCTACCCCTGGGTGAATCCGCACAGAAAAAGTACTCAGGTGGCCCTCACTGGTGCCAGGGCCTGGGGTGGATGGCAGAGGGTGTGCATTGAATACGCGTGTAATGGTTTGAGTTCCTGAGGTGGGGAGGGAGAACACAGCAAGGGAATACAAACCCATAAGAACAGGGCTGTAAATCATGCCTACTTCCTCTGTTCCTGTAATTTATTCATTTAGCCATCAAATATGCATGGACTATTATATGCTCAGCACTGAGCAAAGGGTTTTGCATAAGTGAGCACAAGAAATGAACCTTTTTTTTTTTTTTGAGACAGGGTCTTGCTCTGTTGCCCAGGTTGGAGTGCAGTGGTACTGCTCACTGCAGCCTCAACCTCCTGAGCTCAAGTGACCCTCCCACCTCAGCCTCCCAAGTAGCTGGGACTATAAGCATGCACCGACATGCCTGGATAATTTTTGTATATTTTTGTAGAGACAGGGTTTTGCCATGTTGCCCAGGCTGGTCTCGAACTCTTGAGCTCAAGCAGTACTCCTGCCTTGGCCTTCCATAGTGTGGGATTACAGGTGTGAGCCACTGTGCCCAGCCAAGAGATGAACTTTTAAAGGATTGTAAACCAAGGGTATCTGAAATAAGTCTCAATCAATTTAGAAAGTTTATCTTGTCTGGGCATGGTGGCTCATGCCTGTAATCCCAGCACTCTGGGAGGCCGAGGCTGGCAGATCACAAGGTCAGGAGTTCGAGATCAGCCTGGCCAATACGGTGAAACCCTGTCTCTACTAAAAATACAAAAATTAGCCAGGCATGGTGGCGGACTCCTGTAGTTCCAGCTACTTGGGAGGCTGAGGCAGGAAAATTGCTTGAACCCGGGAGGCGGAGGTTGCAGTGAGCCAAGATCGCGCCACTGCACTCCAGCCTAGGCGACAGAGTGCGACTCCGTCTCAAAAAAAAAACAACAAAAAAAGAAAGTTTATCTTGCCAAGGTTAAGGACACACCTGTGACACAGCCTCAGGAGGTCCTAACAACATGTGCCCAAAGTGGTCAGGGGACAGCTTGGTTTTATATATTTTAGGGAGACATGAGACATCAATCAACATATGTAAGATGAACATTGGTTCGGTCAGGAAAGGTGGGACAACTCAAAGCAGGGAGGAGCCTTCCAGGTCATAGGCAGATAAAAGACAAATGGTTGCATTCTTTTTAGTTTCTGATTAGCCTTTCTCTGAATACATGATTTATAGGAATAGTCACTACACTTTAGTCTGGCTTAGTGAAACAATAGCGCAAAGGAGACAATCAGATATGCATTTGTCTCACGTGAGCAGAGGGATGACTTTGAGTCTATCTGTCCTTTGTCCACAAGGAATTTCCTTGTGATCAAATTGTAAGGAAGGTATGTCGCTTTTTTTTAAGTCTTAGTAGCTATCTTTTTAAGGAATAGCATGGGAGGCAGGTTTGCCCTAAGCAGCTCCCAGCTTGGCTTTTCCCTTTGGCTTAGCGATTTGGGGGTCCCAACATTTATTTTCCTTTCACAGGATTAAAAAAAATAAAAAGGTTCAGCACTTTGGGAGGCCAAGGCAGGCAGATCACTTGGGCTCAGGAGTTTGAGACCAGCCTGGGCAACATGGTGAAACTCCATCCCGTCTCTATATACAAAAATGATCTAGGCATGGTTGCACATGCTTGTAGATCCAGCTACCTGGGAGGCTGAGGTAGGAGGATTGCTTGAGCCCAGGAGGCAGAGGTTGTAGTAAGCCAAGATCATGCCACTGCACTCCAATCTTTGAGCGAGACCCTGTCTCAAAAAAAAAAAAAAAAAAGTTCATACTTTTGATCAGCTTTCATTTCAAATGAGGAAGTAGTTTTCAAAGTTATTTTAAAAATATTTGTTGAGCTTCTACTCTGTGCATTGGTGATGTCTGAAAAGCCCCAAGGCTCCAAACTGAAATATTGATATATTACAGTGAAGAGAAGCAGCTGCTTTTAAACCCCATTTTATTGACATGATCAAGGTTATACAGAAGTGCTGATGAGATGGGAGGGGTGAAGCAAGTACTGCTTTTAAAACTGCTCCCAAGATTACACTCAGTATTAAAGTTACAATCAATTAGAGAACCGTTCAAGGAATTTGCCAGAAGCCTTTCCAGGATTCTAAACCTGAGTAGGCAGAAGAGCCAGATTTTTGGCTAATTAGGCATTTGCCCTGTTCCTAACACCAAGACTTGCTCTGAGAGACGCCCCACTACCTCCGTTTCAATTTCTCCACAAAGGTTGAGGTCAAATATCAGCCTCTAGAACAGTCAGCGTTGTATAATCTGGTTAACAGAAATGCCCTAAGCACTGTGGTCCACAATGGACAGGATTCCATGCCCCCGTCCACTTCTAGCAAATGGAAGGAGCATACCTGCGATCTTACATCCTGCACACACCAATAGTACATCAGCCTCTTACTGCAGACAGGAGCTGGTCAGATTCTCAGCCAGTGTTTGGTGTGTCCCTTGCTACCTTCCGTCCCTCTGAGCTTGGTCCTCTGGGTGCTGCATCAAGTGTTTGTGTCTTGGCTGCTTCTATCCATTATTTCTCCAGGCATGGGAACTGTTCTGTGATGCAGATACGGGTCAATGCACCATCATGCAGTGATTATGACAGGAAACTGGAGGAGCAACAGCCGCAGCCACCAGAGGAGGAAGGGACCAGGCTTCCATTGCTACCTGACAACACCAGCATTGCCAAGCAGCTTTACATGCAACCGCAAACCCAGATGTCCAGCTTGATGCAAAAGCTGCCACAAAAGCACTCCACAAAATAAAGTCTGCACAGAGAGCAAAACATACCTTGGTTTCCCTCGTCCCCAGCTTTGATTTTAAGCAAGCCATTTATACTTTTTGGACCTTATTTTTCTGATTCTTGAAACAAAAGGGTAGGACCAATGACTTCTGATGTCCTTTTCAGCTCTAACTTTTTATGATTCTGTGTATGTAAAAGCCAAAGGAGAAAAAATATCTTGCAGGAGTTATTGACTCACTGCCCTGTAGCAGAATCAAGAGAATCAGTATTAATATTTTTCAGGCAATTAGCACAGGGTTAGCATAACAATTAGCGGTTGGTGTACACAGAAGAGTCTCAGACTGTGAATCAAAAGACATGAGTTCCATGCCATCAAGGAGGCATTATGCACTACAGAAGTGAAAAAAATCATGCTTTTGGAGCTGAGTTCAAATTCTGACTCCATCATTTGCTAGGGTGACTTTGTGCAAGTTACTTAACTTTTCTGAATCTGTTAACTTTGTTAGTAAATAAGACTAAACAATACTTCACAGAATTGTAGCTTCAGATTCAGACACAGAATTGAAGATCTGTTATAAGCTCTTCGCACATTGTAAGAACACACACAATATATATGCATTTATCTAAAAGCCTTTTCTAAGATCTCTTAGAGAAGGAAAACTAACCTATCTTGAGTTCCAGCTTTGTGCCAGAAACTTCCATGACTTTTGTCATTTAATCTTGATGAAGTGGCTGTTATCTAAATTTAACCTAAATTTACTTTACCCAGAAATAACATGAGTGTAATACCTTTCCTACCTAGCCTAAAGAGTTCTTATGAAGATGAAAAGAATTTAATGTGAAGGGATCTTGCAAATTGTCAATTTTTTATTTGTGAATATAATAGCCATTCTTTTATGAAACACTCTTTATAGTACTATGAAAAGAATGTTCAATTACCTAACATGCATTTATTCAGATCCTACTATTTGGCCATTTATTCAGAACATGATCTCTGTGCTCAGAGACTTTATAACCAGGGATCCCAAAATGACACCTAGGAAACCAATGAGAATGGTTAGAAGCAGCTGAGCTACCATCGAAGAAGAAAGGAATTAAAAGAGAATGATCTGACTTAAAGAATAAATAGATTTAAGGAGAAGCAATTGAGAGGAGACATTTTATATAAAGGGGTTAGCATGAAAATAGGAACACAGGCAGGAAAAAAAGTCTCTTTTGAAGCCTGTGAAGAAATTAGAATTTTTCCCCTTGTAATTTACAGGAACATTAAGCATTGAATCATGCATGCAGAAAATATTCAGTGAGCACCTACTACGTGCCAGGCACTACTCTAAGTGCTAGGGATGCATTAGTGGACAAATTAAAAGGTTGAGGAGCTTACGTGCTAGTGGGTGAGACTGCCACTAAACATAATAAATAAATTATACAGAATGTTAGAAGGTTATGAGTACAATAGAAAAGACATACTACAGTAGGGTAGGGTGATCCAAAGCACCAGGAGTTTGAGATATTAGGTGGCAATATAAAATAGGGTGGTCAAGCTGGGCTTCACTGATATGGTAACATGTAAGAAAGGCTTGAAAGAGGTGAAGGAGTGAGTCAAGCAGATTTATGGAGAAGGAGCTTCAGGCAGAAGGAACAGCTAGAGTGATAGTTCTCAAAATGTGATTCCCTGTCAAGACAAAGTGCATTAACATGATCTGGGAACCTGTTGGAAATACACATTTTCAGGTCCCATCTGAAACTCTGGAAGGCCCAGCAATCTTTCACTGGAGGGTTCTGGTGTTCCCTAAAATTTGAGAGCTACTGATCAAGAGGAAAGATCTAGTGGGTTTGTGCTGAGCTTGTGCCAGGCTTGTACAACCCCAGCATAACTAAAGTGAAATGCACCAGAGAAAAAGAAGCGATAGCGGAGATTGGAGGGGCTCTATTGAATGCTCTCATGCTAGACGTCGCATTTTTATCTGAAGTTCTACTTATGTAGTAATTTAAGAAGCCTCTCCCCCAAAGGAAAAAAAAAGTACGGTAGCATTAGTTGGCCCTGCTCAGAGTACATGACAAGAAGCTCCAATCATAGACCAGTTGAAAGTGTATGTTACAGAGAAGCCAAACACCTCACTATAATTAACTGTTTTATCAGCTGCTTTGAAAACCTATCATCGAGAATTTCCAAATGAAAAAGACTTGGGTTTCCCAGCTGAGACTGTTTGGAACCTGGTCGCTGGGGTTTTCCACAAACTAAGCTATCATTAAATATTTCTACCACTGAAGGGGGTCATTAGGTGTGCAAGCCCATTCGATTTAAATTCCTACTTATTTTGGTTGTGGATCTCGATATAGATTTGTGTCCCTAAGGCAGAAAAGAAGATGTTGGCATTTATGGATCTTAAAAATGTATTTTTTTTTCTAAAGATCTTAATGGATAAAGTAACTAGGGCTACAACAAGAGCTGGAAGCTTACACCCAAATATTTTGCCTGAACAATGGCTCCTTGTTTTATTTCTCAGTTAAGAAAAATGCCCAGGGACTGGCCAGGATAAGCAGTTCTTCCCTCATACTCATCCACCTGGCCAAGCAGCAATGTTCAGCTCTGTGGACACTGACAGCAAGAGGAGGTAGGTTGGGAAAGGGCCTGCAGGGCAGGCCTATGGGGAAGACACTGGGCTCAGAGAGCAGCGCCTTTAAAGTACATATACAGCCTGGCCAACATGGTGAGACCCTATCTCTACTAAAAATACAAAAATTAGTCAGGCCTGGTGGCATGCGCCTGTAATCCCAGCTACTCGGGAGGCTGAGGCAGGAGAATCGCTTGAACCTGGGAGGCGGAGGTTGCAGTGAGCCAAGATCGCACCACTGCACTCCAGCCTGGGTAACAGAGTGAGACTCTGTCGAAAGAAACAACAGAACGAACGAACGAAAGAAAGAAAGAAAGAAAGAAAGAAAGAAAGAAAGAAAGAAAGAAAGAAAGAAAGAAAGGAAGGAGGAAAGAAGGAAAGAAGGAAAGAAAAGAAGTAGGCCTGCTAACAGTGTCAGGTCCTCTGGTCTTCAGCAGGGGACAGATGGAAAAGAATTTTAATGGGTCTATGCTGACTGGTGCCATCCCAATTTTATGCCTTATCTTCCTGACATATTTTGCCAGCTTGTTCACAGATATACCCTTTGGTTATATATATATACCTGGGATTCTGATTTAAGCAGGTACCGAACCTTGGACTGTATCAACTCTACTTCGGTTTCATGGACTAGATTCTAGGGTCCAGCCCAGGCTTTCCCAGCACCAATCTTGGCCTGCCCCTGACTTTATCTTGACAGTGTCCCAGTAGTTAAGTTCCCCTGTGAGCCCCTCACTCTGACTCACCTGGAGCTCAGAGGTTTCCCTGTGCTTAGGCCCATCTCCCGTGGTGCCTCTACCTAGAGTCCTTCAGCTGCAGTTTTGGCTTCACTGTCTACTCCTTATTTTTTTGAGGTCTGACCTCAGAGTATCTTAAGAATGCAATATTTAACAAAACATATCCCTCCAAGCTTTGCAATATCCCCTGTGATCCCATTTCATGGGTAAGAAACCAAAATTATTATAGTCGATGAATAATAACCCCACTGATTCACAGGAACATTAAGAAAACCTTGCCAGGCTAAGCAATTCCAGGCAGCCTTCAGCCGCCACCACCGGTGATGAATCACAGAGGCTGCTGCCAGAGATGGGACATTTTGGGACTCTGCACATACAACTTAAGACACAGGATGGGAGTGGAGGTGAGAAAGAGAAGACATAAGATCCGTCCAGGGCAAAGGATTCAAAGGTCACCAGGACTACACTCACCTCCTGAGACCTGGTGACAGCAAAAACATTTCCTCGACGTGACTTCTATTTGGAAGTTGAGGAGACAGTTCAGCCACCTTGTAGAGTATTTTGCATCAGCTAATGCTCCCTGGCCTGACACACTCACAAACTCTGACCCATTTAGATAACCTCCCCTCAACCAAAAAAGAACGCACTTTCACCAGCCCCTGAAAATCTCCCAATGAATTTATCTTTTTAAAATGAGATAATTACACACGAAGCACTTAGAACAATGCCTGGCGCATATTCAGCACTGACTACGTGCTAGCTATAGTTGTTATTTTTGTCTGTGGTCTGAAGACAGATGCAGTGCCACTTGTCTCTTCAGACGCCAGTATCTCAATGCCCCTCTTCACCCGTGCCACACCCAGCCTACCAGGTCTCATTTCATCGAAAAACAAACAACAATAACAGCAACCCTCCCGCCCCCAAGCATTCTAATCAAATACTGCCTCTATATGCTATTCAGATTGCTTTTTTAAAAATGAAAATATACCTCAAAATGAAACAAATCAGGGATGCTTAATGATAGCCAAAATGTAATGTGGGGACCTTGTTTGGGTCCTGAGTCAAACAAAGCAACTATAAGAAGACATTTTAGAGACAATCGGGGAACCTTAATTACAGACTGGGTAGCCATAATACCAAAGCACTGTGGTTACTTTTGTTAGGTGTGATAATGGCATTGTGGTTATTTACTTATTTTGTTTTCAAAAAAAATATTTTGAGAGATTCAGAGGTGAAATAATATAAGGTCTGGAATTTGCTTGAAAGGAGCTCAGCAAATAAAAAATAAACAAAAAAGGGAGGATAGATCAAATAATGTAGCAAAAACTTCATAATTATGGATATGGGGGGTGGGCATATGGCAGTGTCTCCTGTTTTTTTCTCTACTTTACTGAATTAGCTCTCATGCCAAAAACAAAAAAACAAAAAAGGTTGCTGACCAAAAGTTTTTGGCAGTAGAAACTCAAGATTGGTAGGCCATGGGCAACGGATTGAATACTGATAGCAAGGGAGGCCATGAGGGGCGATTGAAACCTGGACCAGAGGTGAACATTACCGGGGCTGGAGGTGGTGAGAGTTTCTGGTGAAAGTGAATTCTGTATCCTGGAGTCTGGGGGAAAGAGAGGGCTGTAAAGTGAGACAGGCCAGTGCTCTGTCAAGAACTGGGGGAAGAGGAGAGAGATCCAACCGAGACACAGGCTGCAGGATTCCACCTCTGCTCGCTGGGTGCCATCCAGGCCATGTTACACCCCCGTTGCTTCTTGGAATGTGCTATCCTGTCTCCAGCAGAGCAGGGCTAGTCTTTGGCTAGTCTTTCCTCTGGAAACAGAGAAAACGTGTAGAGAGAAAAAAATAGAAATTACTGTTTTCTCTGGAGTTCACATGCCCTAAAATGACAAGATTCTCTTAACAGTGCTTTTTAGGAATAGGCATGGTGTGATTGTGGGAGGCTTGGGAAGGGCTGTCTCTGCTCCCAAAATATTTCCCCTCCCTCTTTCTTTACCTAAAATTCTACCCAAACGGGTGAGGTCTTTCTTTTCCACATCTAGAGCTCAGTTTACAGTGTTAAAATTCTTGGCTATGACTGCAGCTTATTCACCCTAATGCAGAAAGGACTAAGATCACGTTCTTCCTTCCCTTGCTGGCAAAAACTAGAGACAGCAGAGGGCCCTGGGAATAGGGAGGATGAAAACAAACTTAAATTATCTACAACGTGGCTGAGCACTGTTTCTCTGAATCTACTGGACAAATAGAAGTGGATGAAGAGTATGCAGCCATGTCTATTCTCAGACGGCACTCTGAAGAAGACTAAAGTACCTACATTCCCTTAATGACTCAGGCATCAGAGACATCTCCTCTCTCCCAGGCCCCACTCAGAAAAAATGTCAGATGCTGAACATATCCATAGCAACCAAGAACACTCCTCGGTGCCACCTTGGCCTCAGTTCCTGAATTTCTGAAATGGATTGAGAGAGAGAGGGAGAGGAGGAGGGGGAGAGGGAGAAGAAGAGGGGAGGAGGGAGGAGGGAGAAAAAGGGGGAGAGAAGAAGAGGGGAGGGGGAGGAGGGGGAGAGGGAGAGGGAGAGGAAGAATCATACTTCTATATTTATCTTTTCCCTCCCTACTCTGGGATTTTATAAAAATTAATAAAATAGTGACTGCACCTGGCCCCCTGGAAGAAGACCCCTTTCTGTGCCGTGGGAATGATGCCATTTTCTTCCCATATTCTCCTCAGATGTCTTTTCCATTAATCACCTGATTTTGAGAAGCATAAAGGAATTTGGTGTCCTTTCTATTTTAGTCCATCATATTATTTTGTAACTCAACCATATTTGTAAAGAAAAGCTAGGTTGTATTCCCACTAACAGTTCAACAGAGCAATGTTCCAAGTGGGTTGTAGTAAAATAATGTTAATCTTTTTCTTGGAGCAGGAAGAAATACAGCAACCCTTTGTCAGTCTTCCACTTGCTGCAAGAAATGGGAATCTTGCAGAAACACTGGACTTGCATAGGCAATGAGAAAGCATTGAAAGAATAGTTCACCAAGAAATGGTAGTTCCTCTTTTACTTTTTTTTTTTTTTGAGACGGAGTTGTGCTCTTTTTGCCCAGGCTGGAATGCAATGGTGTGATCTCGGCTCACCGCAACCTCTGCCTCCCGGGTTCAACCGATTCTCCAGCCTCAGCCTCCCGAGTAGCTGGGATTACAGTCATGCACCACCACACCTGCCTAATTTTGTATTTTTAGTAGAGACGGGGTTTCTCCATGTTGGTCAGGCTGGTCTCAAACTCCTGACCTCAGGTAATCCGCCCGCCTCGGCCTCCCAAAGTGCTGGGATTACAGGCATGAGCCACCGCCCCTGGCCGGCAGTTCCCCTTTTATTTTAATGACACGCTCCCTCTTTTCTTTAGGAATATATCCCTCCTCACCCCCTCAGGCCCTGGTGAGGTTGTCAATCACAGTACCCCATCCCTCTTCTGGCTCCAGTGGGAAATATGCTGACCCAGATTGGCCAATCTGAGTACACCATCATTCTGACCATTGTCATTAGTTCAGGGCAGGCAAATGACCCAAGCCAGTCAATCAGGGCTGTCAAAAGCTGGCACTGCACAATCCAACAGAACTTGTTTACTCTGCAGCAACGTCCTTGCCAGCTCAGGTCCCTGCTGTGATGGACTCCTGGCCTGACTCTGAGGTTTGTTCACACTCTCAGTGCCCAGCCAGGGCAGCTACATGCCGAGGGGCTTCCTGCCTATGCCACACGTTCACCAGAGCACTGCCAAGGTTCCAGGGAAATGGAGCCGACTGGGTTTGTCAGAGCCAGGTCTCAGACAATACTTTTGGATCTGCTGTGGTAGGGATGAACCAGTCCCTCTGAGGAAAGAATATTCCTGTGACGTGTAAGAAATACATATTTGGGCTGGGCACAGTGGCTCATGCCTGTAATCCCAGCACTTTGAGTGGCAGAGGCGGGAGGATTGCTTGAACCCAGGAGTTCATGACTGGACTGGGCAACATAGCAAAAACTGTCTCTACAAAAAGTACAAAAATTAGCTGGGCATGGTGGTACACTCCTGTAGTCCCAGCTACTTGGGAGGCTGAGGTGAGAGGATTGATTGAACCCTGGAGGTCAAGGTTGTAGTGGGCCATGGTTGTGCCACTGCACTCCAGCCTGGTGACAAAGCAAGACCCTGTCTAAACAAACAACAACAACAACAACAAAACAAAAAACAAAACAAAACAAAAAAACAGAGAGAGAAATACATATTTGGTCTCTGCCCTCTGGGGCCCCATGAGTAGACACTGGAAACTTTTAGTCCCATCCTTTGTCCTTCAGGGAGGGGAGAGGAGCTAGAGATTGAGTTAGTAATGCCTACCTAATGAAGCCTCCATACAAATCCCTAAAGTATGGGGTTTGGAGAGCTTTGGTGTTCGTGAGCGAGACTGCACCCACATACTGAGAGGGTGGCAGAACTCGTTCATGGAGACAGAAGATTCCTATGCTCAAGACCCTTCCAGACCTTGCCCTATGTGTCTCTTCATGTGGTTGTTTGTTTGTATTCTTTAATATGTCCTAATAAACTGGTAATCTAGTAAGGAAACTGTTCTCCTGAGTTCTGCAAGCTGCAATAGCAAACGGTCAAACCTGTGGAGAGGGTCCTGGGAACCTCTGATCTGGAGCCAAGTCAGGCAAAGTTGTGGGTAAACTGGGGACTCACCACTTGCAGTTGACATCTAGGGTAGGGGGCAGTCTCATGAAATCATGCCCTTAGCTTGTGAGATCAGATGCTAACTTCAGGTAGATAGTGTCAGAATTGAGTTGACTTGTGGAACACCTGGTTGGTGTCTTCTGAGAAGTGAGGAATAGGTGTTGGGAAAAAAATCCCACACATCTGGCGTCAGAAGTGCTCTGTAGTGAGCATGAGTATAGGGAAAAACAGTTTATTTTTTCTATATAACCCCCAAAGAGAGACTCACCAGGACAGAAGGAAGATTTGGAGCTGGTTACCCGGGCTTTGTGCTGAGATCCAAAGATTTTTCAGCTGGGCCGCAGTGGCTCACGCCTGTAATCCCAGTGATTTGGGAGACCAAAGCAGGAGGATTGTTTGGCTGCAGGAGTTTGAGACCAGCCTGGGCAACATAGTGAGACCCCCATCTCTACAAAAAATTTTAAAACTTAGCCAGGTATGGTAGTGTGTGCTTATAGTGTCAGCTGCTTGGGAGGCTGAGATGGGAGGATTGCTTGAGCCTGGGAGGTTGAGGCTGCAGTGAACCATGATCATACCACTGCACTCCAGCCTGGGTGACAGAGCAAGACCCTGTCTCAAACCAAACAAACAAACAAAAAATAAATAAATAAAGATATTTGAGCTAAAAGTATCATTGATTGGCTTTGGCAGATCATAAAAAGACCTATATTACCCCTTCCCCCAAGGTAACAGATGCTTGTGCGCAGCCACAGCTGACTAACCAGGCAGGGACTATACAAGAGAGAAAAAAGATGCTGCAGAATGACCTTAGTCACCTCTAGACATATGATAGATAGGCTGTCATAACTTTTAAGCACCTTTCTCAAGGCCCACAGTGTTATACCACACTGTTTCCATCTGAATGCTTCAGAGAACAGGTTTCAAGCAAGACAACCTGGTACCCAGAAGTGGAGGCAGGGCACTCTTAACCAGCATGCACCTGGCATGAGAAATACTCTAGGATTTTCTATACAGCAGATTAAGAAATATGGGGATCCCAGTTGGGTTAAGAATTAAGTGCCTTTCCAATTGACTTAGTGCTGGTGAGGGGTGACAGTGGGGAAAGGTGTTGTCTTATTTTCACTGAAGCACATGGTCTACTTCACTGAAGTAAGGCCAATTTGCATTTTTTCCAGTTATATATGGAGTCTTGTATTGGACTTAGCTGGCACTGTATTTCTACTTTATTCTTTTTTTTTTTTGAGACAGAGTCTTGCTCTGTTGCCCAGGCTGCAGTGCAGTGGCGTGATCTCTGCTTACTGCAATGTCCGCCTCCTAGGTTCAAGCGATTCTCTTGCCTCAGCCTCCCAGGTAGCTGGGATTACAGGCACCCGCCACCATGCCCAGCTAATTTTTTTTTTCTTTTTCTGAAACGGAGTCTTGCTCTGTTTCCAGGCTGGAGTGCAGTGGTGCGATCTCGGCTCACTACAGCCACCATCTGCCATCTGCCAGGTTCAAGCGATTCTTCTGCCTCAGCCTCCTGAGCAGCTGGGACCACAGGTGTGCACCACCACGCCCAGCTAATTCTTGTAACTTTAGTACAGACAGGATTTCACCATGTTGGCCAGGGTGGTCTTGAACTCCTGACCTCAAGTGATCCACCTGCCTCGGCCTCCCAAAGTGCTGGGATGACAGGCATGAACCACCGGGCCTGGCCATCTACTTAATTCTTAAAAGTGGTCTTTAGAAATTGACTCCTAAGGCAGCTGTCCTGCCTGCCCCTCAACCCAGTTCTGCATCTGTGCCATTGCTTCTGTGCACCCTCTCTGCTTCCCCAACCTTCTTTAAATAGGTCATGCTATCTCCCACCAGAGGGCAATGGAATGAGTGTGTTAAGAATAGAATTCTGCAGATAAAGCCCACTCTGATTTTTTCACTGTTACCTGCTGTGTGTTTGGAGCCTGCTTGCCCATTGACCTGAGGCCTCACACCACTAGGCCTTTCCAGTGACTGCCTCACTGAGACCCTTTTGGATTTTCAATCCTGTAATGCTAATGAAAGCTTTATCCAATTGATGGCATCCCACTAATAACAATGTTGGCATGCATGGCCCTTTCATCTCCTCTTGGCTAGTGATAAAATAGTCTGCGATTCCAGCTGGAAACGATTTTGACTCAAGGGGTTTCTTGGCCAGAGGTAAATTGTTTCTTTATATCTATACTGGTGGCCATCTGAATTGTATAAGTTTAAACGTTTTTCTGTCAAAGAAAATATCTCAGATATAAAGTGTGACTTTTGGCTAAGGTATTCTAGGAGACAGAGAATGGTATCCAGGTTGGATTACTTAATATAAAAATAGAATCATATTCTCTTACTTGCATTTTTCTTCAAGCCATTTTGTTGACACACAGTACCAAAAGCATTTCAGAGGTCAGTAGCAGGCATCTGAATACCCTCAAATGAAGCAACAACAAACAATCAACTAGTAAATACTATTTTTAAGGGATTTTTTTTTGAGGTGGAGTCTTGCTCTGTCACCCAGCCTGGAGTGCAGTTGTGTGATCTCGGCTCACTGCAACCTCCGCCTCCCGGGTTCAAGCGATTCTCCTGCCTCAGCCTCCCGAGTAGCTGGGATTACAGACGTGTGCCACCATGCCTGGGGAATTTTTGTATTTTTAGTAGAAAAGGGGTTTCACCACGTTGGCCAGGCTGGTGTCAAACTCCTGACCTTAGGTGATCCACCCGCCTCAGCCTCCCAAAGTGCTGGGATTACAGGCATGAACCACTGCGCCCGGCCTAAGGGATTTTAAGGCAGCAAAAAACCCAGTTTCAGGCTCTGCCTTCTTAAACACAGCCATATAAGACAGATTAGGATAAAAAAATATAGACCCATATTCATTTAAGATATGCAGATAGAAATTGCCAAGTATTAGTGCCATGCACAGGGTTTAAGGTGACCAATTGCCTCAGTTTTCCCAGTACTGTCTGGGTTTTAGCACTGTAAGTCCCACATCCCAGGAAACACCTTGGTCCCAGGCAAACTGGAACATTTGGTCACCCAAGAGCAGGCCAAGTCACAGAACTCAGGCCATGGCCAAAATGAATAGACTGTTCAGGTATTTTTATGGTTGATGTATATTATTTGTCTCAATTTATTTGTGTCTTAGTAAAAGAAGGGTTAAAATCTGAACCTCACGCTCAGAATTGTTGTAAGAAACTGCCTCAATTAGTCACTAGGCAATTTGCAAATGTGAGATGGTATGAAATTATAAATAATAGCTTGGAGTGATTTTAATGTAGCTAGTAGACCTAACCTGGCTGATGCCAAGGGTCTCGCTGTGTAACTATTAGAGCTTTGCCTATGAAGAAAATCTAGTCCATTGTGAGCAATTTCACATTTCTTTCGTTCCTGCTAATGCTAGGCCACCTCTCAGGACAATCCAGGGCAACCTTGGCTCCAATTTTGTCTAACCCGGCTGGATGCAGCCAAATTATGGGCTTCTTTTTAGGTGGAGCATATTTTTGTGGGCTGTGGGAGACCTGTAATTCTTTTTTTTTTTTCCCCTCGTGCAAACCATTTATAGCTTTGGGTGATGTAAAATCCACAGGGTGCCTACAACAGTGTCACGCAACCAAAGGGCTTCCCACATGATCCATCTGGGACACAGTGGAGCCAGGGCCTCACCCAAGTCTCTGTCCATCCACTTTCAACTCCTCCTGCCCTCCTCCCCCAATCTCCCAAGTGGGGCAGCAGCCCACAGAGCCTTTTACTTCTTTCACCCGCTTGTGGTTCAGCGGCTTCAATTATCAGCCAGGTTTTCTTTTCATCGACAGAGCTATTGTTTGATGCTGTGCATTCATCCATCCATAAGCACCTCAAATCTGTCTGACTTGCTAGTTTCAGAACCATGGCAACAGCACAGCTTTGTGCAGGAGTCCTAGATTAGGAAGCAAAACCTCATTTTTAGGTCCAGCTCTGTCATAGCCTTGCTGAGATGTCTCAGGCAAATTGCCCCACCTCTCAGGACTTCCGTGTCCTCATTTATTAAATGAGAGGTTTGGATTAAATTAATTCTAAAGCACCTATAGCCTCTAAAATTCTATGATTCAATATAAGAGTGCTAACTGGCAGGGAAAATAGGAAAGAGAGGGAAGAGATTAAGAGATACAAAGCCCAGTAAGGTGGAAGCCAGGGCTAGCGCAAGATGCTCAGTCAAAGGGCTGGCCAACCACTTACTGTTTAGAACAGAAATATGTGCTACTGGATTCTAAGGAGTTTGTTGGGCTATGGTGTGATTTTACTCTTTTCCCATCATCATCCAAAACTTTTAGTCAAAGGGCTACCCAACCAGCCTTCCCTTGGGGCTAATATGGAGCAAAGCTTACCGTGAAGTAAACAAAGATAACAGTAAAAAATTGGTTCTGGCCGGGCGTGGTGGCTCACCCCTTTAATCCCAGCACTTTGGGAGGCCGAGGTGGGTGGATCACAAGGTCAGGAGATGGAAACCATCCTGGCCAATATGGTGAAACCCTGTCTCTACTAAAATACAAAAAAAAAAAAAAAAAAAAAAAATTTAACTGGGCACGTTGGTGCGCTCCTGTAGTCCCTGCTACTCTGGAGGCTGAGGCAAGGGAATCGCTTGAACCTGGGAGGCGGAGATTGCAGTGAGCCAAGATCATGCCACTTCACTCCAGGCTGGCGACAGAGCGAGACCCTGTCTCAAAAAAAAAAAAAAAAAAAATTGGTTCTAAGGAAACAACCCAGAAACCTATTAAATTGAAATCTATTTACAAATAGCTTGTTTTCTCAGAACATAAAAAAAAAAAACTGCAATTCGATACATCTCAACAGGAGACCCTGCGTTTAGCAAACAGTCCTACAAATGCAGATTCTTGGAAATTACTACACATGGCATGGCTGTACTGAGAGGAAGCAATGAAGCAGACATCATCACTGTTGTCTCGACTGGCCTTTACTCTGGACTCTACAGCCCTGGTTCTTTGTTCTTTATTTTAGGCTTTCAGGAATTTTACTTTACTGGGATATGATAACTCCTATGATTATAAAGGATCTAATTAATTAAAGCAGGCTCCAGAGGAAGATTACCACTGGAACTCTTCAGTTCCCGCTGTTATTGGTGGGCCTCAATTATTGCTATTCCCTTTACCCTAATTAACTTCTTGGATATAGTCCACAAAGGAAAATAACAATTTATATAGCTATTCTAGATTCTTTCATCCTGGGGTCTCTAGAATCCCAAGGGTACGCACAATAGTAATAATCTTGGAACTACTTTTGTAATTTCCAACCTCATATTAACAATTATGAATTTCTCTCAATCTGTTCCATTCTTTTTTGAATGTAGCTACCTTTGCGTTCACTATACTCAAGCAGGCACATTAAATAATGTCTGTCCAGGAATTCACTCAGGTCCAGTCTCTATTTACTGTTTCATCCCACTGCTGGCTACATTTATAATCCCAACCTTGTGATGCCTCCAGATATAAGCACTCAATAGCTTGCATTTGGTCTCCATAATTTTTAAAAACTTTTTATTATGAAAAAATGTGTCGAAGTAGAGAAGGTAGTATAATAAACCTCCGTGAACCTATCACAGAGCTTCCATATTATCAACTCACTTAATGCCCAACTACATTTGATGCCCAGAACAGTCATTTTAAACACTCCCCTCCTCTATACGATGAAGCTATTTTTGGTAATCCTTATGAAATGAAACAAACAATAGTAATGATCAGAATAGAAATGCAGAAGGTGAAAATTTTCTTTTATTGAACGTTATAGATGTAATCATGTCAGTAAAAAAAAAATTATAATACTAAAAAAAAAAGAGGCACAATATTTATTCAATAATGTTTATATTTCCCTAGCAGTTTAAACTTTGACCGTTTGGTTACAGTATGATATAATAGTACATTATGTACATAAGTGTCCACTAGCTAATCAGTAAATATTAATAAAACTGAAATCATAAGGCATATATATATATATATATATATTTTTTTTTTTTTTTTTTTTTTTTTCAGTCAAGGTGTTTCTCTGTCACCCAGGCTGGAGTGCAGTGGCGCAATCTCAGCTCACTATAACATCTGCTTCCCTGGCTTAAGTGATCCTCCTGCCTCAGCCTCCTGACTAGCTGGCACTACAGGTACACCATCATGCCTGGCTAATTTTTGTATTTTTAGTAGAGATGGGGTTTCGCCATGTTGCCCAGGCTGCTCTCAAACTCCTGAGCTCAAGCGATCTGCCTGCCTCGGCCTCCCAAACTGCTGTGATTATAGGCATGAGCCATCGTGCCTAGCCAAAATGTCATATTTTATTTTCTTGATCCATTCTTCAGTTTTTAAAATAATTAATAATCAAGAAAGGAAAATACATTTCTATTTTAAAGATATTCAAAATCAGTAAAATGTTTCAGGTATGAACTACAGTTTATACTTATCAACAATAAAATTACACCTTGCAGTTCATTCTGTTTCAGTGTTTTTCAATTTTAAGCAGAAATAAACATTCCAAAATGTCACATAGAATGACAGAATTGAAGTATCTCAAGTTCTTTCTTTCTTTTTTTTTTGACTTTTACAATTGCTATACTTTTCTAGTTAATTTCAAATCTACTTTTTAAAGACAGGAACATGTGTTCCACAGGGTTAAAGACATGCTCTGCAGCAGAAGAGAGCTTTAATGATTCCTCAGAAGTACAGGCATTTACACTTCCATATTCTCTACAGACAATGCATCATTTTATTGTCTGCATCTGGGGTGAACTGCTCCAACCACCCTTGCCCTTGGTGTGTCAATGCTCCATACATTTTAACACAGCCTGGACACTGTGTTATATGGTGACCCATAGTGACTTGGGGACCATGTCCTTCCCATTACTCTGGCTCTACCCAGGGCTTTGTCTTACGATTCCTTATGATGAGTCAGCATGCTTGACTTTGTTCACACTAACTTTAGATTGGACCAGAAAATTCAGCTTTGACAATTCTGTAAGGTGCATGACTTTTCTGGCCATGCAGAAAGGGCTTCTCTTTAATAAAACTGCCTATTTTTTCTTTCTGTTCTCAGATGGACCAGTTAATATAGAAGTTTTTTTTTAAGACATAATTGAAAGCTTTCAGAAGCAGCCAACATATCCAAAATCCTACCTGATACCTTTTTACAAAGTGCTCTAAATTTCCAGCCTTAGGAGGCACATTGTCTGAACCCCATGAAACAATAGGGAACAATTCAACCAGTTGCTTTGCTATCTTCTGAAAGGGTTGCCATCTTCCCTCTAGAGAAAGAGGGAGGTGCTAGCAAACTCAGTTCAGCAAATTCCACATTTTAAGGCCTGTTACTTTAAATACCCTGCAAGTATTTACCAGGACACCAAATGGAAAAGAGATTAACTCAAGAGGAATTTTGATAATAGCTAGGACATAAAGAAAACCAGTTGAGAGTCATAGTGTGGACAAGGGCAGGTAGGCAAGACTAGACCAAGACAGGTCCGGAAGGCTAATAATTTAGTCCCTCTTCAAACCAATGCTCTTTAGATGTTGATTCAATATTTATTTTGTGGGAGAGAAATATTTTAAAATTTCCACTTGAGATTACTATCTAGTTTGATGAGAGTACGACTGAATTTTATTTTAGCCAACTATATAAAAATTCTCTTGTGGAGACCTGCATTAACTGCCACCATATAGCCAATGTACTCTATTGATGTTTTCTTGCCTACTTATTAATAGGTGCCCTGGGCATCTGCACAGCTGGTACACTCCTTCATCCAAAGTTTGATCAAGACAAAGGAAAACATAATTAGGAGCTCAGGGTAAGAAAGTATGATAAAGCCTGGTGGGCTATGGGCTATTGCCTTGTTTTTTGTTTCTGTTCATTTTTTCTTTTTGTTATTTTAACTGTTATGCTCTACTTGTTTTGCAACTATACTATTTATTTATTTATTTATTTATTTATTTATTTAGTTAGTTAGTTAGTTAGTTTTTGAGACAGAGTCTCACTCTGTTGCCCAGGCTAGAGTGCAGTGGTGAGATCTTGGCTCACTGCAACCTCTGCCTCCTGGGTTCAAGCTATTCACCTGCCTCGGCCTTCCCAGTAGCTGGGATTACAGGCACCCACCGCTATACTTGGCTAGTTATTTTATTTTTAGCAGAGACGGAATTTCACCATGTTGGCCAGCTGTTCTTGAACTTCTGACCTCAGGTGATCCACCCGCCTCGGCCTCCCAAAGTGTTGGGATTACAGGCGTAAGCCACTGTGCCCGGCTGCAACTATACCCTTCATGAACCAAAGCAGCCAGTTCCATGCCAACTGTTCAGTATACTGAAAAATTCTGCAACCTAAATTTAGCTATTTTAAAAAATGTCTTTTGAAGTTCTTTTAGATGTATGCTGCAGTAATTTAGTGTTTGTTGCCCCCAGAATTAATTTCATGTGTCCCCTCAGTCAGTTGCCATATCTAAGCCAATTCAGCGATCCACAGCCCCTTGGCTGAAAAGGAGATTGGGCCATTTTGAAGAAGAATACTACAATGCTGCAACAAAAAGATAGTATAAATCTTCCTATAACCCTTCTACAAAGGATCTACATTCACTTACTAGACTGCTTGTACATAGGAAAAAGGGAAAAAACCCATAATTTTATGAAATTATGAGACACTGGCTCTGTAGTAGGTTGAACAATGTCCCCCCAAATTCACTTCCACTTGGAACCTCAGAATGTGATCTATATGGAAATAACATCTTTACAGATGTTATTATAAAGTAACAGTCAAAATGAGGTCATACTGGATTAGCGGAGGACCCAAATCTATGAAAATACTCTTTTATGAGCTAGAGAGTAAGGGAAGAAGGCCATGTGTAGATGGAGGCAAAGTTTGGAGTTATACAGCCATAAGCCAAGGACTTCTAGGAGCTGCCAAGAGCTACCAGGAGCCAACAGAAGCTGGAAGGATCCTCCCCTACAGCATTTGGAGGGAGAGTAGCCCTGCCAACACCTTAATTTTAGACTTCTGGCCTCCAGAACTATGAGAGAATATATTTCTGTTGTTTAAAACCACCAAATTTGTGGTAATTTGTTATTGCAGCCCTAGGAAATTAATACAGGTTCTAACTTGATGCTGATCTCTGAGGACCCAGAAGCCCACCAGGGGGAATATGGAGGTCAGGTAAACAAATGACATTTTGGCATAAGTCCATCCCACAGTGAGCCCCGTAGATCCATGGACCCATGTGTGGTTATTTTCCAAGTTCCTAAATGTATAATCAGAATAGACATGCTAGGCAACTGACAGAATATCCACATTGGCTTCCTGACCCATGGAGGTGGGGCTATCATAGTAGGAACAGCAAGTAGAGCATCTTGGAGCATTCTCTCCTAATCAGAATAGTAAATGAAAACCAATACTGCACCCCGGGGGCAACTGTCAATTTTATTGATACCATCCAAAACCGGAAAGATCCCAAGGCAGTGATCACTATCACATCCCCATTTAACGCACCTGTTTGGATTGTGCAAGAGGTAGATACATTTTAGAGAATGACTATAGATTATTATAAATTAATTGGCTTTTTGTTTTGCAGCTGTTTTTCCCAATTTGGTATATATATTGGGGCAAATCATCTCAGACCTTGGCTCCCAATATGCAGCTATTGATCTCGTGAGTGCTTTTTTCTCCAAATCAATTTAAAAGACCCACCAGCAAAGGTTTGTTTCCAATTGGCAAAGATTTGCCTCAAGGTTATATCAACACTTTTGCTTTCTGCAATCATCTAGGCTGAAGATACCTTAGTCATCTTACCACTCCATGTAACATTATGATGCTCCATTAATTGATAATTTGCTAATTAGGCCTGAGCAGCAGGAGATAGCAAGCACCAAAGACATTAGCTAAACACATGCATGCTATAGAGTAGCATGATATAAACCTCATGAAAATGCATCTTTTTATGGATCTTAGAGGTAATATGCACCTAATTTTGGTGGGTTACTACAAGCTGTTTACTGAATAACCCAAAGGCTGCCAGTTTTGAATGGGGCTCAAAAGAAGAGAAGGTTCTACAGCAATTTGTGGTCATATGACCTGGCAGATCCAGTGGTACTCAAAGTATCTGTGGCAAATAGGGACACTTTTGGCAACTTCCAACAAGAGAGTCACAGTGCAGACTGCTAGGATTTGTGGGCAAAGCTGTGTTCTCTTCTTAAGATGACAATTCTCATCCCATGAAACAATTCCTCACTTGCTATTGCAGTTTGCTACAGGCAACAAGTGACAATGTAAACCAAGATGCTTATCACAAACTTGGTGGTATCTGGTCCAGCAGGTTCTAAGTTGGGAGTATACTCAGCACCAATCTATCACTACATGAAAATAATAATGAGATAGGACTCAAGAAGATCCTAAAAACACAAGTAAGTTGCATGAGCAGTGCCTTAGACTCATGTAGCACCTAGTCCTGTGGCATTGCCTCCTGTTTCTCAGTACAAACCTTATGGTGTCATGGGGAGTTTCTTTTAATCAGCTGACTGAGGGAGAAAAACTCATATTTAGTTTACAAATGGTTCCAGAAGTAGGCTGCTTCAGCATTACAGCCCAAATCAGGTGCATGTAAGAGGGTAGTAAAGAGAAATTCTTCCAATAGGCAAAACTGAGAGAAGTACATTTGGTTACCCACCCTGTCAGGACTGCAAATAGGCAGTCATTCATAGACAGTGGATGGGTGGTCAGAGAATTGGAAAGAACAGGATTGGAAGATTGGTGATTGGAGAACAGGAAAATGGCATAAGGATAGACATCTTAAAGCGGGCATGGGGTATGAGGATATTTGTTTCCCTTGTGTATGCTCACTGCAGAGAAGGCCATCAAAAAATCAAAGTGATAGGTGGAAGTATTCTGTGGCTCTCAGACGCTCCAGTCCTTACTCGATGGGTCCATGCCCTAAGTAGTTGTGGGCTCAACTATACCAACTTCTCACCAAGGTCGATATGGCTACTGCCATTGTTAAGTGCCTCATTTGCCAACAGCAGGGACCAACGCGGAGTTCCTGGGGGGACCCAGCAGCCACCTGGTAATGGGTTTATTACATTCAACTTTATCCGTTATAGGAGAGGCAAAAGAAGAATAGGGAAGATCAATGAAACCAAAGTAAAAGAAATTGCTGCACTTTGCATTCTCTACCAAAAGGAAGAAAACACAGCTCCTGGTCTGCCCACTTTGGGTTTTGGAAGCAACACATTTCACACCTAGAAATGTTGCTCCAGCCAATATTCAAGGTGACACCAAAGGTTTCCAGTTTTTGAGTAGAGCCCAGAGCAGAAAGACTCGCAGCAAGTCCAGGCTTTGCTGCAATCAACCCTGCCACCTGGGCCACATAATCTATCAGATCTTATGTTATTGGAAGTATCATAGGTAAGGAAACATGCAGTAAGAAGTTCATGGCAAGCTCCAGAAAGAATCACCCCAGTGCAGACCTCTGAGATTCTGGAGTAAGTTCACGCCATCTACATCAGAAACAATGTGCCCTTTGAAAAACAGCTCTTGGTGTGTTACTAGCAGGGATAGAGCACCTAATCATGAAACACCAAGTGACTATGATTCTGGAACTGTTAACTATGAGCTGGGTTTGTCACATACACCAAGTCATAAAGTCAGATAGTCCCAGCAAAGCAGCATAAGTTAACAGTGGTACAATCAGGATTGAGCCCAGGCAGGACCTGAGGGTATGAGACAGCTGCATGACCAGGTAGCCTAGAGCCCCATGTCACCCACCATAGTTGCACTGAGTTGTAGTTGTGATCATATAGATCCCACTGGACCAGCTGAAAGACCTGCCTAAGTTTAGCTTATAAACTGGTGAGTTTTATTTGTGGGTGTTTTAAGGGGTGGCCTTGAAAGACAGTTGAAAAGGGAAAATCTTCCTAATGGGTGGTCCAGAGAGCAGTATACCTGGCATCCAGTGTATGTGGAAGAAGGCATTCCAGGTAAGAATACATACAGGTTCCCAGAGAGTGGATCTGATCAGGGGCTTAGAAGAAGAAAAAAGACAAAATGACTGAAGACCAGGAGGTCTGGGGTGAGGGCATGTGGCTGGATGTAGACATGGGCACATGCATAAGGATTTTTGTATCACACATTAATACCTGCACTTTCATGGCCCTAATAGTGAGTGCCTATCAATTTTGCACCCTAGGCACCTCCCCTGATTCACCCTATTCCTAATCTTGCAAAAGAATTTTCACCAAACTCTATTGTCTATACTTGCCCAGATTCAAGTAAAGGGACATAGATCCAACCTCTCAACAGGTAGAATATCAAAGAGTTTAAAATGATCACATAAGCACCATGCTTAACATAGACGCTTGGTGGCCAATGTCAATATTTTCTGGAAATGACATACAAAGAGGCTTCCATTCTATCTCAAAGTGAACAAATGGGCCATGAATGAAAGCATGCTATTCTCCAAACAGAAAAATTTGTGGCGGCTCAAACCCAAGTCATAGTAAAGTCTCCCCCAACTACCACTTTAACTTAGACTAATATTAGATGAATTTGTAGGATTATAGAAAGCATAATTCTCTGCAGTTTCATGGGTTACTATTTAGATTTAAATTTCATAAATGGAGTCAACAATCAGCTGAAAGCATTACTGACTATAAAAGTATTTCAGGTCAGGTACGGTGGTTCACACCTGTAATCCCAGCACTTTGAGAGGCTGAGGTGGGCAGATCACTTGAGGTCAGGAGTTCGAGACCAGCCTGGCCAACATGGTAAAACCCTGCCTCTACTAAAAATACAAAAAAGTAGCCGACATGTTGATAGGCAGCTGTAATCCCAGCTACTCAGGAAGGTGAGACAGGTGAATCGCTTGAACCCAGGAGGCGGAGGTTGCAGTCAGCCGAGATCGCGCCACTGCACTCCAGCCTGGGTGACAGAATGAGACTCCATCTCAAAAATAAATAAATAAATAAGTATTTCAGTGTACCCATTTGGAGAATTTCATAGCTGCTATTCTTGATAAGATCAACATTAGATCATCCTGAGTTTGACATTTATGATAAAAACCCTCAAAATGTACTTTTTTGTTTTTGTTTTTGAGACAGGGTTTCACTATGTCGCCCAGGCTGGAGTGCAGTGGTGCAATCACAGCTCACTGCAGCTTGAACTCCTGGGCTCAGGTGATCTACCTCAGCTTCCAGGGTAGCTGGGACTACAGGTGTGTGCCACCACACCCAATTAATTTTTTATATTTTTTTTTGTAGAGATTGGGTTTTGTCATATTGTTCGGGCTGGTCTTGAACTCCTGAGCTCAAGCAATCCGCCCGCCTTGGCCTCCCAAAATTTGGGATTACAGGTGTTAGCTACTGTGCCTAGCCTGTGCTTCTTGATTTAATAAAATTTGGCATTTGTGATCATGAAGTGATCATGTAAGACTTATCTCTACTGCTTCCTTCCATGTTGATGTGGTTTGACTGTGTCCCCACCTAAATCTCAACTTGAATCGTATCTCCCAGAATTCCCATGCGTTGTGGGAGGGACCCAGGGGGAGGTAATTGAATCATGGAGGCTGGTCTTTCCTGTGCTATTCTCGTGATAATGAATAAGTCCCACGAGATCTGATGGGTTTATCAAGAGTTTCTGCTTTTGCTTCTTCCTCGTTTTCTCTTGCCACTGCCATGTAAGAAGTGCCTTTCACCACCCCCACACCCTGCCATGACTCTGAGGCCTCCCCAGCCACGTGGAACTGTAAGTCCAATCAAATAAACCTTTTTCTTCCCAGTCTCAGGTATGTCTTTATCAGCAGTATGAAAACGGACTAATACAGTAAATTGGTACCAGTAGAGTGGGGCGTTGCTGAAAAGATACCCCAAAAAGTGAAAGCAACTTTGGAACTGGGCAACAGGCAAAGGTTGGAACAGTTTGGAGGGCTCAGAAAAAGACGGGAAAATGTGGGAAAGTTTGGAACCTCCTAGAGACTTGGTGAATGACTGATAAAAATGCTGATAGTGATATGGACAATAAGGTCCAGGCTGAGGTGGTCTCAGATGGAGATGAGGAACTTATTGGGAACTGGAGCAAAGCACTTGTTATGTTTTAGCAAATAGACTGGCAGCATTTTTGCCCCTGCCCTAGAGATTTGTGGAACTTTGAACTTAAGAGAGACAATTTCAGGTATCTGGTGGAAGAAATTTCTAAGCAGCAAAGCATTCAAGAGGTGACTTGGGTGCTGTTAAAAGCATTCCATTTTAAAAGGGAAACAGAGCATAAAAGTTCAGAAAATTTGCAGCCTGACAATGCAGTGGAAAAGAAAAACCCGGCCGGGCACGGTGGTTCATGCCTGTAATCCCAGCACTTTGGGAGGCCGAGGTGGGTGGATCACGAGGTCAGGAGCTCGAGACCAGCCTGACCAACATGGTGAAACCCCGTCTCTACTAAAAATACAAAAATTAGCTGGGCGTGGTGGTGTGTGCCTGTAATCCCAGCTACTCAGGAGGCTGAGGCAGGAGAATCACTTGAAACTGGGAGGCGGAGGTTGCAGTGAGCCAAGATCACGACACTGCACTCCAGCCTGGGTGACAGAGCCAGACTCCATTTAAAAAAAAAAAAAAAAAGAATGACTGAAACTATAGCCACCTCAGGAAAGCAAAATAATAGTAATAATAGCTAACATTGATTTAGTGGTTACTATGTGCCAGGCAGTTTGCTAAGCATCTTCCATGCTTTGTCTCCTTTAACCTTCATAATAACCATATGAGAAGATACATTAGTATTATTACAGAGGAAAAAAGTGAGGCTTAGAGAGGGTAAGTTGACAAGAATTAGTAAGTGGCAGAAATGGAATCAAAATGCTATTTTGTCTCCCCAAGATATGAGCTGAGGGAGCAAAACAAAATAAGAATGTAAGGGCATCCAGGGTGGAGGTGAAAGGGATCAAGAGAATGAGGGTGAGGCACAGAGATAAAGTAGGTGATATCGAGGAGTTCAGAAAATGAAGCCCACAAGCACTCGATATAAGAACTGTGTATCTCTTCAGAGCAAGGGCAGTTCCTGGGAGGCACTGTGCCAGCCAGGAGGTAGTTAGAATCTACAGGAATGCGAGGTCATAGAACCAGGATCATACAAAGTCTAGAGTGCACAGGGCATTACCCTACTGTTTAGCTGTTCCTCCTAGGGTGTCTCAAAAAGAGCAGATACACTAGAAGTTATATTTAGAGATACCTGGCATTTGGATTTTTAGCTGTACCTCAGAGTTCCAAAGAAATAAAGATATGTCTCTTCTCTGGCCCAGCAATTACTGAAATGGTTTTATTTTATAGATCTACATAGTTCACATACATTAGAAATGACTTTGTATAACCTACACCTTTACTGGCTAAGTTAGCAGAGAGAACATTCAGCCCACTAAATGTTCAGCAGTATTTACTTAGTTTACAAGCTGTTGCAACTTTGCCCTCCAACAAATTATGTTAGTACTAACCTAACAGCTTATAAAATAATACTTCTATAGTTAGTAACTTACATAGTAATCAAACTCCTTTTAGAAGTGTATAGTTTTTGGCAAATTAAATTATGTTTAAATATCTGCTGAATTCAACTTGTTCTAGGAATACCAAAGAACGCCACGCTTACATTTTTTAAAGGTTTTATATGGTAAGTCATCTTAGGGTAGGGAAAATCTGAATTGGCCTTTCTATTTTCAGTCCTACGGTGGGGCTTGAGTCACTGCATTCCAGGCTCAGTGAATTAGTGATAATAGAAAAGGGCACAAAAAGGCTATCAGGAACCAGGGTTATCTGGTATATTTGCTCTGCTCTTCCCTGGCACCTCTCAGTTGCTCCTGCCTGAGCATGCTCCTCTTTTCCATCTGTGTTGTTTTTTACCCCAGCATACTGTTGGAAGGGTTGCTCGAAGGCATTTGACTGAAGGGTACTTGGAAAGACCAAACCCAAACCACAGTAGTGACCAGATACTTAGTGGCAGCCCCAGCTGCAGTTATGGCAAGAAGTGGCCAAGGAGGGGAATCACCATGACCACAGAGGATGCAGTGGGCATTAGGGACCTGGCATTTGCTGTCAGAACAATCCAGTCAGGGTAACAGGTGGTGTTGCAGGAGATGGGTGGAGCACACAGCAGGGATTTGGGGAACAGGAGATCCATGGATATCTACACATGCTGACAGCTCTCAGCATCGGGTTATCTGGCAGCTCAGAGCAGTTGCTTTGCCTGGAGTGGTTGGGTACTCAGCCTGGCTGAGGCTTGTCTGGGAGAACTTTCTCTGTCATTGTTCATCTTGATCTGTGAGAAGCTGTAGGTGCCCCTAAGGCTCAGTGGGAAGATAAAACCCCAACAAGTTGGTCTGGAAAATCGAAGACCAGCAAGTGGGTATGGTCATAATAATTTTAATTTTATTTTTTTTTTAATTAGAGTTCTGGCCAGGTGCAGCGGCTCACGCCTGTAATCCTAGCACTTTGGGAGGCAGAGGCTGGCAGATAACCTGAGGTCAGGAGTTTGAGATCAGCCTGGCCAAAGTGGTGAAATCCTATCTCTACTAATAATACAAAAAATAGCCGGACATGATGGTGAGCACCTGTAATCCCAGCTACTTGAGAGGCTGAGGCAAGAGAATTGCTTGAACTAGGGATGCTGAGGTTGCAGTGAGCTGAGATTGCACCACTGCACTCCAGCCTGGGCGAGAAGAGTGAAACTCCATCTCAAAAAAAAAAAAAAATAGAGTTCGCTTTTCCTTTTTGGCCTTCCTAGACTGCGCAGGTGTCAGCAGGAGGACCAGCCATCCACTTTGGCTATGGCAGCAAGGCTTTCTGGTCAGTCTGGAAATCAGTAGGTATGGAGATTGGCTTGCAAGTACTCATCAGAGCTCCTATTTTCTTTTCAGGAGGCAGCTGTATGGAGGCCAATATGCAGACAAGGGAAGTAACTCAGGCATTTTGGGGGAGAGGTACAGAAAGAAGAGAAAAGACTGAACTGACTGCTGTTCTGAACAAGAACTGTGACTATATGTGGTACTCCCAGAATGGTGAGGTCTGGGACACTTGAATAATATGGCTATACTGTGAATGATGTTACCTAGACAGAATGTTTATCCCAGTTAAGTGATAGGTAGGGAACTAAGGTATCGAGGGTCTCAGGTATAACGTCCTGAGGGGTCCCATGAAAGCAAAGATAACAGGTGTATCTTTTATGCCTCTTAGAGCTGTACGAATGCTGTAACTCAGGGATCTATAAAGCCCTAAGTCAAGCAGAGGCACAGGTGGAAAAAGGGGCAAATTTGATAACCCAGAGAAGAAAGCCTGGTGATCAAAGCAAGGAGACAAACCTGAGGCTGCCATCAGGTGCTGAATATGAAGTGAGGCTGTCAAGGGACACAAGGTATTCAGTAGCGGATGGGGTGTGCACAGAGAGGAAGGCTGGACAAATATCTGAATCAGGGCCATGGCCCAGGGCTGATATTTTCTGAAATGCCTAAGGCATGATATGTGAGCAGGCCACTATAGTTAGAGTGACACAGACAGAGTGACAGAATAGAACAAACAGCAGAATCAGTTTAGTGTTGAGTGTGTTCATCTGGTTAGACTAATTTCCTAGTCACAAAGATAAAACTGAGAACATGTTTTTTTCCTCTAGCCAAGTGGTCCTTTACAGGCAGATTAAAGACACCAGCTATAGATAAACATGAAAGCAGCTTTACTGCTACTTCCCTTCGTTTTCAGTTCTGGTGGGCAAGTAAGGAGTCTCCCGCTCCAAGAGAGAGTAAAGGTTTAGAGCTACTCCCAGCAGGGTTCAGGGCATGCTTATGGCAGAGAGGAGACTTGCCTTCCCAGCCTCCTGCAGGCCCTAGGATGCCCTGGGTCTAGCCAGAGAAGGACAACAGTGAGTCAGCAAGTTAGAATGGGTTTAACAGTAACAGCCGGGTGGAGTTCACGTTCTGTTTCCTCAGGCTTCCACAAAGAAAACCAGAGATCTCTTATGTAGGACTAACCAAGTATAATCTTGTCTTACTGAGTATAGCCAAGTATTCACAGTTTGGGTCACTGTGAATGGAATTGTTAACAGTGGAGAATTCGTACGGGTCGGCAGCAACCTCAATCGGGGCATAAGGCAGAGGGAGAGACCCAGGCAAGTTTTAGAGCAGGAGTGAAAGTTTATTAAAAAGCTTTAGAGCAGGATTGGAAGGAAAGGACACTTAGAAGAGGTCCAAGTGGGCGACTTGAAGGACAAGTGTGGTTTGACTTAGGGTTTTATATGTTGGCATACTTCTGGGGTCTTCTCCCCTGATTCTTTCGTTGAGGGTGGTTTGTCCATATGTGTAGTGACCTGCTAGCACTTGGGAGGTGAGCATGCGCAGTGTGTTTACTGGAGTTGTACTTATGCTCACTTGAAACATTCTTCCCTTTACTGGTGACATGCCCCCAGAAGATCAAATACCAGTTAAACTCCGCCATTTTGCCTCTTGGTGCTCATGTGTGAGTCCGCACGCCCAACTCCTGGGATCTTATCAGGAAGCTGATGATCACCAGTTTCAGGTTTCTTCTATCTATAGGGAGACTGCCTTTCCCTGGAGCTGGCTGCAACCAATTATTATTTTAGAGAGACAGTTAACAATGGCCTGACCATCACCCGATGGTCGCCTGACTTTCCCGGTGGGGTGTGGGGACCCTCTTCTGTCCTGTTTGTGTCTGACTAGCTACCTACTGTAACAGGATGACCATATAATTTATCATTCAAACTACTAGACACTTTTGAGAGTGAAGGGGGGCACTATTAGTTATGTTGGCAAAACAGGTGTGAATGTGGATGTCTCTGGATAATCAATATCTACAGCCATCCAACTCATATATGGTAACCCAATCCTTTCCATTTTTTCTAAAAAGCTAGCCATGCTCTTAAATTAAAACACAGCATTTGAGTCTAAAGTCGGATTGCCAGTTAAAATACAAGATGCTCTGTTAAATTTGAATTTCAGATAAATGAATACTTGTAAGTATAACTATGTCCTAAATATTTCATAAGACATACTAAAAATTATCACGGTTTATTTGAAATTAAAATTTCACTGGGCATTCTGTATTCTTATTTGCTGCTGACAACCCTAGTCTAACTAGGGTTAGACTAGTTTAACTAGTCTAAAGTTAAACTACTGTGTTGTATTCAATTCTATCATCCTGCTTATGATGTAAGTCTTTTAGGCTCCAAATGATTTAGGACATAGTCTGGTTAGCAAAAGGAGAAAATTGAGGCATCTGTTCCAATTGGACCAGTCACCTGAGCCACTAAAATCAGCTTTCTTAAATGTCTCTGAACTAGGAATACGCTGGGACTAGGTCCCAGTGCTTGGGGTGAGCCAGGCCAGCAGGTGAGTGTCCTCAGTTGTGGGACAAGGAGCTTAGTAGATAAGCATCTTCTCCCTGCTCGATGTTCACCTTTGCTTGATCTCCTAGGCCAGTGGTTCTCACCCCTGGCTGCATATTAGAATTGCCTGGGGAGCTTGTAAACCCACTGATGTTTGAGCCCCACTCCAGACCAATTAAATCGGGATCTCCAGGGGCAGGCTGTGGCATCCATGGGTTCCCAAAAGTTCCCAGGTGATTTTAAGGTTCTAATGAGAACCATTGTCCTATGCCCTCGCTCTGTTCCCAGTGGCATCAGTTCTTGTTTAATTCTTCTCCTTTAAATACCCTCTTTGTAGTATTGGACATTTTATAGCCCAGAAAATATGACTGGAGCACCTGTTCTGTGTTAAAATGGCGGCATGGATGGGATTTGCCCGGAAGGGTTCCTTGTCCTTCCATGACCTTGTCTTGTGCTGACTCCTGGCTCTCTCCAAGCCTCCCTTCTCCTCTCTCCTGCTTAAGCCTCTCTTCAGCTTTGGCTTTCCTTGTCTCCTCCTTCTCTGTTTATAACATGTCAATTTCCATTTTGCAGCTGGTTTCCTTTCAGACCCATCAAGTGGCCATCCTATTGGCTTGGACTGAAGACCCCCACTGGAGAACTGTCTCTGCAGCCTATACTGATGACACTGGCCACTGTCCAGGGCTCCACCCCAAGGAGTCCAAGCCCCAGACATTTAGCCTTAGAGAGAATCCAGATTTTGCATTTCCAGTGCAGGGATTGATGGAGCCTTGTGTATCAAAGTGCCAATTTCTTTCTAACAAGCTAGGGAGGATACCGTTGACAGCAGCAGAAAGGGGTAGCAGTGGTTTGCTTTCCAAATGGTAATAAGAAGGGCCTGGCAGTGGCAACCTGTCCACGTATCATTAAAAATGGACTCTCCTGCTTCGTTTGGAATTCAACCCAATGAACTTGAATAAACTCTGGACAATGACCAGCACAGAGCCCTAAGCAGGATACAGCAAGATTATTTGCTTTACTCATCCACTGAGTACCTACCATGTGCCAAATACTATGCTATATGCCGAGTATACACTGGCAAATAAAACAGATATGGTCCCTGGAGCCTATGAATCTTACCCCATCTAGCCACAAATAATAAAAATAAGAAGAATCTGAAGGACAAGTGGGACAGAAATACTCAAGCAGAATGAGGGTGAGATTGAAGTCCCTGAACATACAGTGCCCTTTACACTTGATCTTAGCCAAAAGGCCGAGAAGAGATTACAGTGCTTTTTAAAGGTAGCATTTCACCCAGCCAATAATCAATCCCTTTGGCCTTCTTGAGGTGCAAGGCCACACACTCAAATTCTTTAATCAAACAATAGGCTAGTGCAAATGGAGCTATTTCTTAAACCCAGCTGTTTACACAGCAGCTACAAATCTGTTCAGAAGGAATCCCCCACCATCCACAACTGTCTATCGAGCAGATGTGCAAGAGTATTTGTCTCTCACCACCAGGGTTGCAGTCAGGACAAGAGAGCAGGTTTGAACGTCTTCGGCTCCTAGAACTGCACAAGCTGTGTCTTCAGTGCCCAGAGGCGGCTGCAACGTCTCCCCAGTTCTCCTCTCAGAA
Source organism: Homo sapiens (assembly GCF_000001405.40). Lineage (NCBI taxonomy): Eukaryota > Metazoa > Chordata > Mammalia > Primates > Hominidae > Homo > Homo sapiens. The sequence continues at coordinate 180,566,293 of NC_000001.11, forward strand.
CAATGGAAATTTTTTTTAGAGGCGTAATAGGAAGGTTTGCATTGAATTATTAAACAATGGGTATTGAAAAATATGTTTTCTTTGACCTCTGTACTTCTAGCTTTTACCAGTCAGTGTTTTCTTGTACCAAGGCTAAGATATGTATAACACTGAAATGGATGTCTTCTTATATAATATTTTACAAGCTTTTGAAAACCTGTGCCCTTTAATAAATTTTAAAACGTTTCATGCCCTTCTTTCATTTTCTGAAATTCAAAATAAATTAAATATCAGGGGACACAAAAGCACAAGAAGAAAGCACTGCTTTGTTTTCAAATCAGGCCCCAAGCCACTGCCCTTGAGATTCTTGTGGGTCAGCACAAGCACCCCTCCCATCTCCAGTTCCTGAGACTCATTGTTCCAAATGGTAATATTAACATTTGCCATGTTCACTCATGGATAACTTTCCATTATTTCAGTTGTAAACATTTTCTATGTGAAATATGAGATGAGACCAATGAAACAATAGATTTTAAACAAATTAAATAAGAATTTTTGCAAGCAAAGGAGCATCATGACTTTGAAATGGCCACTTTTGGGGGCCATGCTTCTAGGGCTAAAATACGCATGCTTCTGGGGCTAATACCTTGGCTCCAAAAATTGGGAGGTACTCATTCAGTGCAGCGGAAAGGAGTATAAGCTTTGGAAGCAGGTGATCTGGATGCAAATCACATTCTGCCACATTTTAGCTGTTGCCGCTTTGACCTAATTGTTTAACATCTTTCTAAGCCTCAGTTTCCTCAATGGTAAAAGGAGAAAAAAGATAAGAAAAAATGAATGCAAAATGTCTGCACATCTCAAGAAGCTAGTAGTTACCAAGATTGGAACTATCACTAATGATATGTCTTTTCCTTAGAGATCTTTTAGGATGATTTTTTTTTTTTTTTTAGAATCTCTTGTCTTTTAAAGTCAAATTAAGAGAATAGAAGTGGATAATAAATGGCTGGCCGTTCTAGTTTTAGAGGGAAAAAAAACTGTTGCTATAGTCACTATCCTACAATTTTGTGTGGTTCGTTAAATGACTCTGAAGTTCACTCCAAAAGATGTTTCCAAAATGTTCTGAGCGACCACATTCTCCTTAGAATTGTGCACAGACTGGCTGGGTAGCCACTTTGAAGGGATTCAATTCCTTTGAATGTTTAAGTAAGTTGTTTGGTGTTAAAGAAATTCTCTTTGTTTTATGGCCACACCACAAATATGGACATTGTAAAAAAGGCTTAATGATTGCAAATCCGCCTTGCCATTTCCTCTATGTCCAGATATATGTCTTTTTAGAACACTGATGTGTAGTAAGCAGAGATTTTTATTCCTTTTTAATTTTTTTCCCCTTTGATTCCTGAACCTTTGTCATCGACACAGGAAAATTAGACCCAGTCCCTGCTACCAAAAGCTACCGCGATCATTCCACAGTTTCACACGCTTTCAGGTTTCCATTTTCCTTCTCTCACCCCAGATGCCTGGCATACGCGATAGCAGCAAAAACAAAATCTGTTGCATTTTTGGAATGTTATTAACACTGAAGCAGCCCAGGGATTGCAACAGCTAAGATAGGGATCCCCACCCCCAACTTTTTTCTCACTAGAGAGCAAAGAGCAACTCTTAAATCCAGAAAGCGAGGAGAACCTTGTCCGGAAGAGGCACTCAAATGCATTGAATCCACTGATTTCCCTCTGCTTGCCACCCCAGCCTTCACCACCCCATCTCGACTTTCCCACAGGAAAACCATGTTAGGTGTTAGACAATGATGCCACACAATAGAAATATAAATCCAGTGTTTGTCTAGCATAATATAAATGGCACTGCTGAACTCCATCCTTCCTCCCATTGACAACATCAGAGAGATAGTTAGTGAGGGGCAAAATCATCTGTGATTGTCTCTGCATGGATGTTGAAATTGCTCCCCCCAGGGTCTTCTAGGGTTTTTAAGCATAAAGGTGTTCATCCAACTGAAAAAATTGTATATCTATAAGCAATTTGAGATTCAGCATGTCTGGCAATGCACATTTTTTTAAGGATGAGAAAATGCAGCATGAAATGTGTTTATGTATGCTGTGCTGGGGAATTTCTGAACCTTTCACTGTCATCTTGAAGCCTTTAAGAGGGAAGCTCTTGAGGATGTTGGATTATAAAAGTCATTCTCTCATTTCTGGGACTTAAGGACACGTCTCTGAGCATAACAAATGTGCGATCACAAATGAAGGTGCCTTGAGCTTAATGGAAGAAAGGTTTATCTTCAACACTGACATTTCTACTTCTCTAATAAAATCATATTGTGCCTCTTTTTTTATTAAAAGGTTTCTTCGCCCTTCCCCTTTCCTAGGGCTGATGGGATTCATCCCCTAAAGCTGGTGTGGTTGGCAGTAACAGGGCTGAGTAGATTTAGCTGGTATGATCAGGAGATTGGTTACAGGGGAATTGAGCAAATAAGTAAACATATTGAAAATGATGGGAGCCAGGCCGCTCACTGTTGGAGAGATCTATATTTGAGTTACAAATATAGAATGAAAGAAGGCTAGAATAAATGCTGTGGTGTTGGAATAGAACTGAAAGTATTGGTGTGAACTCCTGGTTTTTAATGTAAATATATAACAAAGATTTATGTGTATTATGTGTGTATATATAAATATATACATATATAGAGATACACATATACATGCATAGACATATCTATCTATCTATATACCTAATTTCCTAGCTCTATCTGCACCGAGTGCCTGAAAGTAAAGGCACCCAAGTAGCAATAAGCATACCTAGCATCCACATCATGGCTTCTAGATATTATTTTTTATTAAAAGGAAATAGGACTCCATCAGGAAATAGCTGATTCCAGGATGTGGTAGTTTTAAAACTGGTCCACTCGAAGATATCTACATCTTAACCCCTGGAACCTGTAAATGTTACCTTATTTGGAAAAAGGATTTTTGCAGATGTGATTAAGTTAAAGATTTTTAAATGAGGAGATTATCCTGGATTAGCCAGGTGGATCCTAAATGCCATCACAAGTGTCTTTATAAGAGAGAGACGGGGGAGATTACAGACAGAAGAGGAGACAGCGTGACTATGGAGGCAGTGATTCAGTCACAAGTCAAGGAGTGCCAGCAGTTACCCCAAGCTGGAAGGGGCAATAGACAGATTCTCCCCTAGAGCCTCTGGAGGGAGTGTGGTTCTGCCAATAGCTAATTTCATCCCATTAATATTGGTTTCAGACTCCTGGCCTCCAAATTTGTAAGGGAATAGTTTCTGTTGTTTCCAAATCTGTGGTAATTTGAGATGGCAGTCAAAGGAAGCTAATATACAGGCCTGGGGCAGGGAATGTCCAAGATGAGCCTGGAGCATCTTCTTGAGCCAGAAAGTGAGGTGATGCTCAGGATGAGAAAGGACACAGGGACCAGCCTGAAGGGACTTCCATGGGCCAAAGTGAGGGCAATAAAGAATCAAAGGGAATATCAAGAATAAAAGTTGGGCACGGTGGCTCATCCCTATAATCCCAGCACTTTGGGAGGCCAAGGCTGGTGGATCACCTAAGGTCAGGAGTTCGAAACCAACCTGACCAACATGGTGAAACCCCATCTCTACCAAAAATTACAAAAATTAGCCGGGCATGGTAGTATGTGCCTGTAGTCCTAGCTATTCAGGAGGCTGAGGCGGGAGGATTGCTTGAGCCCAGGATGTTCAGGTTGCAGTGAGCGGTGATTGTGCCACTGCACTCCAGCCTGAGCAACAGACCGAGATCCTGTCTCAAAAAAAGAAAGGAGAGAGAGAGAAAAGAAAGAAAGAGAAATGGAATTAGAATATCACCATTTGGCAACCAACAGAATGGAAATTAATTTGGACAAGAATCATCAATGGATGCAAAAACTAGTGGATGACAGTTTGATGAGAAACAGCATCTTTACATTATCTCACAGTGTCTTCCAACAAAATACTTGTTAACTCTTATTACCCATTTTTAATTTAACATCACCAGTAATGGGACAAATTGACATCATGTACCCTTGATATGATAGACTGAGAACAAAGCATTACTCTGTGGTGTTCCTGCCAAAAATGCATGACATAAAGCTAATCACGAGGCAGTATCAGACAAACCTGAACTGAGGAGTATTCTACAGATAACTGGCTGTACCCTTTGAAAATGTCAGAGGCATGCAGGACAGGGAAAGGCTGAGAAACTGTTCCAAATTAATTACTTCCAACAACCAATCCTCAACTGCATTCTGGACCCATAAAGGATATTATCAGGGCAGATGGTAAAATTGGAAGTTTGTGAATAAATGGTGACATTGTATTGATGTTTCTACTTAGTTATGTAGGAGAATGTCCTGCTTTTAGGAAATGCACACTAAAGTATTAAGAGATAATGAGACATTATGTCTGCACCTGCCTCCCAAATTGTTCAGCACAATAATTTATAAAAATACGCAGAAAGATTGAAAGACAAATGTGGTAAAATGTTAACAATTAAGGACTCTAGGTAAAGGGCATATGGGAGTTTGTTGTAGCATTCTTGCAACATTTTTGTAAGTTTGAAATTATTTCTAAATGAAAAGTTAAAAAGAAAAAAAGATAATTATTCTACCATGGTACCCTGTAACTTTCATTCAAAAAGTACTTATGGAATTCCCATTCAGAAAGTGAAAGGGCATTGGAGGGAAAGCCAGGGTACCTGGTTCTGCCACTATCTGGGTCCCCTTGGGCAGGTAACTTAACCTCTCTGAACCTCAGTCTCCTCAGCTTTATCATTCTCTGCTTTTCTACACCTAAGGCAATTGATTTCACTAGTTGGTTTAGTTCTGATTTAGAAGGAACCAACAATGGCATAGTTAAAAATCATTACTGTGGAATGGGGAGTGGCTGCTAGTGAATAATTGAATGTCATTTCTTTTTGCAGGCAAAAATGTTCTAAAATTAGATTGTGGTGATGACTGAATAACTCCATGAAAATAGTCAAAAATATTGAATCATGCACTTGAATGGGTGAATTATTTGGTATGTAAATGATATCTCAAGGAAGCCATAGAACTCATTGCTGTTGATTTTCTCACCCCACAGCCAACCGTGATTCTATAAGGTTAGACTGAAGAAGCCTGTGATGTAATGGTGATGGTTTAACAGCTGGGTGAGTAGAGAAGACATTCTCATTCCAGAGGCAGGTTGAGAAGGAAAAGAGCAAATGCTAAAGGAACATTTCCCAATGGCCGAAGGAAAGAGTGTGAGGGACATTTCAAGTGCCTGCCCCCAGCCTCTGTCATCATCCTTTGCCCTCTCACTCTACGAGGTCCTTGGCTGACCTGATCCTTTACTGTGGTTTCAACTTCCTCCCATAGGTTGGTGACTCCCTGTGTGATTTAGGATTACATGTGGCTGCAAGAGGAAAAGGAAACTAAAATACTGGGAGCTTAAAAGCTTAAGCAAAAGCTAAGTTTTAAAATGTATTTTTCTTTCTCACATAACGTCTGAGTAAACAGTCCAGAAGCTCCGTGAGGTCTGAGATCCTCTCTCTGGGCCTCCCTTTACAGCCTCAGAGGCTGAGTGCCGAGCAGCTCTAGCAAGCGCGATTCCCATAGACAGCCTGAGTGGTTCCTTCTGGAGTAGAGCAATGTGATGGCCCTGCCCAGGACCCTTCTCTCTTGTCTTCTTTAAGTGGTCTCATCTGTGTTGTCCAAGATGGCAGCATTTATCTTCCAGGAAGGAAAATGGCAGAAGGGACAGAGGCAGATGAAGGGGCGCAGGGTACACGTGGGCTGAATCTTAAGTAAGGTTTTCAGAACTTCTCATTGTCTTAGTCATATGACCATACTCAGTCTTAATCATACATGTCTTAGTCATAGGACCATACTCAGTTGCAAGTGAAACGGGGAAATGTAGTTTTTATTCCAGGTGGCCATGCACCCTTCCCCCCAGAGAAAAGCGAAGGGAGGGAAGGAATCCTATTACCATGAAATAAGAATAAACAAGTATTAGGGGACAACTGGCAACCTTGGTTGCTATTTCCAATCTATACTTCTAGTCCACACCCATATAGTCAATTGTCTCCTGGACACCTCTACACAGATGACTCACAGACAGCTAAACAAAACCAGCCCTAAATGGAAAGTGTTGTGCTTCCCCACCTACTCCCGTCCCAAACCTGCTCCTCCTCCTGCGATCACCACCTCAGTGAATGGTAATGTCATTCATCTACTCGGATGAGAATCATCTTAGACTCTTGCATCTCCTTCACTGCCTGTCCTCTCTCCCTGCCCTGAGAGTGCCACCCCTGCAAATCTCCTCCTCCCCATCCCCATGACTTTAGCTGAGACTCATTTTTTTGCTGGTCTGGATTACTATAGGGGCCTTAAACCGGACCTCCTACCTCCAAGTTGTCCCCACTACAGTCTTTTCCCCACCTTGTGCCCAGAGTACTCTTGGTGAAGAGAAACCTAATTTTCACCTACCCCTCCTTCGAACTCCTGGGTTTCTCTGTACCTTTGGTGGTAAAGGGGTTTCCTCGTACCTTTGGTGGTAAAGTTCACTCTGTTTGAGCATAGCACCCGAGGCTCGTCAGGATCTGGCCTCTGCCTGCCTCTCCTGCTCCATGTGCTACCTCTCCCTACCACACAACCTTTGATCCAGTCCAATGGTGCTGAACTATGGGTAACAGTTCCCTAAACAGCCAGCTGATGCATGCCACTCTGCCCCTGCACAGCTGCCCATTCAGTCTGAAATGACCTTCCCATTTTTGTCTAATTCCTACTTCTTCAAATCTCAGTGTGAGCACTGCCTCCCCAAGGAAGATTTCCTGGGTTCCCCAGTCTGATTTAGGCATTCTTCCTTTTACTGCCCTAATACACCATCCGTAATTATCTCAGTACTCACGTATTTGTATATCTTTCCCACTATACTACAAGCTCTTCAAAGGCTGGGATCTTGTCTTTTTTTTTTTTTTTTTCGCTTTTTTATCTCATATGCCTGGCACATGAATATTTGTTGAGTAAATAAATATGCCAGGCTCAATCCTACACGTTTATATGTCATTTATATGGGGAAACAGGCTCAGAAGAATTGCATGACATGTCAAAGACCACAGTGCTAATAGTACAAATGGAAATTAAATCCAATATTCGTGCCTCTTTGTGTGTTCCTACTTAGACAAATAACATTTATGGCTGTTTTGAATTGAAATGTGGATGCACCCACTTTGGAGTTGATTAACCTTCATCCTAAGTCTATTATCGGAGGTGTGTATTTCTTCTCTTCCTCCACATTCTTGAGTCTACGAACACATTTCTAGGGTACTTACAAAAAACAGAGTCTTGTCCAGGCGTGGTGGCTCGCGCCTGTAATCGCGGCACTCTGGGAGGCAGAGGCAGGTGGATCACCTGAGGTCAAGAGTTTGAGACCAGCCTGACCAACATGGTGAAACCCCGTCTGTACTAAAAATACAAAATTAGCTGATCATGGTGGCACATGCCTGTAGTCTCAGGTGCTTGGGAGGCTGAGGCAGAAGGATCGTTTGAACCCACAAGGCGGAGGTTGCAGTGAGCCGAGTTTGCACCATTGCACTCCAGCCTGTGCAACAAAAGCAAAACTCCATCTCAAAAAAAAAAAAAAAAAAGTCTAGGCTGAGCACAGTGGCTCATGCTTGTAATCCTAGCACTTTGGGAGGCAAAGGTGGGAGAGCCACTGTGCCCAGTAGTTTGAGACCAGCCTGGGCAACATAGTGAGACCCCCATCTCTACAAAAAATATTTAAAAATTAATGGTGTGTGCCTGTAGTCTTAGCTATGAGAGAGGATTGCTTGAGTCCAGGAGTTCAAGACTCCAGGGAGCCATGATTGCACCGATGCACTCCAGCTTGGGCAAGATAGAGTCTAAAGATAGAGTCTAAAGTCTTTGCCTCCTCCTGGAAAAATGTTATCATTGTTCTCTACCAGCGGAGTCTGTTTCTTTACTCCTCCACTCCTTCAATGAATATTTGTTAAACACAGCTCTGTGTTAATGCCTAATTGACACATAAACATGCAGAAACTAAGATATTTCAGCCATTATCAGAACCTTTTAATCTTTTTGTTAGAGCCAAGGAGATTCAGCTTTGTCTAAGGATACGGTTACAAATGAAGAACAAGGAACAGAGCTGTATGTGTATGTTCAAGGTTGCATGCTATTATTGTTCCTTCTAAAGCAAGGCAGATATAATCCTTGTATTGGAAACAGGTTTCAGGTACAATAAACAATGTGCTCCCTTATCTCAGAAGCACAAAGGTGGTTCAGCCAGTTGTTTACCACTCAGGTATTCCTTATTCAGCAGTTTTCGTACAAAAATGCTACCTTTTAATTTCCTAATGCTCTGCCCTCCCAAAAGGTAATAAGAAATAGAAACTGGGTACTGCCTAAATGAATTCACTTGTGTGGAAAACAAAGTCATTTTTATATACTCCTGCAATGTGCATTTGACTACAAGCCAGAACATTTTACACAAGCAGTGGAATTCATCTCTTGAAATTGATTCAGGTTTTCTCTGATAGGAGGGGTGGAAAAGGAAAATGAAAAGCACGTGATTATAATTGCACTTGGAAGCAGTCCCAGTTACAAGAGCAGTTCTTTAAAATTATTCTTTTGGTTTCACCTTAAATTATCTTAATGGGAGAGTACAGTTTAGTAGGAACAAGGAAAAGTGGGAAAAGGATACCTGGAAGTTTCTCTTTTCTCTTCTTTTGTCTTTTCTTTTCTTTTCTACCTCCTTCCTTCCTTCCTTTCTCTTTCTTTCTTTTCTTCTCTTTCTTTCTTTCTTTCTTTCTTTCTTTCTTTCTTTCTTTCTTTCTTTCTTTCTTTCTTCTTTCTTTCTCTTTCTTTCTTTCTTTCCTTTGACAGGGTCTTTCACCCAGGTTGGAGTGCAATGGCATGATCATAGCCCACTTCAACCTCAAATTCCTAGGCTCAAAAGATCTTCCTGCCTCAGCCTCCCAAGTATCTGGGATTACAGGTGTCCACCACTACAACTAGCTACTTTTTTTTTTTTTTTTTTTTAGTAGGAGTCGTTATGTTGCCCAGGCTGTTCTTGAGGGCTCAAGCAATCCTCCTGCCTCAGCTTCCCAAAGTGCTGAGATTACAGATGTGAGCCACTATGCCCGGCCTAGAAGTTTTTATTTATTCATTCAATAAATATTTAGCACCCACCACATGGAAAGCACCACATTGGGACCTGTGGAAACATGATGATTAGTCAGATAAAAGGTCTGCCTTCAAGTGAGCACAATACTGCAGGCAAGTTAATACACACAAACACACACACACACACACACACACACACACACACACGTATTGTCCTCACTAATCTAATTCAATCTTAAAATTTTTGCTACCTAAACCCAAGAATTAAATAGATTCAGATACATTTTAGAATAAATCCATCTCCATCCCAGCTTTTACTACTTGCTTTCCAAAACTCAAGAACCTCCAGTCATCAGTACTTGGACACACCATTCAAAATCAGTCTCCAAATTCAGGAACCTGATCGGTGTGGCTGGCAGGATACTTTAGTACTATGTAACATGATAAGGGCTATAAGAGTGGCCCCAAATGCTATGAAGCTTGGAAGAGTGTGAGATAGGCGTACAATCTAGTGGAGAATATATTTTACTTTTGCCTTGAGCAGTGGGTAGAATGTTTCATCGCCAACCTCAGTGCCATGACATGTCAAAGACGACAGCACTAATAGTATATATGGAAATTAAATCCAATGTTCATGCCTCCTTGTGTGTTCCTACTTAGACAAATAACAACCTCAACCTCAGTGCCCTCTAGCAATTCTTTTATTTCTCCCCTATATGTCCTTTCCCCAACACCCCCCTTGAAAGCCTTTCACCAGTCTTTCAAGTCCCCTACTTCTACTTTCCTCCCTTCACTCTCAGAAAATGACCTTCCCTCTTACTTGATAGAGAAAATAGGGACTGCCAGCCCTGCATGACCTCATTTTCCTGACTACATTCACCTCTCCCCAGTGAAATCACCCCACCTTTCTACATTTCATCCATCCTTACTGAAGCCATCCTTCCAGTGTTAACAAGAATTCTGGACAGAAATATAGTTATAATTAAGCATTATTCAGGCTGCACGTTGACTCACTTACTTGTAACCGAAAGTCACATAACCCTAGATACTAACCGTATGTATCCCCATTATGCCAATAGATAGAATTTCTGACAGAATCATAAGGCTTTCATTTAAGAGTTGTTTAAGCAGATCCTGAATTCCAGGAGAACAGCTAACAACCAGTTTAGAGGCTCTCAAGGAGGAATCAGTTCCGCATGAGAATAGAGTTTCTTCATCTCCCTGTCCTAAGACTTCACCCTGCACCCTTGGACCGGTCGATGGTGACACTTCAGCCCACTCCAAAACCCTTAAAAACCCTAGCCTTAAACTTCCTGAGGAGATGGATTTGAGGTATATGTATATATATAATTTTTGGAATTTATATAGATATATGTTATGAGAATTAGCTTACACAATTATGGAGGCAGAGAAGTTCCACAATCTGCTGTTTGCAAGCTGGAGAAGCAGGTCTAATTCATTCTGGGTCTGAAGGCCTGAGGACCAGGGGAGCCAGTGGTACATCTCCCAGTCCAAGGCTAAAGGCCGGAGAACCTGGGGGGCCACTGTTGTAAGTGCTATATTTCAAAGGCCTGAGAACCAGAAGCACTGAGGTCCAAGAGCAGGAGAAGATGGATGTCCTAGCTCAAGAAGAGAGAGAGTAAATGCACCCTTCTTCCGCCTTTTTGTTCTATTTGGCCCTTGAAGGATCGGATGGTGCCTGCACACATTGGTGGGAGAGGATCACAGACATACCCAGGAATTACGTTTTTACCAGGTACCTGGCCAACTCTTAGCTCAGTCAAGTTGAAAAAAAATTAACTGTCATAAAAGTAATCCCCTAGGATTTGACCTTCGAATTTTCCTTTGAATTTCTCCTTTGAATTTCATGCTTTCCCAAATCTGTAGGTCTGTGACAAACACCTACTGTCATTTTTTTCTCTCTTCAGGGCATTCCTTCCTTTTCTAATTCCTGCTTCCCCTTTCCATATGCTTTGGGCTGCCAATAATATGATTTTGCCTGCATAGCATGGGTTGGCCCATGTCCCAAACAAGGCCAATTAGAGTCTGTTTCAAGGGTGGATATGGGCCCTCGTGGGCAGAGTCAGTTGCATTATTTTCTTTGGGATTGCACCTATCTGCGCAGTATAAGCCTGACCATCTTATACAGGGTGAGTCTGCCTGAGAACAAAGCCAAGGAGAGGCTAATGATGCCAAGAAATACAGAGATAGAGCACTGACAACATTGTTTTTAAAGCCTTGGAGTTTTCAGTTACGTGAGCCAAAAATTTCTCTTTTGGCTTAAGGTTGTTTGAATTGGGTTTCTGTTGTTTGCCACCAAGAATTCTGATTAGTGTTGTTATCTGTCAGTCAGCTCTCCTCTCTTTCCAGTAACTTTGGTCTCTCCCCTCAAAATTAACTCATTTCCTTCACCTAAATACATGCTCCAGACTCCACCTGTCTAGGAAAACCCTCCTTTAGTCCCGTAGCCCCTGCCTGCTCTCCCTCATTCCCTTCCTAGCCACAAGCAAGAGTTGTAAGTGATGAGATTTTCCCTAGTCTGTGGCATAATCAATAACATTAATAAATGAATAAGAATAAAGATAATGCATTGAGGTGGTTTTTGTTTGTTTGTTTTGTTTTTAGAGATAAGGTCTCACTCTGTTGTCCAGGCTAGAGTATAGCGGCACAATCCTAGCTCACTGCAGCCCCCAGCTCCTGGCCTCAGGCAATCCTCCCACCTCAGCCCCTACAAGTGGTGAGGACTACAGGTGTGTGCCACGATACCCAGCTAAAGTTTTTGTATATATATTTTTGGTAGAGACAGGAGTCTTGCTTTGTTGCCCAGGCTTGTCTTGAACTCCTGGCCTCAAGCGATACTCCCTCCTCAGCCTTCTAAAGGGCTGGGATTACAAGTGTGAGCCACCCACCATAGCCAGCCCACCAAATCTCATGTTGAATTGTAATCCCCAGTGTTGGAGGTGGGGCCTGGTGGGAGGTGTTTGGGTCATGGGGGTAGATCCCTCCTGGCTTGATGCTGTCATTGAGACATTGAGTGAGTTTTCATGAGATCTAGTTGTTGTAAAGTGTGGCACCTCCCCACCAGCCAACACATCTTGCTCCCATTCTTGCCATGTGAGATGCTGGTTCCCCCTTTGTCTTGTGCTGTGAATAAAAGCTCCCTGAGGCCTCCCCAGAAGCCAAGCAGATGCCAGCACTGTGCTTGTACAGCCTGTAGAACCATGAGCCAGTTTAACCATTTTTCTTTATAAATTACCCAGTCTCTAGTTGTTGTTTTTTTTTTTTATAGCTATGTAAGAATGGCTGCTATAAACATTTGTGTACAGGTCTCTGTGGACATATGTTTTTATTTCTCTTGGGTGAATAGTAAGGAGTAGGAATGCTGGGTCGTATGGTTAATGTATGTTTAATCTTACAAAAAACTGCCAAACTCTTTTCCAATGTTGCTATGCCATTTTGTATTATCAGCAATGTATGACAATTCAAGATACTCCACATCTGTGTCAGTACTCGGATTATCAATGTTTGTTTGTTTGTTTTGCCCTTTTAAAGGGTGTGTAGCAATGTTTTATTGTGGTTTTAATTTGCATTTCCTTAATAATTAATGATGTTTAGCATATTTTTATGGCCTTACTTGCCACCCATGTCTCTTCTTTAATGAAGGGATCTTTTGTTCATTTAACAAATTGGGCTGTTTATATTCTTACTGTTTTGTGAGAGTGCTTTATATATTCTAGATACAAGTCCTTTATTGGATATATTTTTATCATATATTTTCCTCTTAATCCGTAGCTTGTCTTTGAGTGACAGTGAGTAGAGTTTTAAATTTTGATAAAGTCCAATTTATCTAATGTTCCTTTTATGCTTCATGCTTTTTGTGTCCTATCGAAGAAATCTTTAATCAGTGATTTTGTTTTTAAACTACGCTTATTTAATTCAAAGCATTTGAATTTATTTTGAGATTGTGATTCTTTCTTTATTGGACTTAAAGTATCTTTTTAAAATAATAAAGTAATAATAGATAGAATTGTGTGTGTGCGTGCACGCATGTACACACATTTTCATGCCTGGTAAAATAGAGTTGACCAATGTTTCTATGTTGGCTTCATAGGTCAGTTTCCCCAAGGAACATACATGTGACAAATCTTCTCTCCCTGACTAAACTTTAGTAAGGCTTCACTAACCCCTTTCCTCAACTAGGCTTTGACCTTGGGCTTCAGTGTTCTTTCTTGTCAGAGTCGCATCACCCAGTTTAGCAAGAATCCTGTTAATTCAGTTCAGAGAAAATCTACTACTCTCTTTATTTGATCACCCTTGATATCAAATCAAATTCCTCATCCCCCACCATCTCCTAAGTAGTATCTGATCACCCTTGTCAGCCTTCAGCAAGAATCTTGTTGAGTCGGTATAGCCAGATTCTCTTACCCCTGATTTTTCATCTTAGTGATTTTTCACCCACTGAACTCCAACTCTGATCTTGGCCTATAAATCCACATTTGTCCTTGTTGTGTTCAAAACTGAGTCCTGTTCTATACTGAGGCCTCTTTCTTCCTGCTACGATAGTTCCTGAATGAAATCTGTTTTTATCACTTTAACTACTGCCCGGGAATTGTATTGGGAAGTGCTACCAGAAACAACACCTCTAAAGGTGTGGGCGAAAGCAGATTGAAAAAAGGAGATGAATGATGATGCTGTGGCAGCAGAGGCCTCAGCTGCTCCCCTGGGAAGTTCTGGAGCTTGGATGACCCTGTGGAGCTGCGCTGAATAGAGGGAAGTGTCTGGACTTGCATCCCTCAGCCCCTCTGCCCATCAAAGGAGATAATGTGAGAAATTAATATAAAACGTGGTATAGAAATGGGAAAGAAAAATTATTTGAAGTGTAGTGAGTTTGGTGAGGCAATCCTTTTATAAGGACAAATAAAACAAAACTAATTAGTCATTTGTGAAACCTTTCCCATGGCTCTGTGACCTCTGCCACCCAGCAACCCGGTATCCTAGCAACAGTCTCTGGGCCTTTTGCCTGGTTTGCCTCATTCCCCCAGGGTGAGCACACCACTTTTACCTGTTCTGTTGTGTCTTACCCTCAGAAGAAAAGGAATGACTATTTGTCTGAGTGCACATGGCTGCCCTTCTAGGCTGGCAGGTCTGGGTGATAAAGAAACTGCTGAGGGGAAAGACCCTCATGCCCAGTAGCAAATCCAAGGAGATGTGGACAAGGCTTTTACAATAACTTTAGTGAAGAATAACTCGGCCAGGCATGGAGGCTCACGCCTGTAATCCCAGCACTTTGGGAGGCCGAGGTAAGTGGATCACCTGAGGTCAAGAGTTTGAGACCAGCTTGGCCAACATGGTGAAACCCCGTCTTTACTGAAAATACAAAAATTAGCCAGGCGTGGTGTTGCATGCCTATAATCCCAGCTACTCGAGGGCCTAAGGCAGGAGAATCGAGACAGAGAGAGACTCCGTCTCAGGGAAAAAAAAAAAAAAAAAAAAGAGTAACTCCTGGCTGGGCATGGTGGCTCATGCCTATAACCCCAGCACTTTGAAAGGCCGAGGCAGGAGGACCCTTTGAGGCCAGGAGGTCAAGACTAGCCTGGGCAACATAGAGAGATCCTATCTGTACAAAATAAAAATAAAAATTTTAACTTGGTACACACCTGTAGTCCTAGCTCTTCAGGAAGCTGAGGCAGGAGGATTGCTTGAGCCCAGGAGTTGGAGGCTGCAGTGAGCTATGATCATGATCATGCCACTGCCTTTTGGCCTGGGCAACAGAGTGAGACTTGTCTTCAGAAAAAAAAAAGAATAACCCTTGAATGCATGTGGGAAATGATGGTTTGCTGGTTTTAATTCACATACTTGGTCATCACCCATCATTGAGCCCTCTGCTCCACTTCTCAAATCATTACAAATTGTTGTCAGTCTAAGCTGAAAGGCAGACAAAAGCTCAACGTTGCCTACCAAACAGCTCTGCACAAATAAATCTGGCAGAGGAAGAGGGGTTTTTTCTTCCCCAGAATGGCCTAACCTCTTTTAGTACTCTCAGCAAAAAAGAGCTCCTGGCCAGGCACGGTGGCTCACACCTATAATCCCAGGTATTTTGGAGGCCTAGGCAGGAGGATTGCTTGAGCCCAGAAGTTCGAGACCAGTCTGGGGTAACATAGCGAGACCCCCATCTCTCTCTCTCTATAAAAAGACCTCCTGGGCATTGGAGGGGTCAGGGGAGATAAAGTAAATCTGCTATCATATTTTTAATCTGACCCACTAGAAATGAGGAAACCAGCCTAGAATTGCTCAACTAGCTTGTGGCAAAGTCAGAATTAGACTCAGATCTCCTCCCAGCCAAACCAGAAGCCCAAGCAATCCTTGATTATCCTAGCTTCTCCACTCTCACATCCACTGAGTCACTAAGTTATGTTATTTTGACTTAAAAATAGCTCTCAGGCTTATCTCCTCCTTTCCAATGATCATTGCTTCTGCTTTTGCTGAGGTTCTACCTAATCTCTCGGACAGTTGCAGTAACTTCAAAACTGGTCTCTTTCCTGTGTGCCAGTCCATTCTGCACACAGTAGCCAGTGTAACAATTTCTAAGCACAAATCTGACAACTCATTCCCCCATCTAAACGTTTGCACAGCTCCCATTCCTCTTCATGGTAAGTTCCATCCTTGGAATGACAGCAGTTATAACAAATGTGACAGCAAGCACAACTGATGGTGGCTTTAACTATAAAGACTTTTATTATTTTCTTAAATGTTCTAATATAGGCAGTCTTAAACTTGTTTTGGTGATTCTGTGATATTGTTGAAGACCCGAATGTTTTCTGTCCTTTCTCTCTTTTTTTTTTTTTTTTTTTTGAGACAGAGTCTTGCTCGTTCACTAAGGCTGGAGTGCAGTGGCACGATCTCAGCTCACCGCAACTTCTGCCTCCCGGGTTCAAGTGATTTTCCTGCCTCAGACTCCTGAGTAGCTGAGTAGCACTCCTGAGTAGCACGCACCACCACGCCTGGCTAGTTTTTGTATTTTTAGTAGAGACAGGGTTTCACCATGTTGGCCAGGCTGGTCTCAAACTCCTGACCTCAAGTGATCCGCCCACCTCAGCCTCCCAAAGTACTGGGATTACAGGCAGGAGCCACCGTGTCTAGCCTGTCCTTTCTCTTTCATCCTTAGGCTGAGGTTTGGATCCTCAGGCTTCTCATTCTCACTATGGTTGTAAGATGGCGACTGTAACTCTAGATACTGCATCCTCATGTGTCAGCATCTAGATCACAAAGGAAGGGAAGGAGCAAAGGAAGAGCTCTGTTACAGAATTCTTCTGTTTTTAATCAGGGAGGAAATTCTTTCCTTGATGCCTTCCTCCAGACTTCTTATATTTTAGGCCAGAATTGAATGCCATATGCAGCCCTAAACCATGCATTATCATCAAAAGTAAAGGGGATTGCTATGATTGGTGCTATGGCTTGACTAGGCCCTCCAAAGTTCTTGTGTTGAAAACCTGATCCTTAATGTGGTGGTGCTGGGAGGTGTGGCCTAATGGAAGGTGTTTGGGTCATGGGGGCACCATTAGTCTCAAGAATAGATTAATGCTGTTATCTTGGGAATGGGTTCATTACCTTGGGAGTGGGTTCCCTATAAGAAGATGAGTTCAGCCCCCTTTTCCCGCTCTCTCTCTCTCACCCTCTCTTGCCCTTCAGCCTTCTGCCACAGGATGATGGAGTAGGAAGGTCATTTCAAGATGCTGGCCCCTCAATCTTGGACTTCCCCACCTCCAGACCTATAAGAAATAAATATCTTTTCTTTATAAACTACTCAATCTCTGACATTCTGTTATAGCAGCACAGAACAAACTAAGACAATTGGCTTAGGCCAATTGCAATTTATACTCTGTCCCTGGGCACTCTACCACCTGAACAAAATCAAAACTCTGTTAGCAGTAAGAAGAAATGGCAAATGTGATGACAGCCCAACCTATAATGTGTGCACCCCAACCTATAAGGCTTGCGTGAGCTGGCCTCTACCTACTTCTTCAGCTTCATATTCTGCCACACTCCTTTATAACAGCCTTTCACTCTAGCTGCATGGAACCACTCACGTTTCCCAGAGCAGTCCTCCATGACTTTGCACATGCTGTTCCCCCTGCCTGAAGTATCCTACTGTCCTGGATAATCTTATAAACTCTTTTTCTTCTTGGAGAGCTTGACTGAACTGTAAGACTTCCTGATCCTCCAAAGAAGGGTCAGTCTCCCTGATCTTTCCTGGTCTAGACAGTGCTGGCACATTGTAGTTGCACAATAAATGTATATTAAATGAATCTTTTCATCATTTCAATGTGCTACTATTTTGAGCCCTCAGAACTGCCACTGCTTATACTTTAACTAAAATCATTACTTTCATCACAGAGCCAGTTAACAGATTCCTTAGCATATGAAAAATATTTCTAAATAGTAGGATCGGGTTGCTTATCAATTTAAGTAAGAAGTTGTCTGATACAGAATGTGATTTTGGCCGGGCGCGGTGGCTCACGCCTATAATCTCGGCACTTTGGGAGGCCAAGGCGGGTGGATCACGAGGTCAGGAGATTGAGACCATCCTGGCCAACATGGTGAAACCCCGTCTCTACTAAAAATACAAAAAAAAAAAAAAAAAAAAAAAGTCAGCGGGGCGCGGTGGCGGGCGCCTGTAGTCCCAGCTACTCTGGAGGCTGAGGCAGGAGAATGGCCTGAACCCGGGAGGCGGAGCTTGCAGTGAGCCGAGATAGCGCCACTGCAGTCCGGCCTGGGCGGAAAAGCGAGACTCGGTCTCAAAAAAAAAAGAAAAAAAGAATGTGATTTTGAGGGAGCTAAAATACCCTAATTTGATGTTAAGTCTCATATTTTATCCTATAGTACCTGTGACAAATCATTTTTTCACTGCTGTGTATCAGGCATACGTTTTCTTGCTGTCGATTTTTTTTTTTTTTTTTTTTGAGACGGAGTCTTACTCTTGTCGCCTGGGCTGGAGTTCAATGGCGCTATCTTGGCGCACTGCAACCTCTGCCTCCCGCGTTCAAATGACTCTCCTGCCTCAGCCTCCTGAGTAGCTGGGATTACAGGCGCCTGACACCATGCCTGGCTAATTTTTGTATTAGCCAGGCTGGTCTCGAACTCCTGACCTCAGGTGACCCCCCCCTCCTCAGCCTCCCAAAGTGCTGGGATTACAGGTGTGAGCCACTGCACCCAGCCAGACAAATTATCTTATGCATGTTATATAGAGGTATGGATACTTAGAAATGCTAATTTGTACTGGGGCTAATACTATTTAGGGGGTGCATACAGAAAATGTATTCAAATACAAGCAGTGAGATAGAGGGGGAGAGGATGAAAGAATAGGAAGTAGGAAATAAGATATTTAGAATGTAATTTATCACAGAGTAAGGGGAGCAAATCCAAAATAATTTCAGATGCTACAGGTATTTAGCCTTAAATAACACTAATGTACAAGAAGCTTATTCCTTTTACGATTCTTCTCAATTATTGTAAATGGTCCATTTCCGCAAGTCATCAGGCTCAGAAAGTGGCATTCCACCTTCTCTGGAGCTCTGTGCTAGCTGACCTAGCCTACAGTGGCTTAGAGCCATTTAAGCAAAGTACGTGGTACAAATATTTGGCATTTTGCTGCCTTACCAGTGTTAGCGATGAAAAGAAACAAAAAATGTCGATGTAGCCACAGAATGGGACTTTGAGCTGGAAATTACACACATCGACAGAATGAGACTTTGGCACGGGGTGGTATGTATGATTAAAAAGAAGAAAACTGGCTGAGAACGGTGGCTCATGCCTCTAATCCCAACACTTTGGGAGGCTGAGGCAGGCGGATCACCTGAGGTCAGGAGTTCGAGACAAGCCTGGCCAACATGGTGAAACTCCATCTCTATTAAAAATACAAAACTTAGCCAGCTGTGGTGGTGGGCGCCTGTAATCCCAGCTGCTCGGGAGGCTGAGGCAGGAGAATCATTTGAACCTGGGAGGTGGAGGTTGCAGTGAGCCGAGATCACGCCACTGCACTCCAGCCTGGGTGACAGAGTGAGACTCTGTTTCAAAAAAAAAGAAAGAAAGAAAACTGGAGCTAAAAGTGAACAAAAGAAAAAAGGAAAGAAAGATAAGAGAAAGGAAGGAATTCAAACCTCTCGGGTTAAACTGGATGTCTGAAGTTGTTTCGACTGTGGCTTCCAGGAAGCTCTGCCTCATTTCTTTGAAATATGACTCAGGTCCTTACCCAGGAGCATGTCTGACCTTGTTCCGACAGAACTTTAAAATATTTACTCTGTACTCCCTCTAGGCAGCTTCTCCATTCTTAGTCTCCAGCCATCTGCTTGGCAAGGCAAGAATCACAGATGACCAAGGTACCTCCTCACACACACCTGACAAGAGAAAAGTTTTGATTCCCTTGTCATGGGCCCCGACACCTTGGGCTGCTTCTACTGCAAAGGGCAGTATCTGGGGGATGCCCGGGCAGAAGAAGAGGACTGGGTTACATACTGTGCTTGTTTAACAAAGGTTTTGGGGGGCCATTTTAGCCAAAGATCTTTCTTTGAGTTCAAAAAGTTACACAGCTTTTAAAATCTGAGGCTGGAGCTTCTTGAGGGTGCCTGGCAAGGACAGCCAGGCCAAAACTGCATAGGAAGATGGCAGGAGTTTCCGTCCGTCACCTCTTCTGTGGCTGTGTCTCTCTTCATCTCTCAGGGCAGCCAGGGGACTCTGCTATCTCTATAGGCCACTCTCAAAATCCGCCCTCAGGAATGGAGCTCATGGACTCATTCGTGCAGGTGCTATAGCTAAAAGAGAAACTCCTCTTTAAATGTCTGAAAACAAAGGGATTGATGACAATTTTTGACATCTGGGGCTCTCAGTGCCAAGGAGGCAGAGAGGTGTTAAGGATAGGAAAGACTTCTTGAAATTGCTTATTTCGTATCTCGTGAGATTCAACCTACCAATAAGACTGGCTCTTTGCCATGCCTGAAGGAGTTCACTTGATATTCACAATAATTATGGAGTCCTCTCTTTTCTGAACTAAACTCCATAATAGGCACAATTAAGCTAACCTTTACTGAGCACTTACTATACCAGGTATTTTGCTGAGCACTTTACATTATTTTCTTTAATTCTTAAATTTAGGTAGAATATCATTTAGGATCCTCTTGATAGACCTAAACCAAATAGGTGTAAACGCAAAGAGCATTTATTGGTTTACAAAACTGGGAAGCTCAGGAACAGGGCTGCCTTCATACATGACTGGACTCAAACAACATTATCAGAACCTTGACTCCCTCCATCTCCTGGCATGGATCCACCTTCCTTTGTGTGTTGGCTTTGTTCTCAGGTTCCCCGTGGGGGCAGGTGGCTGGAGCTGCTCCAGCCAGACAGTCTTCCAGCATCTCCATTTCAGCAGGAAGTAGAAAGCAGCACTCAGGAGTGGCACTCAGCTTCCTCCTGAGTGCTCAGATGTACTCTAATTAGACAGCATCACATACTCATCTCTGAATTGGCCTCATGGCCAGGGGCTTTGAAGAGTCTGTCCTGAGTCATGGTCTGCATTCTTCTTCTTACTATTTTTTTTAGACTTTTTTTTTTTTCTCTGTTGCCCAGGCTGGAATGCAGTGGTGCAATCACAGCTTACTGCAGCCTTGACCTCCTGGGCTCAAGGGATCCTCCCACCTCAGCCCCCAGGGTAGCTGGGACTACAGGTGCACTCCACCATGCCCGACTAATTTTTGTATTTATTGTAGAGGTGGGGTTTCACCATGTTGCCCAGACTGGTGTCAAACTCCTGGGCTCAAGTAATCCTCCTGCCTTGGCTTCCCAAAGTGCTGGGATTACTGGCGTGAGCCACTGTGTCCGGCCTCCATTCCTGGAGGGAGGTGGAGGAGCCTTAACTAGACCAGAAGGATAGAGACTAGGGGAGAAGGATCTCCAGATGGAAATTTGGGGAATAGATGCAGAGCAAGCAACAAAAAATTTTCATAACCCCTGTGAGTGTTAGTGTTCCACTTTGATAGATGAGGAAACTAAGGCTCAGTAATTGATAGAACAGGAGCTCGAATCCTGTCAGTTACATTTAACAAGCCATATTATTGTTCCATTTATTCAGAGGAAATGTTTTTTCTTTTTAAATACATAAAAACAAGAATGCATAACTAGAGTAAATGAATTAATGTCAAATTTTCCATAATGAAAATTCTCCTTAACTTGTCCTGCAAATGTACCCCAGGAGACAGAAGAAGCCCTCTAAGAACGTATAACTCTCTTTTCAATATGTCAATGGCCAAGTTTTTCTGCCAAGGGAAAGAAAGGGAATGTGACTCATTATTAAAGATCCAGGGCATGCTTTTGACTTCATCTTCAGAATGATTTGAACCAACAATTCAGCTGGCTTCAAGAAAAACAACACATGAAGTGACTTACTGTAGAAAGTAAAAAGTTTCCTCTTCAAAGTTTAAAAATAAATCTTAAGTGTTAGAAATAATAGTTTCTTTTAAAGACTAACTTCCTTCAAGCCTCCTTGCTTTATGCTAATAACTCTTTGTTAAGCCCTATCCTATGTAGCTGTTAGACATGCTCACAGGCATAGTACATTCTATGTCCTTGAACCTTAACCAAAATATTTGTGTTGGACACGCTCATAGGCATGTCCCAGCTCACAGCCTGTGTCCCTTCCTTACTTAGGAATATTATTACTTTTCTACCTATTTTTAAAAGTTTTAAATTATTAGCCAGTCAGGTTTCATGAGGTCTGGCTCCAGCCAATGGAGACAGGACACAGCAATAAGGACCTCACGTGTAAGTAATAAATATTCTGGTGTCTGTTTATTCTGTGTGTGCCCTTGCCATTGTCCCATCTGCAAGGGACACCCTTTCTGCAGAAAGTAAAAATTGCCTTGCTAAGACAACTTTTTGTCTAAATGCTGATTTTTCCTTGTGGCACCAAAGAACAAACATTTTACATTTCTAACACTTACTGATATAATTTATCCTTTCTTAGATACTTCACGTGGGCCTGGCTGCCTTGTAAAGGGTTTTGAAACAGTCATTTAGGAGATATGGTCATTGTTGATTTTATTCTGAACTCTCAACCACAAGCAACTATGAAGTCTGTTATTAATGACCTTATCATATTGACATGTACTAACCAAGATAGAGAAAGCTATGGTGTTAGCAAAGTTAGCAAAGTCTTAGACTTGGCACTAATTAACTCTGTAACCTCAGACAAATCTCCTAACCTTTCTGATTCTCTCTCTTTCTTTTCTTTTCTGTTTTTTTTTTTTTTTTTTTGACAGAGTCTCACTCTGTCCCCCAAGCTGGAGTGCAGTGGCGCCATCTTGGCTCACTGCAACCTCCGCCTCCCGTGTTTGAGTGATTCATCTGCCTTAGCCTCCCAAGTAGCTGGGACTACAGGCACCCGCCACCAGGCCCGGCTAATTTTTTGTAATCTTAGTAGAGACAGGGTTTCACCATGTTAGCCAGGATGGTCTCGATCTCTTGCCTCATGATCCACCTGCCTTGGCCTCCCAGAGTGCTGGGATTACAGGCATGAGCCACCGTGCTCAGCCATTCTTTCTGTTTTTTAAGAGATGGGGTCTCACTGTTTTGGCCAGGCTAGTCTCGAACTTCTGGCAGTGATCCTCCTGCCTTGACCTCTTAAAGTGCTGGGATTACAGGCATGAGCCACCACCCTGACCTCACTTTCACTCACTTTCATCTATAAAATCTTCTTTTTTGTTTGGTAGAGGTGTGGTCTTGCTATGTTGTGAGGCTGGTCTTGAACTCCTGGTATAAAATCTTTAAAATGATGATAATAAGTTTATAAGTTTTTGTGAAATTCAGATTATGTAATATGCTTTAAAACTCAAGAATGTTTGTAAACCTGTTAGAATTTCACAAATATAAAGTGTTATACTCCTTTCAATCCAAGAATCTGAGAACTCTGTGGCTGCCTATCACAGTAACAGTGAAGAAATTCCAAGAGGCAGGTCTAGATTAAGTTAGAGTTGAAGTCTGTAACTTCAGAAGCTGATTCTGGACTAGGTAACAACCTCCTATTTAATCAGGAAATAATGGCTTGCAGTAAAACAAAACAAACAAAACATAAAAACACCAATGTGTTTCATTATATTGAAATGCAAAAAGAAGAATGTGATCCAAGCGTGGCATAAACTTCTAAACAAAATCACCAGTTACTAAAATTCTGTACAATTCCATTTTCTCAACATACTTGACTTTTGGATCATTTGTTCACATCCAGGAGATTCCTTAGCACCCCACATCTATTACCTCAAATATGATCAAATCCCTGCAGGGCTCAGAAGAAAGATCAACAAGTCAGAAATCTAAAGAGTAGATATACTGAGGCCAAATTAAAACAGAGCAATGATCAATCCCAAGAATGGAGCCTTTCAGATTTCAAGTAAAAGTGGCCACTGTTTGGGCAGAGGACATACTCCAGCATCCTTTTCTCTCCAAAGCCTTCCCTAGTACTCTCTGCCTTGCTTCCACACAGAAAACTTAGCACCTTTGCCCATCTCCGGTCAGATGATCAAAGAATGCTTCTTGGCCTTCCCTGACTTTCCTTGGTTACTGAACATTGGGCACCAACCATTATTTGTGTGTTAGTTTGTTTATGGGATTGGAAGCAGAATGCCTGCTGTGTTACCTGGTTAGAGGCACTGGAAGTGCCAACTAGAAAGCCCAATCTCTCAGCTAAAGGAGCTCTCCAACTGAGGTTTGGCCTGCAAAGGTGGTGGTGCCTGAGCTGAAGGGTGAATCAAAGCCAGCTCCTCGGATAAGAGGTGAGGGTGATGGATATTTCAAACCAAAAGAATCAGCCAAGTGCTGTGGCTCACACCTGTAATCCTACCACTTTGGGAGGCTGAGCTGGGAGGATTGCTTGAGCCCAGGAGGTTGAGGCTGCTGTAAGCTATGATTATGCCACTACGCTTGAGCCTGGGAGACAGAATGAGATCCTGTCTCAAAAAAAAAAAAAATTAAAGTAAAGAAAGAATAACCTGAACTGAGGAGAGACACAGAAGATCATGATGCATTTAGAACATTTATGTCCATATAGCTGGACTACAGAGTGTATGTGGCTCACAGGAAGCTGGAAAAAGTGAATAGAGAGGTAGGCAGGGGCTGGATCATGAAGAGCCTTGTAAGCCAGGTTTTTAAATTAGCTTTGATCATGAGGGCAATGCAAAGACATCAGAGAGGTTTAAGCACAGAAGTGATATGATCAGATGTGCAGTTGAATAATAACAAGCAATATGTGTTCCAAACAAAATTTGGAAAATCAGAAAAGCACAAAAAAAGTGTAACAGATGGTATTGAATGTCCGGGCCACACTATAGGTCTAAGACTATAGGTCTAAGAATGTTTTCTTAGACCTATAGTGTGTCCTGGACATTCATGACATGACCTTTTTATTTATTCTTTCCTATTGCTTCAGAAAAATCCATTCTAGGATAAAATCCTTGCTTTTCTGATCCCATTCTGTCACAAAAATGCTCTCATTTGAGTACTGCAAAAATTGTGTGAAGTGTAATATTACACCTTCAATATTTTATTCATTGAAAAACTTCTCATCCGTCTGGCTAGGCTTGCTTTAGTCTTGGAAGCTTGCAGTGAAGGAAGGGTGCACAGTCAGCTTTTTCCCTCTTCTACCCACTAGCTGCTCTTTCCTTAGGCCTCTGGGGATGGATTAGGGGCAAATTACTCAGATTTATGTGACTGACACAGTTGTCATATGGTGTGCCATTCGCACCTTGGAGATCCTTCTACTAGGGACCCCTGGCTAGAGTGCCCTCCTGCCAGGTAGCTTCACCCTGCAGGTGGTTTTCCAGGGCAGTGTCCCTTTTGACATGGACTGTGAATGGGTCCCCTCATTCCATGGCCCACCCGTCAATAAAAGTGCAGCTCCCTGCCAATGAGTCTTCTCTCTTTATTCTGTTGCAGGGCAGGCCCTTCTAGACTTTCACCTTTAGGCTTCCTCTGGTGAAAGTCAGTCCTGTGTCTCTCAAACTCCAGGAGACACAGATCAAGGACTCACTCCAAATGACTCTTGTGAAACCTCCTCACTTGGCTTAAAGGGAGGTGGTGTTTCCTATGGCAGGAGTAGGGTGGGTTTGGAACAGTGCACCAGGACCATTGTCTATAAAGAAGACCTTGATCTGGCTTCTTAAGCCCCCAAAGGATGTTTCTAGCCTCTCTTCCATAGCCTAAGGTGGGTAATGGGCTTATATTGACAAAGCCCAGTTCACAATCTCTTTGTGTGCCCTGAACATAGCTAGGGGGTCTAGCAATTCTATTAAAAATTGGTCTAGCAAATTTTTTAGAATGTGCCAGTGTAGGACCTACCTTAGTATTCTTAGTCTTTGAAGAGTTGAGAAAATAGAGGAAGCAATTTTCTTTAAAAAATGAAAATCATTCATAATTCCAATAGTTTTTTTTCTTTTCTCCTTTGGAAGTATAGAGAATAAGGAGAGAAAATTCTCCTTCCACCTTTCAACTATAACAGTTTGATGTGTATCTTTCAAAAATTTGTTATGCTTATATAAATACAGACTATAGATAGACGGGTGATTGTAAAACATAGCTATGGCCAGGTGCAGTGGCTCACACCGTAATCCCAACAATTTGGGAGGGCGAGACAGGAAGATTGCTTAAACCCAGGAGTTCAAGACCAGCTTGGACAACATAGAGAGACCCTACGGTTTCTACAAAAAATTTAAAAATTAGCCAGGCATGGTGCCATGTGCCTGTAGTCCTAGCTACTCAGGAGGCTGAGGTTAGAGGATCACTTGAGCCAGGGAGGTCAAGGCTGCAGTAAGCTGTGCTTGTGCCACTGCACTCCAGCCTGGGTAACAGAGAGGAACACTGTATCAAAAAATAAAATAAAATAAACAAATAAATAAAACATAGCTACACAATGTTTGACATTTTTTCTATCAAGAGGTGGCGTTTATGTTCCCTTCCCTTGAATTGGTGCAGGCTTGTGACTGCTTTGACCAGTGGAATACAGTGGGAATGAAGGTTGTGACTTATGAAGCAGGGTCCTAAAAGGCGTGAAGCTTCCACCTTGATCCCTGGGGACACTAGCATTTGAAGCATCAGGCCACCATGAAAGAAGTATGACTACCCTGAGGACATGATATTGGGGAGGACACACATAGGTCAGTGCCAGCTGAACCCATCCTTCAGCATTGCAGGCCAGGTGGCAGGACATGTGCATAAAGAAAAATGTAAGGAGTACCTCTTCTAACTCCAGCTGTTCCACTCCCAGCCATTCAAGTCATCTCAGCTCTAGATATCATGGGGCAGAGAAAAACCAACCCTGCTATGCCCTGTCTGAATTCCTGCCCCACAGAATCTGCAAGCATAATGAAATGGTGGTTGTTTTATGTTACTAAAATTTGGGGTGACTTGTTACACAGTGATGGGTAATGGGAACAGACAGCTATTTAGAAAGTTCACTGAACTGCAAATGGTAAAGATGGAGTTGAAGGGGGCAAGACTGGGAACAGAAAGACAAGGTAGGAGGGTTTTGCAGTAATCCACATGAGAGACCAGCGGCTAAATTAAGGCAGTGGTAGTAGGGAAGGAGAGATAGGGCCCAATGGAGAAATATTCAGGCTCAACACTTATGGCCCCACTGGCCGGTATCAACAGCACAAAACACAAGAGATGGGCTAGGAAAAGAAGGCATAGAGCAGAGGCCTTGCGCATGCTGTTAGCGTATCTCCTTTGGTATATCTCAGCTTTTTCCTCTGTGTGCAGACTCGGCTTTGTTACCCCAGGCTGTGATTACATGGTTTAGTTTCACAAACGGGATGCCCTGAATGTTAGGCTGTGGATTACATTAATCAATCTATTTTGTTTTATCTTACATGCTTACTTAAAAGCTCCTTGTACTTAGAAAGAAAATATATGCAAAGTAATGTACAAAGCAGAGACTTGTCATTGTTTTAAGCTGAGCCCTTGTACCCTGTCAATGAACAAAGAGGCCCCTGGGTGAGCAGGATCAGTTTATAGTGATCAGTCTCTGAGAGATCTACCTCCCTGCAGCAGGGCAGTGAAGGAGGGTGGGAAGGACAGGGTGTACGGAACAGAAAGATAGAAAAAAATTGCTCACAGCCAGCTTACTGGCACGTTTCAAGATATGCTAGGCCTAGACTGCAGGACAGTGTGTGCTGGAGATAGAGTTGCAGTCTACAAAAGGTCTGCACATGCATTAAGTATGGACAGACAAAAGCTCGTGCTGCCAAAAATGGTAAGGCTTGTTACCTCTGGGGGTTGGAATTACTTCTGTTTTTTGTTTTTGTTTTTGTTTTTGAGACAGGGTCTTGTTCTGTCACCCAGGCTGGAGTGCAGTGGCACGCTCTTGGCTCACTGCAACCTCCGCCTCCCAGAGCGATTCTCCGGTTTCAAGTGATTCTCTTGCCTCAGCCTCCCGAGTAGCTGGGATTACAGGCGCCCGCCACCATGCTGGGCTAATTTTTGTATTTTTAGTAGAGACAAGGTTTCACCATGTTGGACAGGCATGTCTCGAACTCCGGACCTCAGGTGATCCGCCTGCCTCAGCCTCCCAAAGTATTGGGATTACAGGCGTGAGCCACTGTGCCCAGCCTTCTTCTGGTTTTGTTGATGTGTTGGGACCTTTGTGCTTTTTTTATATTTTCCAAATTTTCTGCATATGTATTACTTCTGAAAATAATTTTTGAAAAAACTACATTCTTTTAAAAATTATGAGGCCCTCACAGTTTCACCCATGTGGCTCTTATCTGCACTAGTGTTTTCTGCAAGTTTCACTCTAGATCATCTGACTACTCTCATCTTCCTAGACTAGGGGACTGCACACGCAATAAGGGACCACTTTATACACAGTTTAGGGCCCTCTGAGTCTCCCTTTCAGAATTCTTTCCTGAACACTTCTCGAATACTCAACACATTCTCCAAGTGCTCGGGACAGCCTCTGAGTCCCTGCAGTCCTCTCTGCAGTGCCAAGTCTGTGGTCTTTAGTAACCAAGTCTGTGCTCCCAAATCACTTCTCTCTCTCTCCTACAGTCTCCCACTTCCCACCCTCCATCCAAATGCCTACTTACTTCCCAGGAAGATCTCAGCTGGATGTTAGAAACAGAGCTAATAAATATTAAACTCATTCACAACATTTGAATGAGTAGCTAATAGCTTCATACTCACTGAGTTTTAAAAGAGGTTGCCCAATTAATGTTAGTGTCTCTAATTGGTGATATCAAAGCTATAGTCGAATGCAGATTTTCCCGCTCGCATTAAATCTATGTGCAAGTAGGTCACAACCTCTTTTAGCCAAGCAGGAAGGGTTTCCTGCAGCCAGGCGCCATCACCATTAATATCAGATAGAGCAGTAACTAATTCAGTCATGTTGATGGATGCCGAGATGGTGCCTAGACTCATCTGCAGTGGGAGCTACAAAGCTAGAGTGCGAGAAACCAATTTCCTCCAGCCTGAAGTGCTCTAGGTCACCCCTGGTTACGGAGAAAATGACATGAGTCACTGCATCTCCTAAGCCAGCTTATCCAGAATGTTGTGCACAGCTAAGCCAACAAATAACAATAGGTGTACACAGAATACACATTATCTCACCCCATTAGTCCTGAAGATCTATTCTGATTTCCCAGAAAAAAGGTTAGGGAAACTGCAACGTGTGGCAGTTACAAAAACACTTCAAACCAATACCCAACAGGGGAAGAAATGCAGACACGCTCTGAACTCCAGCCAGCGAGCCAGTTCAAAACCAGGCTTTACCTGTCCAAGGAAATCCCTTCCCTGGGGGACATTTAAAATGGCTTAGAGGCTTTCTTTCTTTCTATAAAGCAGAGTTTGGGGTGCTCTCTTGCTCTTGGGGTGCTCTCTCACTCTCTCTGTCTCTCTCTTTCTCAGTTACATGCATTAAACGTTTACAAGTATCTACCATGTACCGAGTATTATGCTAGGCACTGAGGTTTCTAGTATGAATATGGCTCAGTCCCTGCTCTAAAAGAAGCTGAAATTCAGTTAGTGGGTGGCAATGGGCACAGGTGCAAATGATGGAGCAAACAGTAATACAATCAATTAAGTCCTATAAGAGAAGATAGAAGAACAGGGACAAGGAAGTGTTGAAGTCCTCCTGCCAGGACTGAGGCACAGGTGGGAATTGGGTGGGTGGAGAGGCGGGAAGCTGTGAGGCGGGGAGGCACAGGTGACCCTGGAGGAAAGGCTTCAAGGATAATTAGTTAACCAAGTGGCTAAGTGAGGTGCAGGAGAGGAGAGGGAGATGAACTCTCCTCTACTTTGGAGCATTCCAACTCTAGATTTTTATGTTTTTACATTAGCTTATTTTTCTTTTGTTTCTCATTTAACTCTAAAATCAAAACTAAGTGCAAACAACATTTTATAACCCTTGAAAATGGAAATGGTACACTATGACCTGTTCATTTCACAGTTAAGCTTCTTCAAATCTTCAGTTCTCTGCTCCTAGACTTTTGGATTCACATTAGTCCTAGAAGATGGATCAGAGAAATGCAAGGAAAAAAAAGTGAAAATCATTCATTTTTAAGTAGTTAATGTTTTATAATCTAATTCCAAAAAGACTCAGAGGAAACAATTAATGTATCTGTTTAACTGATCCGGTTAAAATGATTGTGAAAAAGTTAGAAACGAAAAGCTACATTTCAACTTTATTTCCCCAAGCTATTCCTTTCCTCAATTAGCCTGATAATTGGGAGATAACTACAGAGCATGCCACATCCACTCTAAAGCATATTTATAGGAAAAATGCCAGAGATCTGGCTGTCTATTCTTTAACTCTAAATAAAGCATTTCCAGATGCCCAAAATGCACCTAAAATATATTATATTATGTGTATATATATGTATATATATATATTTCTTTTTTTTTTTTTTTTTTTTTTGAGATGGAGTTTCACTCTTGTTGCCCAAGCTGGAGTGCAATGGCACGATCTCGGCTCACTGTAACCTCCACCTCCCGGGTTCAAGTGATTCTCCTGCCTCAGCCTCCAGAGTAGCTGGGATTACAGGTGTGCGCCACCACGCCCAGCTAATTTTTGTATTTTTAGTAGAGATGGGGTTTCACCATGTTGGTCAGGCTGGTCTCGAACTCCTGACCTCGTGATCCACCCGCCTCGGCCTCCCAAAGTGTTGGTATTACAGGCGTGAGCCACCACGGCTGGCCAAATTTATTTTTTGTATAGCAAACTGACTATAGGTGTATTCCTTTTAAGTTCATTTTTAAAAGCATAAGTGCTAGGCTGGGCATGGTGGTGGCTCACGCCTGCAATCCTAGCACTTTGGGAAGCTGAGGCAGATGGATCACCTGAGGTCAGGAGTTCGAGACCAGTCTGGCCAACATGGCAAAACCCTGTCTCTACTAAAAATACAAAAATTAGTCGGGCGTGGTGGCGCACAGCTGTAATCCCAGATACTTGGGAGGCTGAGGCACGAGAATCGCTTGAACCTGGGAGGCAGAGGTTATAGTGAGCCGAGATCACACCACTGCACTCCAGTCTGGGTGACAGAGCGAGACTCCATCTCAAAAAAAAAGTATAAGTGCTGTATACTTATAGATTAAAATAAAAGTACAGAGGGAATAACAGTCACTCCCCAGAAGTAATTATAGTCAACAACTTTGTGAATCTCTTTCCAATATACGTATGTATTATACAAGAAGATTGTAATATAGACCGTGGCATCTCCAGAATTTCTATATTGGAGAGGCTCAGGGGAGACATCTAGTTAAATGAGAAGGCTAGGAGAGAAGCTGCCTTTTCATAGTAAGCCGTTAGTATTTTAGATTGAATTGATTTGGCATATTTTGTGGGGATGGGGGCTGGAGGAAATTATGGGAGGAGCTAAAGGCTTTCCTGAGCCAGCTATGGCAAGCACTGCCACCTATTTCCACAACCTGCTTTTTTAACTTAAAAATGTCTTGAACATTTTACCATGTCACCAACACATAGAGATCTACCACCTTCTTTTATAATAGTTACATTGAATTCCACTGCATTTAATTAATCTCCTATTGATAAACATTTAGATGTTTTCCAGTTTTCACTAAGCATTCCTCTCTTTCTCTCTCCCTCCCTCTGTGTGTGTGTGTGTGTGTGTCTTCTGTTTATAACATGAGAATTTCTGTAGAATAGATTCATAGAAAGAAGATTTATAGGATGAATTATATGTACACTTAAAATTTTGACAGAAAACTCTCATTATTTAATATATGACTCTGCTGCCACTGTGATGGCAGAATACTGTCTTCTATGATTGATGGAGTGACCATATTATTTAGCAGCCAAACCAGAACACTTTTGAGAGAGAAAGTAGATGCAATTAATTATCATGCTGGAACCACAGGCATAAACCAGGACTACTCCTGGGCAAACTAGAACATTTGGTCACCCTAATAATTATTAATATAAACATCATCAGTGAGAATAAGATCATTGAAAAATTGACAGTTCTGCAAATAACTTAAGAAATTTCAATTATCCTCCTTTTTTCCTTCCAAAGCCTACTTTATTACTCCCATAGTGTATCACCGTGAAAGAGTATATGAATCTTCCAGCAATCTTCTTGTTGGATCTTGTGTTAATGACAACAAACACAAAATCTGGGGGGAAAGGGGGAGAATCTGCTTCTAAATGTTTAGCACTATTCAACTTTTCAGTTGAAAAAGGGGAGATTCCCAAACCAGGAATCATAGTTGGATATCAAAATATCTCACGGGATACAGAAATAATATGAAGAGAGGAAAAAGTGTTAGAAAATAGTAGAGAACCTTATCACAAAACATTTGTTTCCAGTAAATCTAGGCTCGGCATTCTTTAATAAGTCCAGAAGTTACATAAAAGCAATGAAAAAGAAGATAGCAGAGTCAGTTTTCTGAGGTCTGTGACTTGGGTTCCAGCAGGCCAAATTTTAGATAGTCCATGGACTAATGTTGATTTTTGTGGCTCAACCTGAGAACATATATTCTCTTTGGTGTCCTGTGAAATACTGGCAGGGCTTGGCCAGCTTCCTTGGTTCTTTATGGACAGTCCAAGCCCTGAGATACCAGACATATGGCCTTCTGTGAGTGTGGTCTACCAAACATGTCACTTCCCATTTCCAAGACAGCTGGGAAAAAAAAAATTATTTTGCTGCCAGGCAGGATCAATCTATGGTAAAAATCTGTGTAAGTTCAGAGACAACTGGTTGTTCCAGATGGAAAAGGAGAGTCCATCTCGTGTCTTGTCTGTGTGTGTTCCCATCCCTCCAGCAGTGCCCTTTATTGCTCGTTAAGGATTACATTCCTTTTTCTGTCTGTTATCCCAGGCTCAGGAAAAAAAGCCCTTGACGGGTTAATGAATTACCCAGCACACTGAATCATCTGTCTTGTGTTTCTTACTAAATGAGAGGCTTTAACAGATCAGCGCTGAGGTGTTGGGAAGTGTGTTTCTAGTAAACGGCAAGCTGATGAAAATGCCTCAAAGCCTTACAATTCACGACCTGAAGGCAACTCCAGGAGAGGATAGTTTCCAAAACATACCTCCTTTCAGCTCTTGTCCATTGGCTGCGAATTCAAAAAGTGGATGTAATTGTCAAGTTTTTTTTCAAGGGCTGAGTTAGTTACAACAATGTACTGTTTAGTAGTAGCAACTGTTAACCTACTTTTTTTTTCAGGAGTGACAATGGGTACAATACATAGCAGCATTCCCACTTTCTCACCTTGACTTTGCTTTAATTAAGGCGTGCATTGGCAAAACATTTGAAATGCATTCTCTTTCTGTGAAATGGATGTTTTGCTTTATCAAAGGCCATCTGAAAGCTGAGATCAATCTATAGGTACTGACAAAGATAAGATGTTAAGTCAAAAACAAACAAACAAACAAACAGAAATTGCCAAATAGTACGTATGGCAGATCCCATTTATGTAAAAATATGTGTAAATATAGTATGTGTTAGTATTTGAGTAGAAGGAATTTGAAACACTATGCACCACATTATTAATAACTGTTATGTCTGAGGGTGGAATTGCCAGGGCTTTTTACTTTCTAAGACATCTGTATGGTTTGCCTTTTATACAATAAGCATCTGTTACTTTCGAATCTGAAAGGGAATGGGGGTGCAAAAATAAAGTCACTCCAAAAAATTCAACTGATTTCTTAGTCATACAGTCAAACTAGCTGAGCTATCCAAATGCAAACATAAGAAGCTTACCAATGGGGAATGGACTGTACATACTGTAAAAGGTAGCATTGTTATATATTAATAAATATTACATACACAGGATAGGCTTCTAAGGGCAGAAGCAAAGAACAAATGCCAGAGAGAAAGAATTTTCTATTTCTCATTTAAAAAATTAACTTGTTAAAAAATAAACTTAATTTAATTGGAGAACTTTTTCAAACTCACAGACTTATTTTGGAAGATTACTCGTTTTAGTTACGTAACCTGAACCCTCAGTTTAGGAAAATGCTCAGCAAGAATATGACAGATGTTAATCGGTAGCATTTAATGGCAAATTGCTGATGTTGTTCAATTAATCATATCAGATCTAATGTCATGTTTTTCTGTGATTTGTGAGTCATCCCAGTGTGGTATAGTGAAAAGTATATAGGTTTTAGAGATTCCGCTTAGGTTCAAATCTCCCCTCTCCCACTATACTTCCAATTTGATTTTGGATCAATTACTTAACCCCCTTAAGCCTCGGTTGTTTGAATTAAATGTATTTTATAATAATAACTGCTTAATAGGCTTGTGATAAGGCCTAAACAAAATGATCTATAAAATGCATTTTATAAACTATAAAATGCTCTAGCATATAGTAGGCACTGAATATTGAGTGAATAAATGAAAGAATTAGGGAATATTATTCTAGACTTTGTTTAATGTCCACACAAAATGAGAGAGACAGAAAAAGAAAAACAGAGACAGAGAGGGTGAAAAGAGAGAGAGAGGAGAAGAGAAAGACAGAAAAGAGAGAAGAAAGGAGAAAGTTCCAGTTCCTTCAGGTGTGGAGTTTCCTAAGAATGAAAGTGACTCATGATTTAGAAAAGGAAAAAAGTGAACAAGCAATAACTGAATGCAAATCCTAGGTTTGGAATAATGCTGCAACATTTTGAAATTGCCACACAAATCACACATAATACCTACTATCCTTTAAGGCCTTCTCAAATGTCACAGCCATGATGAGGCCTTTCCTAATTTCCCAGGCAGTGGTAGGAACTTCCTCTATATGTTCCACAGCTAAGCGCTGGAGGTGTCAGCCATGAGAAACTTTGCCTTCCATCATGAAGTGCACTGCTCTCAGCTCGTTCCCAGGGAATTAATGCTAGGATGTTCTTTGCATAAAGGTAACTTTGGATTAGACTTGGGGGTATGTGCCTGACCCAAGGCGACCCATCTAATGAGGTCCTAGCATGAAAAGATTACCTGGGCCAATCAAATTCTCTTTCAGAGAAATTGAAACTAATAGAATCAAAAGAATTTGCTAGTTGGAGAGAAGAACCCACTTGCAGAGTGAGTTCCCTTAATGACAGTGCCCCAGAATGACAATTCTGTGACCCAAGTCCACTCTTGGTCCCATAGTTAGGAAATAGGTAAAGCTGAGCATACACTCAAGGATTTCTTAACTTAGTTATCCAACACAGGTGATTTTGGTGTGTGCAAGCACTTCAGAGAGGAGTTTAAAAAGCCCCGTTCTTTTAGAAATAAGTTGATATAGCAGCTTGCTTTTAGCTAATCACCCATTACTTTTCTTTCCTTATCCTACAGCTCTTCCCACTCTCCTGTTTGCCACCTACCATGCCTGCACGGCAATCTAGACACCAGAACATTTGAAGGACCGCAGAGCCAAACAGTTCAGGTGTGAGTCTGATGGCTAGTAGAGAGGTAGGGACCAGAGATACAGATTTGGAAGTTAACAAAACTGCTGATTTAAAATCTGCAAAAGTAGAGGAAGATGCCCAATGATTGTAAGGGTGGTTAGAAGATCCTAGAAGAAATTCTGTAGATACAAATGCTTAAACACTGGGCAACAGAGAAGGAGGAGAAGGAACTCGTGGAGGAACACTCAGAGAAGAGACCAATATAGAGACAATTGGCAATCCTTTCCCAAGAGGTTTCAGTGGGAAGGTAGAGATAGAATTGAGACTGCAATGTGTTTTGAAATGAGGTTGAACTAAGGAAGTGGAGCAGTGATTGTTGCTAACCCTCTTAAAGAGATTAGCAGAGGAGGAAATGTCCAGGAAGGCTTGGCATCCTTAAATGCTCCCTCTCCACCCATGGGCAAGGCTACAGGCATCCTATAAATGCAAGCTTGACTTAGCTATCTACACTTTGAGAATTCTTTCTGCTCTGGCTCTCATCCAGCTTTCTAAACTTTTGGTTCTATTCTTCTATCCTTACTTACCAATCTTTTAACTCCCATCCATTTTTTTCCTCTTTGCCCAGCTCATTTTAGATTGATACAGTGTGTGGCTGTCTCTTTGGTTCTGACCCTATTTCACCTGGAACACTATCTTCAGTTCCCTTTTTGTTTCATGGCCTGAGCTCTACCCTACTCCCTTTCCATCTGAGCACCCAGACCCTGGCTCCTGGCTTCCCTGAGCCTCCCATTTTGCCAAAGTTTGGAACAGAATCGGTTCATAAGGAGAGATATAGGGCAGTGATAGAGAAGGATAGAGCCAAAGAAGCAATTTCACTCTGAGAGAAACCGGTTAGAGGGGAAAAAAAAACCCAGTAGAGGATGTTAAAGGTAGAAGAGAGGAGGCAAGACTGCTGGGACACATTTCCCATAGGTGGAGTGGAAAGGGGTTGAGGACATAGATGGAGGCCTTGACCAAGGGAAGGGATCTCACCGTCTAAGGCAAGAGGGAAGGAGATGATAATAAGAATCAGTACAACTAAGTTGGTAGGAGGTAAGGATTCCCCTGAGAGTTAGGAACCTGAAAGTTAGGTTGGGCAAGAGGTTTGAAGACTTGCGAAGGTTTGGTGGCCACTCAGGTGAAAGGTAAAGTGAATTAAGCAAGGAACAGGATTATGGAGTAACACTGCAAGACCTGTAGAAGCTAAAGACTCAGCACTTGTACCAGGACCTCCTGCACCAGTGTACGATTTTCTCCAGCAGTGCTTCAGCCAACAAGGATCATCTCTTATTATCCAGGCTGACAATCAATCCTGGTGGTTAAGACCAGCATTCCCAGGACCTGCCTTGGTTCCAGGCCAGGGGTCAGATGCACTGTCCTTAGGACACTGGGGGAGTCAGAATGGAAGAATCTTTATTTATTTATTTATTTTTTGAGTTGGAGTCTGGCTCTGTCGCCCAGGCTGGAGTGCATTGGTGTGATCCTGGCTCACTGCAACCTCTGCCTCCAGGTTCAAGCGATTCTCGTGCCTCAGCCTCCTGAGTAGCCAGGACTGTAGGTGCGTGCCGCCAACCCTGGCTAATTTTTGTATTTCGATGATGATATGAGGTTTCACCATGTTGGTCAGGCAGGTCTCAAACTCCTGACCTTGTGATCCGCCTGCCTTGGCCTCCCAAAGTGCTGGGATGACAGGCATGAGCCACCACGCCGGGCAGAATGAAAGAATCTTAACATCCCTTCAACTCATCTGTTCAGTCTGTGGACATACCTGAATTTGACAGAAGAATAGAAGACTACATGGAGGAATTATTATTTTACATGATCAAGACCAATCTCCCCACTTGCTGCACATCAGCTCTGTCCTGATTGAACCCTGATGGAGACCCAGTCTGCTTGCTGGGCTTCCTGCTACAACTGGAAATTCTTGTGACCCTTATAATCCAGGCTGCCCATTTTCCAGTGGGGACTGAGCATGCGGCTTTCCTGGTCTCTCTGCCATACATAACGTGATGCATTCTTGGGCAGGCTGTGCTTCGTGTATGGAAGTTTGATCCAAGTGAGGCGTACTGGCTGAGCCCTTCACAAACTCCAGCAGGGTTAAGACCTTATCAGCCACTCTGCAACAGGCCTCTGGATCCTGGCCTGTGACCTGCCTAGAGCAGTGCTGCTCTGAGTTTCATTTCCAACAGCCTGGCTGGACGCTCCACAGTGAGCTGCCTGAGACTGTTAAGGGGCTGAGGGCACAGCTGCCATGGTTGTCTGGAATGAAGTACCACTTTGTACAAAGGTGTCTTGCTTGGCGAACCCCACTTCCACAAAGAAATATCATGTTCTCTCAGCAGAGAAGGAAGCCAGCCAGGACTGAGGGGATCCCACCTCCTTCCTTACCTGTCCAGCTACCTTCCTTGGAATGTTCTGGCACTCTTGTGGTTGCACAGGGCCAAAGGTCCCTTAGATCCTAGGCCCTGTGGGTGCTTCAGCTTCACTTTGCTAGTTATTGCATTCTGATCTGGATACACAGCTACCTGTCTGCCAGAGTTTATCATTTCCTTCTTGGGATGACTGAATGCCCCAAATTGGCCTCTGCTAGTCAGGGCAGGGTATTACAAAGTAATGATCACATGTTTTATAATATGCCCCTTCTGATTCTTGCTGATGCAGGGCCTGGCATGCCTACCAATGCACGACCTCACCATAACCTGCATCCCAGGTGGGAAGCTGCACATTTCATAAATTCCCCAGGCACATGAGGCTCACCCTGCCTACCCTGTTATAGCCTCTGAATCAGTGGCCAACACAGCAATGTTATGCTCAAAAGGCCAAGGAGACTTAGCTTAAAAGTGGGCTGGGCACACACACAACTCTGCCACGTGGATATACTAAGTTCATCTCTCCTACATACACAGATCCCCTAGTGTCACCTATTTAACCATTTGGTATAAAAGTAAACCCATCTTAGAATAAAATCAAATCTAGAAGTGTAATAGAGAAGGAGAGGGGTTGTGTAGAGGTGAAAAACAAATCACATTTGTGCCTCCACTGTACATTGAGAACATGAAGATGTAAGAAACTCTGTGGAACTTAGCTTTTTACATGCAGAAAGAACTAAGTTTCATCTGCACATTCTTGTATATACCTGTACAGACACACACAGACACACACTCAGAGAGAGAGAGTGAGGGAGAGAGAGAGCATCCTAAAATTTCTGGCACACATAAATGAGTTTAAGTCCTGCAGGACCTTACACACCCAGTGCTTTCTCTACATTGATGAATAAGAAGATATTAAAATGGGATCCTTGGGAGGTTGAGGTCAGGGGATCACTTGAGGCCAAGATATTGAGACAAGTCTGGACAACATAGTGAGACCCTGTCTCTCAAAAAAAAAAAAATTAGCCAGGTGTGGTGGCGTGTGCCTGTAGTCCTAGCTACTGAGGAGGCTGAGGCTGGAGGATCAATTGAGCCCAGGAGTTCCAGGCTGCAGTGAGCTATAATCACGTCACCGCACTCCAGCCTGGGGGACAGAGTGAGACCCTGTCTCAAAATAAAGATAAAATGGTATTCTTCTAGTTACAGTCTCAAAGTTCCAAATGCAAAGGACAAAAAAAAAAAAAAAAAGCCCCAAGTACCCATGCATTCCAAAACAAGGTGCTAGACCACCTATGCAGAACCTGCCAGCCTAGCCATCACCTATCTCTGCTCTATAAAAGAGTGAGGGGAAAGAAGCTAACTGGGAGATGGCGGGTGGTGTGATGTGGATCCTGCCTTGTCTGTGGGAGATGGGAGTTGGGTTCCCCCTTCATCTCAGGCCCAGGGGAAGCGGCATCAAGGGAATACTCAGCTAATTTCACACATCCTCATGACTGGCTAACTAATTTGTGGGATCCAGTACAAAATGCAAATGTGGGGCCCCTTTTTCAGAAAGTAGGAAGAGATGGCATTAAAAGTACCAAATTATTTAAAGGAAAAAAATCGTGCCATTACTCTTGAAAACAAATCCTGGTGAAGCAGGCCTTGAGGCCCACTTTGGGCAAAACACAAGGCCCAGGCCCCCCAGGAATTCAGAGATGAAAAGCAAGTATGTTTTTCGTCAATTGCCTACTGTGTGCCAGGCATTGTGGGAGAAATTTTACACGTGTTATCTTGTTTGACCTTCATGACAGTCCTCGTTGTTTCTACAGTAGATTCTACAAGGTCATGTAGATGGTGAGTGGCAGAGACAGGATATGGGCCCAGGTGTTACAGGGTCTCAAGTCTGAGTTCTTTCTGCTGGACTTCAGTGTCTCCCAGGCAAGATGGGAAAGGGTGGGATGCTAGCACTTTTGGAGCATCTCCTGGTGCCAGCACTCTGCTTGATGGAGTTGGTCCAGCTGTTTGAGAATGAGCTTCTGTTTCTGGGGGATTCTTTCTAGGCTCTTTAGATATGCCCCTAATCTCCACTATTCACCATAGTGGCCTGACTGCCAGAGGAACTGGAATGCTGGTGGAGAAGAGAACAGAAATGTCTCTCATTCTCTCATACATTCATTTGTTCATTCATGTACATTACTTGCTTGAGCCTTTCTCCTCTGCATCTCTGATTTCCCAGGGCAATTGTGAGTCTCTCTCTCTCTCTTTCTTTTAACTTCCTCTTAGTCTAGGGCCAGTAGAATTTAATGAAAAGACAACTGGGAGGTTATGTACATGATGAAAGGAAAATAAATTATTTCGGGATAGCATGCTTTCTGAAATGAGATTTCAATGTATTAAACAAACAAAAAAATGACCTGTCTGGCTAATTATCTTCTTTGTCCAAGAATTATTTTATTACTCAATTTAGCCATAAGGTCCATGTAACTAACTGTGATCAGATAAAACAAAAAGAGTCATAATTAAGCAGAAGCTGGGCAATGAGGTTGATGATCCTTTTCCCTTAAGGTTATGATCTTAGAATGTTTGTAAATTCATGACTGTATTTGATGCCTTGTCTAAAACGTGGCCTGAAATGCTGGAGCTGCAAGTAACCTTAGCAACAAAGCAAGTAAGGAGAATGCCTTATTGTGGAAAACAAGGATTTTAACAGCTTAAGAGTTCATGGTGGTCCCTTTGTTTGAAAGACAAGGAAACTGAGCACCAGAGATGCTAGATAAATTTTCCTTAGATACCCAGCGCATTAAGGTAGAACTGGTATGCTTCCCAGCTGTAAGTCCAGGGCTTTCCCATTATGTCCTATTATTTTACTTATGGTTTCTTTTCAGAGGTTATATTTGCTTAATTGCTTATTTATATTTAAATGCTTTTGTCTTCATTTTTGTTGCTTTCATTGCAAAGAAATTTACAGCAGGAGAATAAGTCTCCCTTTAACTTCTCTCTTTCAGTAGATACATTTTCTCTCCAGTGGAAACCTCTGTTAATGAACTATTGTGTATTCCTCCTAAATTTCCCCATGCATTTATAAGCACATATATTGTTTTCTTTTTCGTAAGTGGAAACATATTATTCATATTGTTCTGAGGCTTGCTTTTTTCATTTAACATTCTACTACAATAGTACAAAGATACCAATCCCATTCTTTTTAAAAATTGAGCTATATTCCACATAATATAAAATTAATCATTTTAAAGTGTACAATTCAATGGTTTTTAGCGTACTCACTATGTTTTGCAACCTTCATTACCACCTTAATTCCAGAACATTTCCATCATCCAAAAGAAGCCCTGGTATTAGTCATGTTTCTTCAGAGAAACAAAACCAATAGGATAGATCTAGATGTAGCTCTAGATATATAGATATGTAGATATATGTAGATGTGTGTAAATATACATAGATATGTATAAAATGAAATTTATTATGGAAATTGGCTCATGCAATCATAGAGGCCAAGAAGTCCTACAATATGCCATCTGAAAGTTAGAGAACCAGGAAGGGTAGCAACAATTTAGTGTGAGGCCAAAGGCTTGAGAACCAGGGAAGGGCTGGGGAGGTGTTGCTGGTATAAGTCCCAGAATCTAAAGGTTAAAGGTCCAAGAACCAGGAGCTCCAATCTCTAAGGATGGGAGAAGATGGATGTCACAACTCAGAGATGGAGAGAGAGAATTCAGCCTTACTCTGTCTTTTTGGTCTATTTGGATCCTCAATGGATTGGATGTTGGCCACCCACATTAGCGAGGGCAGATCCTCTTCCTTCAGTCTACTGATTCAAATGCTACTCTCTTCTGGAAACACCCTCGCAGATACAACCCAAAATAATGCACTACCAGAGAACTTGGCATCACTTAACTTAGTCAAGTTGGCAATAAAGTTAACCATCGCATCCTGTACCTATTAGCAGTTAGTCCCAATTCCCCCCATCTTTTCAATCCCATGGCAACCTCTAATCTACTTCATGTCTGTCTAGATTTGCCTACTCTGGACATTTCATATAAATGGAATCATGCAATATGTGGACTTTTATGTCTGACTTCTTTTACTAAGCATAATGTTTTCAAGGTTCATCCATATGCTAGCACTGAATAGTACTCCATTTCTTTTGATACCTCATAGATATCCATTGTATGTATATGCCACATTTTGTTGTTCATTCATCAGTTGATGGACATTGGGTTGTTCCTACTTTTTGATTATCATGAATAATGCTACTATGAACATCCTACATGTTTTTGTGTGGCTGTATGTTTTCAATTCTTTTGGGCTCATTCTTTTGAATTACTGCATAATAGTCTATAATCTGAATTTACCATTTGTAACCATTTCTCAAATTGATGAACATTTACATTTTATTCATTTTTTATTGATTATGAATAATGGTACAATGAAAATCCCCATGCATATTTCTCTGAGACAGACACTCTAGTGTAAAGAGAGCACTTTATCTGAATCCCTGCATAGCAACTTCCTAGTTAAGCCAGTTGCTTATCCTGTTTCTTCATCTGTAAAGTAGAAAAGGAATAGAAAACTCTCAGGGATAATGATTAATATAAATAAAGCAGTTAGATGGGGATTGACACATGGCATGTGTTCAGTAAATATTGTTAATATTATATGTAAATGTTTCTATAGTTTAGATTACTAAAAACAGATTTTTGGGTCAAGGTATTTATATTTTAAAAATATTGCTGGGCCCGGACATGGTGGCTCATGCCTATAATCCTAGCACTTTGGGAGGCCAAGGCAGGCAGATAACCTGAGGTCAGGAATTCAAGACCAGCCTGGCCAACATGGGGAAACCTCGTCTCTACTAAAAATATAAAAATTAACCGGGCGTGGTGGCACAAGCCTGTAATCCCAGCTACTTGGGAGGCTGAGGCAGGATAATTGCTTGAACCTGGAAGGCAGAGGTTGCAGTGAGCCAAGATCTTATCACTGCACTCCAGCCTGGCGACAGAGCAAGACTCTGTCTCAAAAAAAAAAAAAAAAATTAGCCTGGCGTGGTGGCGCACACCTGTAAATCCAGCTACGCGGGAGGCTGAGGCGGGAGAATCGCTTGAACCTGGGAGGTGGGGGTTGCAGTGAGCCAAGGTCGCGCCACTGCACTCCAGCCTAGGTGGCAGAGTGAGACTCCATCTCAAAAAAAAAAAAAAAAATTTTTACTAATTGCCCTCCAATAAGGTTATACCAGCAGGAATGAGAATGTCAATTTTCCCACAGCTTGGCCAGTTCTGGAAATTATTAAGCTTTTTTTTGTTTGTTTTTAAGAGACAGGGTCTTGCTTTATTTTCCAGGCTGGAGTGCAGTGGCACAATAATAGCTCAGACTCCTGCACTCAAGCAATCCTCCTGCCTCAGCCTCCTGAATAGCTGGGACTACACTTATTAAGCTTTTTAAGTTTTAACTTTTGTCTATCTCATAGGTAAGAATGGCATCTTGTTGTTATGATTTTCATTTCTCTAAATTACAACTGAAGTTAAGTATCTTTTTATTTTTTTGAGACAGAGTCTCACTCTTGTGGCCCAGGGTGGAGTGCAGTGGCACGATCTTGGCTCACTGCAACCTCCGCCTCCCAGGTTCGAGATTCTCCTGCCTCAGCCTCCCCCGAGTAGCTGGGATACAAATGCGTGCCACCATGCCTAGCTAATTTTTTGTATTTTTAGAAGAGACGAGGTTTCACTGTGTTAGCCAGGATGGTCTCAATCTCCTGGCCTCATGATCCGCCTGCCTCGGCCTCCCAAAGTGCTGGAATTACAGGTGTGAGCCACCGTGCCCGGCCTGAGGTTAAGAATCTTTTAATATATTTATTGACTACTTATATTTCTCCTACTGTGAAATACCTATTTACATCTGAGGCACACTTTTCTACTGATTTGTAGACTCTATGTATAGTTACTAGCTTTTTGTTATGTATTTTGATACCAGTTTCTCTTAGTTTGGTTCTTACCTTTTAACTTTTTCCCTCAGAAAGAGTTCATCACAGTGAGCCATGAACTTTGTCCTCATAATCACTCAAGTTCTCAGGCTGATGGAGCAACTGCTATTTTGATAATTTCTGGTTACCTTTCTGGAGGGAAGAGACTTCTGGAAGGTCTCTCATTGGCCACTGAAAGCTCAACCTAGAAATGACACAGATTACTTCTGCTGACAGCTCATGGGTTAGAACTGGTCACATGGCCCCACCCAACCACACGGGGATCAGGAAGTATAATCTTAGCTTGAGCCCAGAAGGTGAAAAGCTGGAAATGTTCTGTGAGCAGCTTGAGACAGATGGAAACAAGAGAAGAAACAGTGGAGTGGTAACGGAAGTGTTGACACGACTCCAGATATTAGGCAAGAAGGCTGTGATCAAGTAACAGAGAATTAATTTCAGTTGTGTTAGAAAGATGTAGCTTCAGGATGGTATTTCATATGAAGTAACTCTGGAACAGGAATCCAAGAAGGGCCACATTTTCTGAAATGTTTCTGAAGCTGATAGGGTTCTTAACATTTAAAGAGTGAGCATTCAAAGAGTGTTTTTGCT
Organism: Homo sapiens; assembly: GCF_000001405.40. Taxonomy (NCBI): domain Eukaryota; kingdom Metazoa; phylum Chordata; class Mammalia; order Primates; family Hominidae; genus Homo; species Homo sapiens. Next base: position 180,610,252 of record NC_000001.11, read on the forward strand.
CATCAGCCATTGATTTAATCCTGATGTGAGGAGTTTATATAGATCATCCAAATATTAAGCCACCAAGCCAGACGGTATTTTGAATGCATTTGGGGAATGGCAGAACTGTCTGTTCTTGACTAAGTGCCTACCCAACCCCCATCCTCTGTAAGCGCTCTTAGTATGTGTGTGTGCACTTCGGGGAGAGAAAAATCAATACCTTCTTGGATAGGTGGAAATTGAGCTATGTCAAGGCATACACGCATTGTCTGATAGCATCTTTCTGCCAGGAATCTAATATATTGATCAAATTTCCCTAGCAGGACAGCCATGCAATATACAATAGCAAGACAGGCTAATGGTAGGAATGTTGGCTATGCATTCCTTTTGAAATAGTTCCTTCACCCAAGAAAACAAAGCTTGAGATCTCCATGCAAGGCACTGCCCCTCCTGATGAGTGCCTTAATCTCTTTGCAACGTCTGGCAGAGGTCACAAACAACACGCTCTCCTATCTGTTTCTGTGGTTCACCTGCTCCTCACTGAGGGTGAGAAATGATCTTCTCAGTTGGAACACTCCTGTCAAACACAGTGTTCTGCCCCTTTCTCTTGTTTGTGTCCACATCTTCCTCCATGGTTCTTTATTTTAACTTTTTTAGACAGTCTCACTGTGCCACCCAGGCTGGAGTGCAGTGGCATGATCATGGCTCACTGCAGCCTCGACCTCCCAGGCTCAAGCAATCCTCCCACCTCAGCCTCCTGTGTAGCTGGGACTACAGGTGGTCCCACCATGCCCAGCTAATTAAAAAAAAAATTATTTGTAGAGACAGGGTTTCACCATGTTGCCATGGTGGATGTACCCATCTGGTTTCCAACTCCTGAGCTCAAGTAATCTGCCTGCGTTGGCCTCCCAAAGTGCTGGGATTTCAGGCATGAGCCATCACCCCCAGCCCCTCCCCTCTTCTTTGAACCAAAGCAACATTTCCTTTCTTCCCCAGCAACAGCAGCAAATATGTGGGTGGCTATTTGGCTGCAGCTCTATGTAGCTATAGAGGCTGTACCTTTGCATTGTGCCCGTGCTGTTTTGACTGTTGTTAATAACTTTTGTTTCTTGTTGTTGTTAAAATGATGAGAAGAGGAAAAGAGCTCTCTGCCTTGGGCCTTTCAAATATGCTCATGCTCATTCCTATCTTAGAATGATGACACAGAAGCACAAGGGGCATTGGCTGACACTCTGTTCATCGATGATAGGCCTGCCTTCAGCTGCTAAAGAGGAAGTGACATGGAGAAGCAGAGAGGAGGATGTGCCTGTATTTTTAAATAAACTGCCTTGTGATGCAGAAGGCCTGTGAAACATTTGAGATATTGAACCCTAGATACATGGAAAATTACTCACATGATTTTGTATTTTTTTCCCCCTAATGACTCCAGTAATCCAAAGGAAGATTATTCCGGTTAAATGACTCATGTAAAACACGTTTTTCAACTGTATCTTGGGCAAAGACGAATCTATTCAGAGATAACAATTTATTATTTAACGTTTTGACAGGTCTACAGAAGTACAAGTCAATTGAGTCCAAATAAAGAACTGTGCTATTTTTAACGACTTCTAGATGTTCTCGGCAGAAGCAAGGCCAGGTTTTGTTAGAGGAAAGAACAGGTTTATGGTTTTTTCCTTCAGGTTTTCACATAAGATTTGATAATCAAAATAATATTTTAAAGGCAAAGTCAAGAAGTAACCTTGGTAATGTTTATGAAAATATGATGAAAGGTTTAGCAAGAAAAAAAAATGAGTAATGTGAAAACTAACTATACCCTGGAACTAGAAATAGATGCATCTGTTAAAAGAGAAAAAATTGTAATATTTTTACTACCTCATTTCTATTATTGCATAGATTGTTGGAGGATTATGTACTTTATAATATGCTTTTCCTTTCCCTAAACAAAGCCATCCCATCCTTTATAGATGAAAAATACCATCCTATTTGAACTTTATCATTCAAATGTACAACAAATCTAATATAGGATTTTAATATTTTTACAATGTTTTCAAACATTTTAGAACTGTTATTTTACTTGATAAACATGCATTATTATCAGGTAGGTAGGCATGATTATTATTCCTGTTTTATTAAGGAGGCAATGAAGACCAAGGTCACATAGCAAAGTAATAATAAAATTGTAACACAGTTCTTTAGACCAAAAACTAATCATATTTTTAGGCGTAAACTTATCTTTATTTTCTTTCTTTTCCCGGCACTGAGTTAAGAGTACATAGAAGTCTTTGAAAAGTTTTGTTTGATGTATAATTTTTAAAATCTTTCTTCTGAAAGAGTGATAAATGAGGGTTTTGTTCCCTTTGGGGTGAAAATTGATATTATATTGCACTTTGAATGCCCAAAGGGAGTGAATTGGCCCAATTTTGCCTTATACCACTTTCCAATACCTTCACTTGGAGTGACTTACACTGTGGTTAATTGCAGTTACAATGAAGAGATTAACATGGGAATGTCATAATAATTGAATCTAAAGAAGACATAATTTCAAAATAAGAGCTTGAGTAATAATACCATTGTGTAACAATCTGATTTCCATCCCTCTTATTTTTCCTATATTATGCAGTTTAGTTCTTTACTATCATGTGTTTCATGTTTGTTCGGTTTTACCAACACATCATTAGTAAATTGAATGTAGGGCTTCTCATTTCTTTTGTAATCCTACATCTAAAAGATTTTAGTCTTTAGAATCCTCTTGAAATGTTCTCCATTTAAAATGGAGAAATAGTTCATGCTCTCTCATCTAAGTAGGAGCTAAAATCTAAAAAATAAATAAATAAAATAGTCCATCCTCTATTATTATTATTGAATACTGAATTTGTTAATTATTATTTATTTTTTGAGATGGGGTTTCACTATTGTCGTCCAGGCTGGAGTGCAGTGGCGTGATCTTGGCTCACTGTAACCTCTGCCTCCTGGGTTCAAGTGATTCTCTAGCTTCGACCTCCCAAGTAGCTGGGATTACAGGCACACGCCACCATGCCTGGCTAATTTTGTATGTTTAGTAGAGACAGGGTTTCACCATGTTGGGCAGGCTGGTCTCGAACTCCTGACCTCAGGTGATCCACCCACCTTGGCCTCCCAAAGTGCTGGTATTACAGATTATAGGGTTTTTTTTTTTTTTTTTTTGAGACAGAGTCTTGCTCTGTCACTCAGACTGGAGGAGTTCAGTGGCGTGGTCTCAGCTCACTGCAACCTCCGCCTCCAGGGTTCAAGATATTCTCCTGCCTCAGCCTCCTGAGTAGCTGGGATTACAGGCACCCACCACCACACCCCGCTAATTTTTTTGTATTTTTAGTAGAGATGGAATTTCACTATGTTGGCCAGACTGATTTTGAACTCCTGACCTCAGGTGATCTGCCTGCCTCGGCCTCCCAAAGTGCTGGGATTACAGGCATGAGACACTGCGTCCAGCCTGAATACTGTGTATTTATTGCCTGCCCTTCATGTTGATTTTATTATGTTCTGAAATTTTCCATGCCCATTCATTCATTTCTTCGTTTATACATCTATACATCTAGTACAGCCAACATGTATTGTACTCCCATAATACCACGTTATGTTGTAACTACTTGTTTCTCCTTCTAGATTTGAACTGTATGGAACAGAGACTGTATGTCTATAATCTTTTCATCTGAGGAAGTGCTTAGTAGATCATAGGTGCACAATGAATGTATTTTGATAAATGGCATCTAGTAGAATGCCACGTACCTGGCAGGTAATGATTAAATGCTCTCTACTGGCGAAGACAACACTGCTTTCTTTTACTTTCTGTTTTCATCATTTTTCTCATAAATGAAAAGTTTGAAATATTTGAAAAAATAAAACTCTACCTTTTGACTGGAGTTTAAAATTTCATTACCATGCAAGATCCTATTTAGATAAAACAAACAACCTATTTGGGAGGTGGGTGAATATTGAATGCCCCTGAAGCATTAAATATTTTATCAATATGCATGATTTTTCAGTAGATTGATATATGCATAATGGCAAGAAACCTTAGGTGGGAATCAATATGTACTATATTTTAAATCCTAGTAGAATAAACAGAAAATGATGAAAAAAGCAGTGAATAATTATTTCTATGTTCATTTAAAATTCTGCCTCTGGTTAAACTGAGCAGCCTTTTCAAAATCATTGGAACTGTAATAACATGCCATTAAATGCTTCTGCTTGTTCAGTTTTTCATTTGCAAAGGTAATCCATGCTTTAAAACCTGGAAACCTTTGAAATATGCATCAGGCAGGAGGCTGGTGTGGAGATTGCCTTAAGGTCAGGGCTTTCAGCTCCTTGGTTGCTGAGTCTGAGGTTTTCGCCAAAGGCCACGAAATAGCCCTTCATTAACGGGTTCTTGGCGGCAAATATAATTAACAGCTAGCCATAGATCAGAATGTTGTAAAGGGATAAATGTCTCCTGTGGTGTGAAAATAGGACCAAAGACGCTGATCCTATGACAAGAGTCCTATACACTCATCACCCTATAGTTGGTGGGGATTTGATTTAACGAAATGGTTTGGGATAAAGCACCTTTGTAATGGTGGTGGTTTCTGACACATAGCACAATCATTTGTGGTTCTGGCCTGTATAGAGCGCAGCTGCTTGACTCCACATGTTGGCAATTGCTGTTTTACCAAAGCCTTTCCCAAGGACTCTCATGGCAGGCCAGTTAGATGCATGTTTGCACAGGTGGTAAATCGGCTGTTTTCCCTGGAAGTTATCATCTTCTCTTTCCAGTTTTTCCGTAGAGGGTCACTCAAGGGTGACAAGAAGTTTACTGCTCCTTGAAGGCTCAGTCTGCTGTCGCCAGGGCTGCCAAAACACAGCCTCAAAGAGACAATGATTTGAACCTGGTTTGCTGACTGCTGTCTCTAGACTCCCTGGCACCACTCAGTTGGGGGAAGAAAAAAAATATACCTGGTAGCATTCAAGTCTAGAATTGTAATGAAGTTAGGGTGTCCAGATGTATCTTTTTAAAGGGATTAACCCAGTGTTCCCGGAAGCCTTTTGAGGATAATAAATTTACTTTCTCCAAAGGAGATAGGAATAGGAAATCTTTTATTGTGCTCATAGAGATTAGATTTTTTTGATAATCAGACCCTTACTAAGTAGGGAGGAGGTAGCTGTTTGTGTTACATAAACACACCCAAGTAGACCTTTATTTTCACCTTGGTCATTAGTGCATGAGTCTCTTATGCCAAGGTCCCATGAGCATACCAATTACACTTTGCTGAAGTCTGCTGTAACACGGTTAGATGGTGTGTTTAAAAGAAAAATTTAGAACCATCTTGGGCTGGGAAGGAGGGATTTTGAAATGCTAATATTTGCCTTTGCAAGATTATATACTGCTGATAACCCCTTCCTTCTATCATGGAACTCCCTCCTCTTTTGGCTCGACCATTTGCCAAAAGCTCTTTTCACACCCTTGACACTAGTCAAACTGGATTCCTTGCCATTTCTGGAACACAATATCAAATAAATATTTATCAAGTCCATGTTATGTGCCAGGTATGATGTTATGTGTTCTATATACACAGACGTTCTTCAAGGTGATTAGTTATTACTTGTTATTTCATTCAATCAAAAAATGCTTAATGAGCACCTACTATCTGTCAGGTATGTGCTAAGAAGGGAGGGTGTGGCTATAAATAGAGCAGATATGTTTCCTGTCCTCATGAAACTGACAATGTGGCAGAGGAGATAGATATTTAATAATATTATAATATGGAGGATGGGAAGATATGAGACAGAGCAAGGAGATCTGACGCTGAGGAAGGGATGTTTATACTGAGTCATGAAGGAATTATAGGAATCGGCCGAATATAAAGGGTGGTAGTGAATGCTGGGACTGAGGGAGGAGTCTAGAGGCATGCAGGCAAGATCAGAGAACAGAACAGGACTGCACCACCAGCACTCTTGGTTCAAATCCTGGCTTGTCATTACTTTCCTTGTACTTTGGGCAAATCACTTAACTTCTGTGCCTCCGTTTCCTTATCGTTAAATGGTGATAGCAATAGTACTAATCTCATTGTTGCCCTGATAAATGAGTTGCTATATGCCCAGTTCACAGTAAGCATTATGTGAATGTTATTATTTTAATGAGGAAGTGACAGTATTTTGAGTTACCCTCTAGCCTAGAGTGTAGCATGTTGGAAGAACAGAGCAGAGTAAGAGGTGAGGTTAGAAAAGCTGATAGAGCTTGGATTATGAGGGACCCAGCCTGGAGAGAAGTCTTGAAAATATGTGAAGGATTTTCTTGATCGGTACGGCAGTAGGAAATCACTGAAACAGTTTAAGCAGAACAATGACACAATGAGGCTTGTATGGGCCAAGCTGGTGGTCATGGAGAGAAGCAAAAATGTGTGGCTTGGCAAGCTATCTGATAGATAGACTTAACATTTGCTTATGGATTGAAAGTGTGAATGAGGAAGAGGGAAGAATAAAGAATGACGATCTGGACTAGAAAAGTGCTTTTTTGTCCAAATAACAGGGAGGAATCCACGAGAGCTGTGGGTACACGCGGGTTGATAGGTTTAGTGGTGACAGTTGAGGGATATTTTTTCTAAGGTTTTATATTTGTTCAGTGCTAGGAATGCCCTGCTGGGGATGAGCTGAGAAATGGGGGTGGTGGAGGTTTGAGGAACCACAATTTAGAACACATCGTAGTGAATAGGAGAGGGCATTTACTAGGGAAACCAAGGCAGGGTGAAGGACTCCGGTGAGGTTGGTGATATTTACTTTTTAGTGACACCAGATTGCCTAGGTGTGAGGTTTTCTCAGCAGCTTTCAGCAGATCTTAGATGCAGAGGAGATGAGCAGCTCAGAGCTCGAGGATCAGGATAATCAGATGATAATATTACTGACATTATCCAACATATATTGAAGCCTTAACTAGGTGCCAGGTACTGTTTTAAGAGCTTTACAGACATTATCTCATTTAATTAGATGCAGGCTGGTCTTAAAGTTGCATGAAATGTACTAGTTAGTGGCACATTGGCCAAATTCAAGTCGACAAATAAAAACTTAGCTCTTTGGCATGTTTATTTTTATAGTTTTATATGTAAGCTGTGTTTCTGTGACTTCGCAAATCTATGGGGGAAAATTAGGGTCAAAATGACTCTGTCCTATTCACTCTGAAAAACTCTCCTGAAATTCTGTGTTAGTTCCCCAGGACCGCTGGAGCAAAGCACCACAAACCCAGTGGCTTAAACCAACAGGAAGTGATTGTCTCACAGTTCTGGAGGCTAGTCTGAAATCAAGGTGTCAGCAGGGCCATATTCCCTCTGAAACCTGTAGAGGAGGCCCCGTCCTTGCCTCTTCCTAGCATCTGGTAGTGGTTGCCAATCCTTGGCACACCTTGGCTTGCAGCTTCATCACTCCAGTCTCTGCCTCTGTAGTCACGTGGCATTGTCTGTGCATCTCTGTCTTCACATGGCATTTTAATCTTCTTATAAGGACACCAGTAATATCGGACTGGGGCCCACCCTAATGGCCTCATCCTAACTTGATTACATCTGCAATGACCTTATTTCCAAATAAGGTCACATTCTGAGGTACTGGCAGTTAGGCCTCTAATATATCTTTCCAGGGCACACAATTCAACCCATAATAAATTCCTTCCAATTAGTTCTGAAAGTGCCCAGGACCGCTCCTGGGTGGTCACAAGCTGGTATTCTTTGTTTCCGCATGCACTTCCCCTTTCCTGTTTTGGTTTCTTACAGCACTGTCTCCCTTCCTGCTGCCAAGGTCAATATACTGCTGCAAATGCTTCCCAAGCTGCAAAGAAGCATCAGAGGGACAATGCTCACCAAAAGTACCAGGGGCTTCTTGATGCTATTGCAGCCTGGTCTCCAGTCCTGTGCCCTCTCTGATCCAAGCTATAGGTTGTTCTGCTGTGTCAATTCTGAGTTCTCACTTGCTCCACATTGCAACCTGCCCGCCTTCCCATTAGTCCCCAGTCATTTTGTCGATTGCAAAGTAGTGCTCTACATTATGCTTTGTTTTTGTCCACTCCTCTGATTGTCCCTAAGCTCCACTGGACTAGGGGACAATCAGAATGACAGATGCTGTCTGGGACTTAATTATCCCTCCTGCTGATACTGACCTTGAACCAAACTTGTGAGCCTCACTTCTCTTTTCCCCCGGTATGATGGCTATTATGGGGCCTCTTGGTACAAATAAACTTCTGCTATACCTGGACATGTCCTGAAATATTAACAAGCATCCTAGGGTAAATGCAACTTAGTTTCTCAAGCCAAGACTATAGCTTCCCATGATATATTTAAATTAATTATACCACAAAATATTTAACCACAGCATGAGGCTTATCATCAATAACTGTTGGATTGGGCTATCAACTGGGACTGCTGCTGAAGATATAAAATATCATCTTCTGCCCAAGTAGAAAGGGCTTTCTCTATGCCCCTCACATTTAACGTCTACTCTCCTTCTTTTTCCAGGCCTGCTGAATAAACTGAGATGTTTGATTTCAGTCCACAGCCCCTTCTAGTCAATGATAGCCTCTCATTGCGTGTAACATAACCATGCCCAGTAATATTCAGCTGTAGCACATCTTGCTTTCTTTTTCTTGTGAGAGCTCCTATCATTAAAGTAATTATAAATGTTTGTACCTAATCCTCACTATGATAATTTATACTTTCATCACAATAAGAAAAGGTTTGACTGTCATTATATCTGGGTATCTTTGATCCTAACCTACCTCTAGGTGTGATACCTTTCTTCCCACCCAAAATATCAGCCTAAGGTTAGTTAGCCAATTAATTAACCAACAAATATTTATTAGGTGTTTCTTATGTGTTCTGCATTAGCAGAAAACAGACACAGGGAATTACTTTTTTGGTAATTATTATTTTAAGCTCTTCAAACCCTTGGCTAAATCATCCATTCTAGAAACACTGAGTATCTACCTACTCTGCATCTAGGGGATAGAACAGAAGACAACAGAAGCAAAACAAACAAAATCTCTACCTACTAAGAATCCGTTATCCGGGTGGAGGACCCAGACCTTAACAATCTTAGAAATAATATATATCCACAAACTGTAATAAGAAGGGTAAAAGAAATGTACAGGGTCCTATGTACGATAGGGAGAACCTGAGTTAGAATGGGCATGAATAGTCAGTAATAGCTAAGTTGAAGTTTGAAGGTTGTGCAGGAAGAAAGGGAGGAGAACATCTCATGCAGAAAAATAATACATGCAAAAGACCTAACATAGATAAGAGCTTGCTAGTCGGGTTTGGTGGCTTATGACTGTAATCCCAGTGCTTTGGGAGGCTGAAGCAGGAGGATCACTTATAGTCAGGAGTTTGAGACCAGGCTGGGCAACATAGTGAGACCCTGTCTCTATAAAAAAAAAAAAATTAAAAATTAGCCGAGTATGGTGCCATGCACCTGTAGTCCCAACTACTTGGGAGGCTTAGGCAGAAGGATTACTTGAGCCCAGTATTTTGAGCTTACAGTGAGCTATGATCATGGCACTGCACTCCAGCCAGTGACAGAGCAGAACCCTGTCTCTAAAAAGAAAAGAAAAGAGCTTGATGCCTTAAAGAAAGACTAGTGAAACTGGAGCACAGTGGAAGCACTGGAGTCGGGTGGAAAAAGATGATGGAGAGAGAGAACAAGAGCCAGATTCTCTGTGGCCATGGGAAGTGCTGTGGCTTGAATATGCCCCCAAAAAGTTCATGTGTTGAAAACTGAATCCCAGTGCAATGGTGTTGAGAGGTGAGACCTAAAAAGAAGTAATTGGGTCATTATGTCAGAGCCTTCATGAATAGATTAATGTCACTATTGTGAGAGCAGGTTAGTTATCACAAGAGTGGGTTGTTACAAAATGAGTCCAGCCCCTGCTGCCTTTCTCTTCCTTATGTGCTCACCTTCCACCTTCTGCCATTGGGATTACCCTCTCCAGATGCCAGCAGCATGATCTTGGACTTCCAAGCCTCCAAAGCTATGATCCAAATAAATATCTGTTCTTTGTAAATTACCCAGACAGTGATATTCTCTTATAACAGCAGAAAATGGACTAAGACAGAAAATAGGTACCAGAAGTAGAGTTGCTGCTATAATGGACACCTGAAAATGTGGTAAGGGCTTTGAAACTGGATTAATGGGTAGAAGCTAGAAGACTTTAGAGAAGCAGGATAGAAAAAGACTAGGTTGTCATTAACAGAGCATTAAGCATGATCCTGGTGAGGGCTCAGAAGAGAAGACTAGGGAAAGTATGGAACTTCTTAGAGATTACTTAAGTGGTTGTGACCAGAATGTTGGCAGAAAAATGGACAGTAAAGGCCTTTCTGATTAGGTCTCAAGTGGAAATGATCTGATGAGGTCTCGGTTGGAGATGAGGAGCAAGGTATTGGAAAGTGGAGTACAGGCCATCCTTGTTATAAAGTAACAAAGACCTTGGCTGAATTGTGTTCATATCCTAGGACTCCATGGAATGTAGAATTTAAGAGCAATAAGCTGAGATATATGGCAGAAGAAATACCTAAGCAGCAAAGCATTCAGGCTGCTGCGTGGCTACTTTGAACTGCATGCAGTGAGATGTGAGTGCAAAGATACGACTTAAAGACATAATTTATAGTTAAAAGAGAAGGAGAATGGCAAGATTTGGAAAATTTGCAGACAGGCCATGTAGAGTGAAGAAGCATGTTCTCGACCCTTTGCTGAAAGATTGGTTCAGATGGAAGGGAGCCAGAGGCTATTCATAAGGCAATGGGAGAAAGACCCCAAAGGCATTTCAGAGATCTTTGAGCCTGCCCCAGATCACAGGCCCAGAAATCTAGGAGGTCATAGACCCTCAAATCACCATGCTTATTACTCCAGGAAAAAATAAAAGCATATATTGAAGAAACTATTCATGTTGCTATGTGGAGTCTACTGTGTTAAGTGCTGTTAGGAGTGAATAACATAGGCATGATTCCTATCCCTAAGGAGCTAGCTGCAATTTGGGAAAGATTATTTCTCCAACTTTAAAGATTTAAGTGTTGGCAGAAAATAGTGATTCTTTCCTTTAATCAAAACATCTGTGAGACTCATAAAAGACAAAGCCATGTCAAAGGGAGCTACATAATGGCCTACGGCAATTTTTATAGCCTGAATAAAAAGCAAAAAGCTCTTTTAAGTAACTGAAAGAAATCATCTAAACCACTGTTCCCTAATCACTTCGATTCAATAACAAAATAACCATGCCTTATGCCTTTCCATTTTGTGTATGATTGTTTTGTTTGTTTTGCTTTTTGGTCAGAGCTTACATGCAGATAACAGAAAACCACTCTAGCAATTTTAAGCAGAAAGGGCTAAATACGGGGAACGAGGTGCTTACAAATTCATTAGAAGGGCTGGAGGAGTGGGCTGCTGTCTGAGAAATCAGGAAGGCCCAAGAGAAATTCCTCACTCCAAGGGGATGTTCATTCCTATTCTAGTTTGCTCACAATGGCACTTTTATATCCTATAACCTGAGGTATAACTTAAAAAGTTGACTACCTCCAACACAGTAATATAAAATGCTACAGAAAGAGGAAAAACTAAACAAAGGAAATTTATTACTGTATTCATAACAAAGCAAGGAAGAAAATTGGAGTAGCTAGGACAGACCATATTTCTGCATCTGGTCCCAAGCCCATAGTTGATATTTTTGACTTTCTTCTACTTCCAGCTCATGTTCCTTTTTTACCCTCAGCCAGCACCTCAGCTAATCATGCTACTTTACCTGATGCAGTAACTCAAACTTTCATTTTAAGGGGTTTGAACCCTTCCTGATCCTGCCTGTTGAGTCTCTAGGTGGAAGCCGTCTTTTTTTCATTATTAAGCCTTCTAAGTCAGCAGAGAGCCAAGAGCCACAAGAAACAGGTACAAAACCTTTGTGGCTGGGTCCTTATATGAAATAATGGAAGGTGATACTACCAGTTCTTCGTTTCTAGACTCCTGCCGTTATACTGGGAGAAGCAGCACTATGTATTGGCTATTGGTTAGAGCATTATCTCATTCTATAGCACAGCATCCCAATTTATCAGGCTGCTGTTGACTAGTTGGTACCATAACTGAGTCTCCAGTAGGTTATTCTACCATTCTGCAAGGGCATGTGCTTGTAGGTGATGGGACACATGGTGAGACCAGTGAAATCCATAGACATCTCTTTCTCTCACTTCTTTGGTAGAAGCAATGCTGAATGGGACACTGTTTCTGTGGTGATGAATAAAGGCGTTCACAGTCAGTATGGCTGGCAGAAACATAGCTGGCAGGAAAGTCAAATATTAATCTATAATGAGTATCATATTCCAGTGATGATAAATAACTGCTTCTCTCCCTTGCCTCCATGATGAAAAGAAATTGATGTAATTAACCTGCCACCATGTATTTGACTGATCTACTTCTACTTCGAATATGGTATTATATTAGGGACTTAACGTTGGTTTCTGTCACCATCAGGTTAAACAATCAGCAGTTGCCAAACTGCTGGGTGAAGGAAGGCAATATTTTTTGAGCCCCTGCATATCTTCCATCTCTGTTACTATGGCTACATTATCCATGAGCCCATTGACTAAGCCCCAGGGTGACTGGGGAAAGAGGTTAACTGACATCTATAGGAAAGAATTTTGTGTATCTGATTATTGGATGTCTTTTTGATAAGAGCTGTGGGTAAAATTCTTAATCCCTAAGACCCATTCAGGGTTTTTGGCTACAAATAGGAAAATATGACTCAAGTTAATTTAAGCAGAAATAGATTTGATTGGATGGCTTTGGGTAGCTCTCAGTATGAATGTGAAGGTAGGTAAATGACTCTAAGGAAAAGGCAGAGCCCAAGAAAGTTTTATAGTTAAGAACAGAACAGAGGTCATGCCAGAGGAAGTCAGGTTAGGACCTTGACTCTGGTAGTCCAACTTGGGACACTACTGCCATTTTCACTGCTGGACTCTTTTATTTTTTTTTTTTAAGATGGAGTCTCACTCTGTCGCACAGGCGGGAATGCAATGGCGTGATCTCAGCTCACTGCAACCTCCGCCCCCTCCTGCCCCCCCGCTGGTTCAAGTGATTCTCCTGCCTCACCCTCCCAAGAAGCTGGGATTACAGGTGCCCGCCACCGCACCCAGCTTTTGTAGTAGAGATGGTGTTTCACCGTGTTGGCCAGGCTGGTCTTGAACTCCTGACCTCAGGTGATCCACATGCCTTGGACTCCCAAAGTGCTGGGATTACAAGAATGAATCACTGCGCCCGCCCAGCCACTCCTGGACTCTTAAATCTGCTGCAGCCTCTGAGAATATTCTCTGCCTATTGCTGTCATTGAGTACTTACACATGAGGCAAAATCCCTGACAGAAGCATCTGTTTGGCCAAATCTGGGCCACATGCTTCTTGTCAAGGAATTGGGATAGGGTTATATGCTCACTTCAGGCACAGTGAACTTGGATCTTGCCTCCCAACAAGACTTGAGAGATGGGGGATCCTTCCATCTAGGAAGAATGCAGATAGGCAAAACCTGACAGATGTCTACTACACCCTCTAAGCCTCAGTTTTCTCATCTGTACAATGGAAACAACAATACCCTTTTAAAATCCTTGTCCTTTGCTATGATATTTTATCTGAATATCCTTTTCATCCTTATCCATTGCTGAGGATTAAATTAAATAATGCATGTAAAATGTAATAAATCTTAGTTTTTATTGTTTTTATTACTACCTCAATGTCCTGAAGCAATTTCTGCAATTCCTAATCTTGGATCAATTCAACTATCCTTCCCCTCAATTCCTGCTCTGGATTGCTGGAATAACTAGTAAAATCATCCCAGTTACAATCATTTGTAATAGAATCACAACCACAAGGGGCCCTCAGTGCTGCCTGCATACCTCTTGCCCAGCTCTGTTCCCATTTCCTCGAGAACCAGTGGATTAACTTGTCTCCTTGAGAGAGGAAAGACAGACTTTGCATGTAAACTCCCTTAAATTCCCTCCCATCCACCCACTAACTCATGTATATTTGCGCTAATTATTGCTATCATCCCCACTCCCAGGTCAGAAGTGATGTCGGGTCTCTCCTCCTTTTAAGGGCCAATCCCTCCCTCTGTCTGGACTAGTTTGCCTTCTCTGGGCACTTGCTTGGGCTTCCCTCCCTGGATTTTCTTGTTTCTTTCTTTCTTTTTTTTTTTTTTTTTGAGACGAAGTCTTGCTCTGTCACCCAGGCTGGAGTGCAGTGGTGTGATCCCGGCTCAGTGCAACCTCTGCCTCCGGGTTCAAGCGATTCTCGTGCCTCAGCCTCCTGAATAGCTGGGATTATAGGTGCATACCACCATGGCTGGCTAATTTTTGTATTTTTAGTAGAGACAGGGTTTCGCAATGTTGGCCAGGCTGGTCTCAAACTCCGGACCTCAAGCGATCCATCCACCTTGGCCTCCCAAAGCGTGGAGATTACAGGTGTGAGCCACCGGGCCTGGCCTGGATTTTCCGCATCTCTTAGTCTACTGGTTTCGTCTCTGTGACTTGCAGTATCAAATGCTGCACAGACACTTTGTGACACTTATTGGATACCACTGGGTTATTAAATAGAACCCTTATTGTTTTTGTAGATTTGATAAAGGTATCTTGTAAAAATTAAAAGCAACATAAAAAAGTGCAAGGAGTAAAAATCACTTGAAATCTCTAACCCAGAGATAGCCATTCTGAACATCATTCCTGATGTTGTCTCCCTGTTCTAACCCATGTGTATTCTGTATCTGGTTTTACATAGAGAAAATGTATATCCCCTTTCTTTCCTGTATAATCATTTTTTTCTTTCTTCACTGAATCATTCCCATCAGAATATATACCCGATGTTATTTCTCCGATTTGAAAAGCACCCTCTTTTATTTGATTCTAATCTATATATCACTTTATTACTCTGCTCCCTTTTATGGAAATGTTTCTTGAAATAATGATGAATTTCACTGCATGGATTTCATCTCCTCCAGTCTCCTTTGTGAATTTCTCCTCATCTTCCCAACCTTTAAGCATTGCCCAGGGATCTGTCTTACAACCTCTTCTCTTTTCGTGAACTCCTGGCATCAAACAATCCTTTCACCTTGGCCTCCCAAAGTGCTGGGATTACAGGTGTGAGCCATCATGCCCAGTCATTCTCTTTTCTGTCTACACTCACTCTCTGGGTGATCTCATGGAGTTTCGTGGCTTTAAATACTAACCTTATTCTGTTGACTCATATATTTATATTTCTATCCAGGGCTTCTCTGCTGACCTCCAGACGCCAAGTTGCCTATTGGACATTTCCACCTGCATGTTTGACCTGCATCCTCAACATAACATACCTGAAACTGAATTCTCGAGTTCCTCCCTCCACTCCAAACCTGCTTCTTCTGCAATATTCCCAACCTTATTGTTCTGGTCACTCAGACAAAAGATCTTGGAGTCATCCTTGATGCCTCTCTTTTTGTCACATCCCACATCTAATCTGCCAACAAATCCAGTTCAATCTACCTTCAAAATACATTGAATTTCCAACTGTTTCTTTTCACCTCTGTTGCTTACCCTCTGATCAAAACCACCATCATCTCTTCCTTGGATTATTTCAGTAGTGCCATTACACTCCCCGTGTTGTGGGTGGACCGTGTTTCCCCAAAAAGATAAATAGAAATCTTCATCCTTGGTACCTCTGAATGTAATCTTATTTGGAAAAAAGGTCTTTGCCAATGTAATCAAGTTAAGATGAAGTCATACTGGATTAAGGTGAGTTCTACTCCAATAAGACTGATGTCTTTATAAGAAGAGAAAACAGACACGAGGAGTGAGAACACCACATGAAGATGCTGAGACACATGGTGGGAGAACAGCATGTGATGATGGAGGCAGAGACTGGAGTTACGTATCTATAAGCCAAAGAATGCCACAGATTGCCAGTGACAATAGAAGCTAAGAGAAAGTTGTGGAACGCATTCTTTGCTACAGTCTGTGAGAAAGCACAAGCCTGCCGAAACCTTGATTTTTAGACTTCTGGCCTCCAGAACTGCGAGAGAATACATTTCTGCTGTTTTAAGCACCCAGTTTGGGGTAATTTGTTATGGTAGCCCTAGGAAACCTAATATACCTTGCTTCTTCCTTCTCTCCCCTGAAGAATATTTTCCACTTAGCAAAAAAAAAGTGTATGATTTATCTGATTAAAGATGTCACTCAAAAACCTTCATTTCCTCAAAAGGTTAAACATAGAATTCCCATATGATCTGACAATTCCACTGCTGGATGTATGCCCAAAAGAACTGAACGCAGGGACTCAAACAGATATTGGGTTGATAAGTCTATTGTATTTTAAAACCGAGCTGGGTCCCGTGTAATTCTGAGTCTGAGCTGAACTGAAAATGTGATATTTACTCTTGAGACACCTTAGCTTATTCAGATTCAATGGGAGATATTGCCTAAGATTTTATCTCTCTGCAGATCAGTTCTTCACCTTTCAGCATGATCCCCAATCTTGTTTTTTCAAGCAACAATTTGACTTTATATTTATCACATATAATTCTAAGTTTTAGAACAGTTACTTTGTGGTAAGTATAACTCTTCCAGAACTTACCATTATGTGTGATAAATATAAAGTGTTCCAACTCAGCACTTATGAATTTCTAGATAAATTGCTGAGTATACTATTAAGTTCTCATTCCTGGTCATCTTAAAACATGTACATGGAATAAACACAGTTTATGATATACAAAAACAAAATGCTGTTCACTGTTCAGCCGTTTGTAGCCCTTTGTGCTATTGAAGCCATTTTTCTGAGGTTACTAATGACTCTCTACTTGCTAAACCCAATGGCTTAGAAGTCACCCTACTGAACTTCTCTATGACATTTGACATTGTTGATCACTGCCTCCTTTATGAAATTTTCATCTTTTTATGGCTTCCTTGACACTACTCTCTCCTGATAGTCTTGCTGCCCACCCTGACTACATCTCAGCCTCCCTCCTTGACCCATCTTCTTTATCAGGCTCACGGGAGGATGTTCCCTTGGGCTCTTTTCCTTTTCACTCTATTCTCTCTCTCGGCAGATTTGCCAGACTTAATTATCACTTAAATGCAAATGGTTCCTCAGTTTTCAGTCTTAACTTCTCTTTCTAGAGCTCTAGATCAGTATTTCCAACTGGAGTACTGCATGTTCCATTGATTCCTTCATATTTCCCACATCTCATGGAACCCCAGACCTGCTCTCTACTTTCATTTCTCATCTCAGTTCATGACAGCAGCATCTACCCAATCACTACAGTTAGAGTCACACGTCACATCTTCTTCTGTCCATGATCCTGATTGGCTGGAGCTGTTGCATCCACAGTCAGTATAATACTCATAGCACTCAAGAGCAAGGACTCTGCATCTGGGTTGCCAGGGCTCAGACCCAGGTCTATTACTCACTAGGGGGGTGCTCTTGAGTAAGATGCTTAACCTCTATGTCTAACTTTACTCATCTATAAAATGAAGATAACAATAGTAGCTACTTCTTAGAGTTCTTGTGAAGATTAAATACATTTATATTTGTAAAGTGCTTAGAACAGTGCCTGGCACATCATAAGTGTTACATAGCTGCTTGTTAATAAGTTGGTCTTGAGTTTGTCCCTGCCCTAGTCCATCCTTCACACTGCTGACAGATGTTTTTGAGGGGTTACCAATTTTTATGTTAAATCAGGGGCCAGTCATTATGTTAAGTGTTTTATATGGAGAATCTCATTTAATTCTCCAAACAACTTGTGAGGGAGGTGTGATAATACCCATTTAAGAGAGGAGGAAACTGGGGCTTTAAGAGCTAGTGCACTTTGCCGAAGGTCACATAGTTTGTAAATGCCAGAGTTGGGATTTTAATTCAGGCCTGTTTACTCCCAGAGCTAGTGCTCAAAACCAGGAAGCTACGCTAGCCTGCTTTTCCAAACCTAAGTTAGTCACTCACTGCTTAACCTTCTTCAAAGACCTCACACTGCCTATGCCGTCAGGAACTATTCCTTCACAATCTTGTTGCAACTTAACTTTATTTCCTACAACTTTACTCCATGGGGCTTCCTGTTTCCTTCTTCCTTCTCCCTCTGTTGGCCTCTTTTCCTTTGTTCCTTCAACCTTTATTGAATGCCTGAGTGCCAGGCACTGTGCTAAATTGGAGAAAACAAGAGACGAGCAGTTTATCTTCAAGGACCTCATAGTCTGATACAAACTATTATTGACAATACAGTAAGGGGAGTGCACTCAGGCAATGTGGGAGCCAGACTGGGAAGACAAGGGACAGGAGCAGGGAGAGTGTATTAGTCCGTTTTCATGCTGCTAATAAAGACATACCCAAGATTAGATAACTTATAAAGGAAAAGAGGTTTAATGGACTCACAGTTCCACATGGCTAGGGAGGCTTCACAATCATGGTGGAATGTGAAGAAGGAGCAAAGGCATGTCTTATGTGGCAGCAGGCAAGAGAGTATGTGCAGGGGAGCTGTCCTTTATAAAACCATCAGATCTCATGAGACTTATCCACTATCACAAGAACAGCATGGGAAAACCTGCCTTCATGATTCAATTACTTGCCACCAGGTCCCTCCCAAGACATATGGGGATTATGGGAACTAAGAGTCAAGATAAGATTTGGGTGGGGACACAGCCAAACTGTATCAGACCGTTTCTTTGAGAGGGGACATTTGGCTGCCTTAAAGGATACTCTGGTCAGAAAATTTCTTGTCATTCTTTAACAATTCTGACTTTGCCTTTTGCCTTAGGGAATCTTTGGGGTGTCTTTTTCCCTGTCAGATGATTGACTAAGACTGGATTTCAAAATCAGCTTCTCTGATCCTTGGATGTTTGTTTCTTTACACATATGTCAATTATAGCATGTATCGCACTGTAGCCTAAGAGCTATTGGTCTACCTGCCCATCTTTTTTTTTTTTGTTTGAGAGAGAGAGTCTTGCTCTGTCTCCCAGGCTGGAGTGCAGTGGTGCAATCTCGGCTCACTGCAACCTCTGCCTCCTGAGTTCAAGTGATTCTCATGCCTCAGCCTCCTGAGTAGCTGGGATTACAGGCATGTGCCACCAGGCCTGGATAATTTTTTTTTTTTTTGTATGTTTAGTAGAGATGGGTTTTCACCATGTTGGCCAGGCTGGTCTTGAACTCCTGACCTCAAATGATCCACCCACCTCGGCCTCTCAAAGTGCTGGGATTACAGGTGTGAACCGTCATGCCTGGCCCCATCTTTTTGACTAAATTGTGATTTCCTCCAAGGAAAAAACAGAGTCTTAATTTATTTTTGAACGGTCCTTCATTCCTAAAGTGACATAACCGGAATATCATAGGTCTCAATAAAGTTTTGTTAAATGAAGGGTTGCTTGCCTATTCACAAAAGAAAGTATAAGTCAGGGGGCTCTTCTGATTCAGAGTAAATAAGAGAGTCGGTGTTCCATAATTACTAAGTATTTGATGGTTCTATCAGTAAAATACCCAAAAATAACGCTGGGAATGAGGAAATGTATTTATTTACTTATTTTGAGACGGGGTCTTGCTCTGTTACCCAGGCTGGAGTGCAGTGGTGCAATCTTGGCTCACTGCAACCTCCACCTCCCGGGTTCAAGTGATTCTCTCACCTTAGCCTCCTGAGTAGCTGGGACTACAGGTGTGCACCGCCATGCCCGGCTAATTTTTGTATGTTTAGTAGAGATGGGGTTTCCCCATGTTGGGCAGGCTAGTCTTGAACTCCTGACCTCAGGTGATCCTCCCGCCTCGGCCTCCCAAAGTGCTGGGATTACAGGCGTGAGTTACTGTGCCTGGCAGGAAATTTATTATTAAATCTACTTCTGTGGATAAATTAAGTTGTCATGTCCTGGGTGGCAGGGCTCTGGATCAGGCATGAGAAAAATCAAGAATTTTAGAGCTAGTTTTGAGGGTTTCCTTACTTTCTTGGGTTGGGCCATGGTTCCAGAATTTTGTGCACAATTAAGGCATAGAGGTACGGTGCTGCTGGGAGCAGTGTGCCATGGTCCACCAGGGTTGCTACTAAGAATTTCCCATTCTAGTCCATGACTGGCTAAAGGCAGGAATCTCTTTTGTAGCTGTCCCTGGTTCCCTTTTCCCAGGCACAACATACAGCCATTTCCTTTCTGTGGTCTCGCCTCCTTCCTGGTAGCACACATATTCCTTTTTGCCTGTCTCTTTCTCCTGGCAAGGTTTACCTCCAGCAGAGGGGAATCTTTATGGTGAGCAGACGGAGGTCTGAGGTGAGAGGAGTCCTCACTCTTCTTTCTTTATTTTTTTGACCTTGATTACCCTTTCACCAGAGGTTAAGGCTTTTATACAGAAAAAGCCAGAAAGACTCATAGTCTATGCCTATTTTCCATCTTGTGTCATCCCTCTCCTGGGGAAATGATTGCAGAATCCCTATTGGCATGAATTAAGGGGAAGAGAAAGGGGAAAAAAGTACATGGAGAAAAAAAGACAACAGCAGAGAATGATATCTCAGAGCACTGCTCCAGGCATAGCAGTTCCCTAGTAAATCTTGAAATCTCATCAAAATTGTGAGGGTTAGGCTGAGCAAGGTGGCTCATGCCTGTAATTCCAGCACTTTAGGAGGCCTAGGTGGGAGGACTGTTTTAGCTCAGGAGCTCAAGACCAGCCTGGGCAACATAGCAAGACCCACATCTCTCCCAAAAATAAACAAAAAAATTAGTTTGGCATAATGGCATGTGCCTGTAGTCCCAGCTACTCAGGGGGCTGAGGTGGGAGGATGGCTCACAAACCTATGTGAGGTAAGGCTGCAGTGAACCATGATGGTGTGACTGCACTCCAGCCTGGGCAACAAAGCGAGACCAAAAAAAAAAATGTTAGAATCAAGGGACAAAGTACATGTAAGAGGTTTAGAATAGCACTTGGTACAGGAACAGTGAGTGCTCAATAAATTATTATTAGGTCTCCTCCACCCAGGGTAGGACCTGGGTTTCTGTCCTGAATTGGGACTTCCAAGACAATCACTCCCACACTCAATGTAGTACAGAGCTCTGTGAGTGATCTCTGCCCATGTTCCCCAGGGACACTTCAGCCTGGGTGCTGGGCCTGTTTCCGGTTTTACTGGGGTGGGCTTAGAGCTGTACTTCTACGGGGTTCTCTTTCCTCTCAACGTTGGTTTCCCTCCCAACCCTCACCCCCAACCCCAGGAAGCTCAGTTTACAAGTGCGGTCGGTACCCTCATTTGGTGTTTTTATTGGCTTTTCTGATAGCCCCTGGACTAGACAATTACATTGAAATTCAGAAGCAGCATGCACTTTTTGGCATTGATGTCTTTAATTAAATTCAATAAGCACTTATTGAGCACCTAGAGTGTGTAAAATACTGTTCCTTTAAATACATTTAGTCCTGAACTGTTTTAGCTTCTTAGTTTGGATTAGTGCTGATCCATTTCTTAAAGGTTTTATGAAGCATAAATATCAAAATGGAAAAATATTTGCACAGTTCTTTGTAAATATAAACGTCTTGTGTGGATTATTGTTGCTACAGTATTAATATTAACTGCAGTAACAACACTGCTGCTTCCCAGACAGGCGGTAGAAAGCAGCTGTAGGCCAACAGGAGCCAGACTGAAGAGATCCAGGGAGGTGCCTCCAGCACGTACGGCCCACAAGGGGCGGAGTCTTAAGAAGCGTACCCAAGCCCCACCCCTTACAGCACCCCCTTCGTCAGGGCGGTGTAGGCGGTTACCATGGCGATGACGTCCAGAGGGCGGGGAGGGGCGGGGCTATGGAGAGGAGGAGGAAGATGGCGGGCGGGCTGCTCTGAAGAGACCTCGGCGGCGGCGGAGGAGGAGAGAAGCGCAGCGCCGCGCCGCGCCGGGGCCCATGTGGGGAGGAGTCGGAGTCGCTGTTGCCGCCGCCGCCTGTAGCTGCTGGACCCGAGTGGGAGTGAGGGGGAAACGGCAGGATGAAGTTCGCCGAGCACCTCTCCGCGCACATCACTCCCGAGTGGAGGAAGCAATACATCCAGTATGAGGTACCGGCACGGCTGGGGTGTGGGAGGACTCGGAGGGGCCACCATCTCGCCAGTCCTGACGTCCACCGCCGCCTTCCGCTTCAGCTGGCTCCCTGTGCCCGGGCAGACTTTGACCCGCTGCCGCGGGGAGCCACTGCGGCATCCCCGCCGCGGCCGGCCGCCTCCCGGCTCCGCTGTCCTTCCCCTCCCCCGCAGCCCCGCTGCCGCCGGGGTAACGGATATGCAGGCGGAGGGCCGGGAGGAAAGGCGCTGCCCGGGCCGGGGCCGGGGCCGGGGAACGGTGGGAGGGTGAGCTGCAGGTGGGGGAGTCACGGTGCGAGGGCAGCCCCGGGTCGCGGCTGTTCCGCGCTAATCCCCTTCTCCCCACTCGCCCTGACCTCTCGTCCCCACCCTGGGCGAGCGCCCCCTCGCCAAGGTTAGGTCTTGTTTCTCTCTCTACACCTCTCACCAAGGAATCCTTGTCTTCCAAGAGAAGCCCCTCCAGTGATTTCCTTCATTCCAAAGAGCCCTTCGGCTTTTTCCCACTTGCCCACTGTTGACAAAGGCTTTGTAACGGGGTTGAAACTTGACTTAAGTGTGTATCACATATGTAGTGGTTATAGTTTTTGTAAACACGTTGTAATCAACTATTCTGCTTTGATAATAAGACTCTTTTTACTGATTGCATGAAGTCTACAGAGTAATAACATCTTTGTTTTTGCCTCTTGTTTTGGAATGGAGGGAAGAGAAAGGAGAGAAGAGAATTATTAACATTTTTTTATTTTCTGCTAAGTTTTTGCTAGCTGGGGAGAAAATTAGTATATTGTAAACAATATACCTTACCTGTGTATTACAGAAATCATGCTCCCCATTCCCTCCCAATTTCTGTGCTAACACTGCTGGAAGGTATTTAATAGATAATAAGGAACCTTACATTAATAAAGGGAAAAATAAAGATAATGAACCCATTTATATGTTCAGAAGACAAGATACCTAAGAGGCTTTAAGCATTGCAATAGGTTATTCTCAGTAGCTGGCAATTCAGCTCCTGGATAGAGAAAGACAGACTTATCTGTAACCTCCAGGAATTCACATCTGTTTTGTGTGCAGGAACAAAGAATATAAAATCAATATGAACACACATAACTTAGCTAGATTTTATGAATTAAACTATTTTAGTTCTCCATTTAATTTTTATATAAGTTTAGTGATAGGAGGTTTGGGCAATAGCAGTGAGTGTATTTATTCATATAGCCATTGTAATAATTGAAGAAGACAGGGAAAGAGATGCAGGTAGGTTAAACGGAATCTTGAATATTGTGAAATAAATTCACTTGCAACCTAGAGTATTTCATTATTGCTAGAAATGAAAGGCCTATAATTATTAATGCTTTATTGTCACTCAATTTCTTACAGTATTTTGTGGCCATGTTTTGTAAGAATGAGTGAAATAAGGGACTAACATTTCAGCCTGCAGAGTTGATTTATTGTTTCTAATAACATTTAGTTTTAAAACCTTGGCTAGAATCCAAGTGATGGTTTTTATTGAAAGAAGGGTATTGGTCTTTCATCTTTCTAGTAGTAATTTTCAGCACCACTGCCAGTTCTTCACAGAGGCACAGGATAGGAGCATGCTGAAGCACATCTTATATTTGTTATGTAGCATGGAATGCTTTGGGCAGAAGTAATAGTGGCTGGATGTATGCCATGATTCATTTTAGGTATTTCGACACTTAACTATTTCATGGAATTGTATTAATTTGCAATATCTGGGGCTGGAAGGAGAAGCATACGATTTAGTTTGAAAATGCAACCCTCTTAATTTGTAATGTCAGTTTTGTGGCTGGAGAACCACATTGATTCTGGGACTCCTCATTCACATAGTCCACTTGGATACTGTTCCTAAATGTTTACTGTAGGTTGGTCACAGAGGGGCAAAATTCCTGAGATTATGTTGTGTCTGCATTATCTTTCTCAGGGCAGTTATAAATTATGTTTTGAAAAATTCGTTTATTGTGGATAATTGAAATTTGATTCTGCGGAGAGTTCCTACTATATGGCTCCTGTCCTAGATAAACTCATTGTTTGGTAGACAAAATTAAATGAGGCGCACTTTTCTTTGTAAGTTGGAATCAACCAATATTTTATAGGGTTGGAATCTTGTTTTGTGTGTTGTTTCTGAAGAGTTGGTGCTATTCCTTTAAAAGTAATAGAGAGATGTAAATAAGAGTCTTTAGAGTCCAGGAATTTTAGCAGTTTAAAACTTTGGGGAAAAAGGACATCCATAAAAATTCTCTAGAGAAAAGGACCTTTTCATAATGAATTAAATTGTAGTTTCTCATATGAAGATGATGCTCTTAAAATGCTATCAGTAGAACAGATGCTGGGATTTGTTTTTCAAGCACTGGTGGTGAAATTTTTGTATTTTACCCTTGGTTTCTAGCCTAGGGTGCTTTCTAGTATCGTGAATCAATGTGAACTGTTCAGCTTCTTTGGTTTTTGTGTCATTTTGCTATATTAAATATTACTTGAAATAAGCAGAGAATTAGAATCTGAAAATTTTGTTTTACATCTGTAATTATATTTAATTATATATAATATGTATATATTGTAGCACAGTAAATACTAGTTTTTGTATGTGTTAGCCATGAGACCTGGGGACAATCTTTTTTGCCTTTCCCGGGCTCGCTCTTCTTCCATAAAGTAAGTATATAGGGCCAGAGCTTTTCAAGGTCCATTATAGGTCATGTTTTTGATTTAACTTTTAATGGCTTTTATTCCTTGAACTGATAAAATTATTAATGATAATAACCCATCAATATCCTGAAAATTATTATGTTTTTTAATTTAAAAATAAGTTGTGGTGTTCATAGATTCAGTCTTCATAGGCAGAATAATAAAGCATAAAATAACAGACCAACATGGAGAAGCCATATAAAGAAAATCTCTTCAATCCATTTGTAAGTAGTTTGTGCAAAGAATAAACACAAACAAGCCGAGACTATTCCTGTTTCCAGTAATCTGTTTGAGTATAAATTTTGACATGTAAAATAGAACACCGGTAAATCTTTGTAAGAGCTTTTTTAAAATTTAGAATTAGTGACTATATATTTTAAAGCTCTGCAATTGATTAATCAAAATTAACTGAGACTGGTTTCAACCAAATAGACTAATATGACCATGTTAATATTTTGCAGAATATTAGCAGAAGAAGCAAATATATTTGGTGCCTTAGGCTGCTGACTTTCCCTAGGGCCTTGTGTTTCTTTGGTTTCTCAGGACCCAGGAATGATTTTTTTCAGTGTATCCTTTGTTTTGTAATAAAATAACAAGGTTTCTAAATTACAGGATTTTAGAGCTAAAAGGGAATTTAAAGATTATCTACCTTGTTTTTCCAGGCAAGGAAACTAAGGTCCAGAGGGGTTAAGCCACTTGTTTAGGAATATGTGTATATGTCTCTTGAGCATGTGTAAGCATTGAGAGTCCGGTCACACTGTGTGATCCTGATGAAACCATTTCTTCTTTTAGCTAAGAAACATCTGAGTTTCTTTAATGTTAGAGAATTGGACTTGATTTCTAAGCTCACAACCCCCGTATTATTTAAGGACTCATCCAGCTCTAAAATTCTGTGTTTTTAAATGGTTTTATTATGTTTGGTATATGAAGAGGACAGAACTTAACAGGAGTATTAATAGCATCCTTTAAAATTAATAATATCCTTTCAAAAATTTTTGATATTTTGATCTGTGAATAAGATGTTAACCCAGTGAAACTCTCTTATTTAACTTAAAAAGGGATGACGATGAATTAATTTTTTATTGCAGGATTTTGGAAAGGAGAGGTTCTGCATGAACTACACTTCCATTATATTCAGGTATAAGGAGACATTACCATAACATTATTAACGATTTTCATTTATAGAACTCTCCCATGGGAACACTTGTGTTACAGGCTTCAGTTTCCCAAAGGTATTATGTTGATTAGGTAGGTTTAACTTGAGTTGCTGCAACTTGTTTGAAATATCCAGTTTGGCCACCCGATGGGGCACAAACCACACTTTTTCTTTCAGACACTTTTGTAAATCAAAGTATAGTATAGTGTGTTTAAGATAACACTTGTAAATGATTGCGTCAATGAGATGGTTGGCATTTACAAATGTTTCTTAAGTGAGTGAATGAATGTTGTAAAGACAGGAAGCTATAACTATTCTTTATCATCTTTAAGTGTGTCAGCGTGAGTATGCTGGAAAGATTATACTTGTCCGTTTATCCTGAAGGTTGGTTTTGGATCAGCTTTTGGGTGAAGGCCCAGATCATAAGAACCTAAGAATCTTATTTGACCTGGGGTGACCATGGAAACTTAGTCCTAGCTTCAAATTCAGTCCTAATCTGGGAAGCATTTAAGAGAATGATTGAGTTGTGCTGGGTAAGGATTTCAGGTATATTTGAGTTGTAGGCCCCAAAGGAGTGTGCCCAAAACTCCCATGGAGTAAAGAGAAGACAGTATTAGAAAAGTAAGGGGGCTGGACACGGTGGCTCACGCCTGTAATCCCAGCACTTTGGGAGGCCGAGGCAGGCGGATCACTTGAGGTCAAGAGATTGAGACCATTCTGGCCAACATGGTGAAACCCCATCTCTACTAAAAATACAAAAATTAGCTGAGTGTGGTGGTGCATGCCTGTAGTCCCACCTACGCGGGAGACTGAGGCAGGAGAATCGATTGAACCGGGGAGGCGGAGGTTGCAGTGAGCTGAGATTGTGCCACTGCACTCCAGCCTGGCAACAGAGTAAGACTTCATCTCAAAAAAAAAAAAAAAAAAAAAGGAAAAGTAAGGGAAGACAGAACTGTTAATTTTACTTATTTTTATGCATAAGAAAAGGAAGAAATACAATTTTACTAGTATTTAATAAATGGATTGATGCAGTACCCCTGCTAAGGAGGTCATGCACAGGTATACTGAAGAAAACAGAAGGATTGCCAGTGGCTTTTTCACTTGTTTGTTCGCTTTGGCAGATAATCATTAATCCAGTTATGGGTGCATAATTAAATGAATCTATAAATTATTATCTAGTTTTAGCCAAATCAACCGCTAGGAAATAGACATGTCTTAAAAAGACTCCTGTAAAGATTCCATAACAGTAATACCAATAATGCAAGCACAAGTGAACAACAAGAAAATGACAACAGAGCTGAGGTTTCTCCTTCTAGTACTAGCTTTTTGGCAGCCAAATTACAGATAAAAACAATAACACTTTAGTAGACTTGACAAGAAGTTCGCCAAAAATTTAAAAATTATTAAGCTAATTCTTTTTTCTTTTTCCTGAGACGGAGTCTTGCTCTGTCACCCAGGCTGGAGTGCAGTGGCCTGATCTCAGCTCACTACAACCTCCGTCTCCCAGGTTCAAGCCATTCTTGTGCCTCAGCTTCCCAAGTAGCTGGCATTACAGGCGCGCGCAACTACATCCAGCTAATTTTTGTATTTTTAGTAGAGACAGGGCTTCACCATGTTGGCCAGGCTGGTCTCGAACTACTGTTCTCACGTGATCCGCCTGCCTCAGCCTCCCAAAGTGCTGGGATTACAGGCATGAGCCACCACTCCTGGCCTAAGCTAACTCTTTGAAGTAAGGTTTTACATCTACTGTCAGTCACAATGAACTTGACTGTAAGTGTATATATTATGAGTATTCTGCCTTTGTAAGGTCTGTTTTTTCAGTTTATAGCCATTAATTAAGTTTCAAAATCAAATGAATCCTGAACTTTGAACTGGACCTTTGAAACACTGTATCATAAAATGTTAAATGAAGGTTTTATTTATTTAAAAAACTTTTTTGTTTTTTTAATGAAGATTAAAAAAATGAAACTTTTCAGTTATGTTCTCTCAAAGCATTGTTATTGATAATTTCTTAGATCAAAAATATTTTTGTACTGTTCATAAATGAAAGGTAGAAATTATTTCATCCTTGTGTCATCTTTTTAAAACTTCTATTTTAAACAATTTTGTTTTACATTGTACACAGATACAGATGGGTATAATTAATAAATAAATATGCATATATTGGAGATACATAATAAAACTTTTTTTAAATAGGGATTTGACATAATAAAAGTTTGGAAGACTTTGCCCAACTTGTACAGATTAACCACAGCTGGTTTGTGGGTTGCCTGGTATTGAGGTGGCCTTTGGGAATGAGAGAGTGTCAGACTTCACCAGGGTTCTTGCCCAGTGTATTTGCCTTTTCAGGTCTTTCCTTATCTAGTAAATGCTAAAAGAAGCCAGCAGAGAAAGCTCATGAACAAATACCTTACAAATCATTCGTTCATTCCACAAATTTATAGAAGTCTTCCTTTGCTATAGGCTGATTTGTCATTAAATGCTAGCTTTCAGTACCTTAAAAATAACAGAAAAAAACCAAAACACACACACCCCAAATTTGTGTGTATGTGTGTATTTGGTTTTGTATTTCAGTCAACATAGTATTTTTAAAATTAAAAAGTGGTGTAGAAAGGGAAGACTGAAGATTGAGGACTTGGAACATGGATATAAATTTGTATTACTTTTGTATAAATTTGTATTACTTTTGTAATACAAATAAATCTTGTACTACTTTATACTTCTGTATAAATTTGGATTACTTTTGTAACTTAAGTTATATTCCTTTAAAGTCTTAGTTGTTTACTCAGACTGATATTTAGTCACCTATTTCTTCCCATCACCAAGCAAGTGTGGTATGTATAGGGACTGATCAGAAAATGTTTTAAAAATTAGGCTGGGCATGGTGGCTCACACCTGTAATCCCAGTACTTTGGGAGGCCAAGGCAGGCAGATCGCCTGAGATCAGGAGTTCGAGACCAGCCTGGCCAACATGGTGAAACCCCATTTCTACTAAAAATACAAAAATTAGCTGGGTGTGGTGGCGTGTGCCTGCTACTTGGGAGGCTGAGGCACAAGACTTGCTTGAACCCAGGAGGCGGAGGTTGCAGTGAGCTGAGATAGCACCACTGCACTCCAGCCTGGGTGACAGAGTGAGACACTGTCTGAAAAAAAAAAACACCCTTTAAAAATTGTTTATTTGCTAGGGAGTCAAAGGAAAATATAATTAATCTACTGTAAACATAACTTAAAATTTTCATAATCTCTATAACAAGAGGCTTAATATATTGATTAAGAAAACATAGTCATCTTTTATTAATTGAGGATGACCTGCTGTATTAGAAAGACCTTGGACCAGAAACCAGATATAAATCCTAAAATCCAGTTCTATCATTGACTATTCGTAAATAACTAGTGAACAAGTGATTTTTTTCAAGGACTGAAATTTAATCATAGAGAAAAGTGAGAAGTTTTTAGGTTATTTTTATGTGAGTTACTTATCTAGGCTAAATTTGTTAAAGTCGTAATTCATAGGGTAATCCATGTGCTTTGTGGGCTTTTTTTATACCTTAGAGTAGTGGCTCTCAAACTTTTTGGTTTCAGGACCACTTGAAACTCTTAACAGTTATTGAGGATTCCAGTGTACATCGATACATATACTGTATTAGAAGTTTGAAGATAGCCTGAAAAAAGGTTCTCTAGTCTTATCAAACATGGAAGAGGATAAAGGAGTTCCCTGGGTGAGGAGTGTCTGGTATCTGCCCTACAGCAAGGACAATAGAGAAAAGAAAGTTGGCTTCCCTGGATCTCATGTGATCCCTAATTCTACTCTCCTTTCTTTAAATTGAATTAGCAGAAGTGTGGTAAGCTTGTCATTAAGGAGAAAGGAATTAACATTTATTGAGCAGTTAGGAACCAGGTGTCAGCTGTTTTACATATGTTATCTCAATGTTCACAGTAGTTTTGTAAGATAGATGATTTATTATCTCCATTTTACTGATGAGGAAACCCAGGCTTAGAGAGATCAGTAATTTGCTTAAGGCTCTATACTTAGTAAGTAAATGGAACCAGAATTTGAAATTAAATCAAATCAGACTGTGGAGCTGTTGCTTTTATATGGAAATTGTAAATAACAGCAGTGGTGGTAGTAGTGGCAATAACAGCAGCTGTTATTTTTTGAGCGCTTACTGTATCAGGCACTGTGGTAAGTTCTTTAAAAACACCTCTTATAGCGTAGGTTGTTAGCTCCGTTTCTAGATGGTGGAGACTGAATCTCGGAGCCATTAGGTAACTGATTATGTTGATAGTAATTGTGGATAGCTAATTGTGGAGATTGTAAGAGCCCATGCTCTTAATTTCTATGGCGTACTGTTTTATGAAAAATGAATAAATCCATCCACTTAAACATGCATACATTTAGGCCTGGTCTGACCTGTTCTTAGGCACCGCTGACCTTTCTACAGCCCAGTGAAGTAATGGCGGGTCTATTTTTAGTCCCAGGTCTTAGTCTGCATAGTTTGGAGATAGTAGAGTGTGGTCTGTAGGATAGTGTTCACCTCTGTTAAATTATATTTCCCTCAAGGTTATCAGTGTAACTATTACTGGACAGCCAGCTGGTAAATAAAGGAACTTACGAAGATAAATCAGAAGAAAAAGGTAAGGAGATAAGGTGATAAGGGTAAAAAGAGGAGGACAAAAGTGGACAGCTGTTTGCTGTGCTACAGTTTTGGTGTTTGGCTTCTGGATCATAAATCATGGAATGTTAGACTTGTAAGGAACTTTTAAGCTTATTTAGCTCAACTTCCTTTTTTACCCAAATGGGAAAAGAGGTTAAGTGATTCAGGTTATATGGTTTTGTTTGTAGCTGAGTTAACACAATCACCCTGATTCATTTTATTGCTCATTAGTTTATATAATATGCTAGTATATTAATAACACATAGAAAAAAACTCTGAAGCCAGTCTACCTAAGTTTATATTCCAGCTCCACCAACATACTAGTTGAGTGACTTCAGGCAAGTCAGTTAACCTTTTTGTGCTTCAGTTTCCTCATCTGTAAAACAGGGATAATAATAGTACTTACAGGATTGTTGTGAGGATTAAATGAGTTAAAAATATGAAAAGTGTTTAGAACAATACCTGGCACATAGTAACAGCAATAAATTTCCTATTAAAATTATTTCTTCTGCAGAGCTCAACAATACTAAATAATGTTTGGCTAATATTATTTTTGACTGGGAAAGTGAGACTCAAAGCTTGTTCCTCCAGGTTTGTCCAGTTTAGGTTTTCATGGAAAATGGCTTTGTTGATTTTTTGCTAATATTTTTCTTAATAAATCACTCTTAACCTTTTTGTACAGAGTAAGAAAACCAGGTGAGAACAATTATGTGGCTGTGAGGTAAGTTAGTTCTCTTGTAACTTGTGTTCATCTCAGTTATAGACTGTGTCTGTATATTTGTTTTTAGAATTGAGGTGAAATTTGCATGTGTTATTAAGTATGTCTGAATGGCTTAAGTGAGTTGCTTGAGTTTTTAGTGGGTATCTGATTTTAGTTCTTTTCAATTTTCTAGTGAAAATTTAATTTTTAATCTTTTTTAGAGTTGAAAGAGACCTTCTCAACCCCTCTGTTTTACAAATGAATAAATTGAGAGCAGAGATGCCAAGATACCTGGTCAGAGTCTCATGACTAGCTAATAGCAGAGCCTGATATAAGAATATTGGCCTTCTGCTTACTGCTGTATCTTGTTAAGGCTTATCATTGCTGTATAAACATTGCTTTGAAATTTTAAGAATGAAGTTTCTTTGTAAGAGTCAGTAGGGATTTAAATGTTCTTGTTAATGATTACTCAGATACTCTGCATTAATACATTTATCTGTATCTAATCCATTAGATTCCATTAACAACCTGAAATAGTTCTTGCAAATGCCAATTAAAAGACTGGGTAAATTAATGATGTTATTATTTACCCAACAACAAGAAAGTTCGGCATTGCCCTATTTAGTTATGGTCACAAGTGGAAACCTATCTTGAGTGAGGAGATAGGACCGAGGAATTATGCTGAGGCTTGAGGGGTCAGGTAACAATGAAAGCAAGACTCAGGAAGGTTTAGAAATGAATTGGCCTCGTTCCTCTGTAACATTTTAATGTTAGCACAGGTTACATGTGTTGCCTGTACATGAAGAGTGTATCCTTTACCTGTAACCCAAATTGCCAAGCCAAAGTCAGAGCATATATGGGTAGAGAAGATAAGAATATGAATGAAACCAGTTTACTAAGTATACATGACTGTCCCCTTTCTTTTTTTTTAAAAAAATAATAAAACAATAATGAGGATAATAACAACAGCTCATGTTTGTTGAGTGCTCTAGTGTGCCAGGCATTTTACATTTAATCCTTACCTTCTAAGGTAGGTTTTGTTATCCCCATTATAAGAAGATACTGAGTCTGAGATGAAATAGATTGCCCAAGGTCATGTAGCTAGGGAGTGTTAGAACCAGAATTCAGACACAGGTATGACACAGATATTTCAGACACTGAATTCTTAACTTGGTATTATGCTGTCAGGTAATATAATAAGTAAGACTTAGTTCCTGCCTTAGAGGAGTTCTTAATTTGGGTGGTCTCCTGATCACAGTATGTACTGTGATTATGTTATAGAGGAATGACCAATTGATTTTGCTCTAGAGTGTAAAGACGTTTATCTTGGAAGGATCTGCAGAGGTGGTGTTTGAAATGGGTACTAGAGATTGAGTATGATGTTAACACATAGTGAAGAGGGGAAAGGGCACCTGGGGAAATCTAGGAGTTAGAGTAATAGAGAACAGAGACAAAGATGAGTGGAAGTATCCAAACATAGTTAATGCAATCTGGTTTAGTTAGATATGTTGAAGAGCTGGTAAAGTGAAGTTGGGAAGGTGAGCTGGGAGGGATGAAAGACTGAAGGGTGTGTAATACCATTCTAAGAAGTTTAAACATTTTCCTGGTATGAAGCATTAAGGATTTTAAAGAAGAGATTGGGAGAGGGGTTAGTTCAAAGTGAGGTGTGTAATCTAGATCTTGGAGGATACTTTGGAGAGTGCAAGACCAAAGACAGGAAAACCAAACAGCATAGCCAAGGATAATGAAGGCTTGAATTAATACCTTATTTAGTCAATCTTAATATGTGCTTTTTTTCACATTTTAACATCTGAAATCAGGGTATGTCTTATAATTAATGCTATGCCATAGTTTAATTGGCAGACATTTTTCCATTCTTAGAAGCACATAAAATAATGGTGTATGTTGTTATTAGTGGCGTTCTAGATTTGATGAAATACAACAGTAATAGCATAACATTCACTGAATGCCTACTATTTGTCAGACAGAGTAGTAGATACTTGTCAGTGTCCATCATCTAGCACAGTGTGTTTGTCACATTTAGCAACTCACATATTTGTTGAATGAATTATCTCATGTGATCCTTACAGCAAGCCTGTTGACATAGGTGTTTAGCCCATTTTATAAGAAAATAGAGTCTCATATTTAAGTAATTGTCCAAAGTCAAACAGCTAGTTAATGGTGGAGTTAAGATAATGAACCTAGGTCTGCCTTACTTCAGATTCCATTTTTTTATCACTGTGGATGCTCTGTGGTTCCACTGAGATAGGAAGAGGGTTGAAGAAGAAGAGTGGATTTGAAATTTGGTAGAACTATTAGGACTTTCACTGAAGGGATAAATAAATGCTGATGGAGTTCAAGTAGAAGGTGCATTTGAGGTCACTGTGTTGCTTGGGAACACCATTTGACTGGCTGCCAAGAAGCCTCTTAGAATGTCTTTACTCTGATGAATTCGGTGTGGCCCAGGTTCTCATCAGAATTTGGTCTTTTCCATAACTCTGGATTGATGGGGCTTGGGCAATAGTATATAACTAAGTGATTGATTGAATGATATTAAGCTCACATGGGAGTGATGTGTAAACATCTGGGTGGCAAATTACTAATTTACAACGAGAAATGTACCTAATGTTCACATTCTAGGCTAAAATACGTTTTTCCTGTCACCAAGCTGTGAAGGGAGATACATAATTACTAGAAGGTGGCTGGCTGATTATATACTATAATTAGAAAGAGAGAGTTAATGATGCATTTATTTAATGCTGTTAGGCCAGTGTCCCACAGTGTTTAAATGGGTCAGGTCCTCGGGTAGGGGTGTCTTCTTCCTGGATTATGCTTATATGTGCTGCCGTTGTTTTGAGACTTTCCTTTTCCTATACTTTTAATGTTGGCTCTCCCTCTTCTGATTTACTTTTTTTTTTTTTTTAAGATAACGTTAATACTACTGATACTGGTCTGTGACTTTTTTTTTTAACTTTGCATCTATCTTCTCATCTATTGTATGTGAAGTTTAGAGTTTAGTTGGATTCCAACAGACTAATTTGAATTTGGATCTCATTATTTATTAGATGTAAGGACCTCTCTGAGCCTTAGATTCTACCTGTAAAACAGTGGAAATATCTTTCTCAGTAATTACGATGTTGAGATAGTATGTATGTAAAACACCTAACCTATATGTTACAGGCCAGTGGTTCCCAACCTTTTTGGCACCAGGGACCGGTTTTGTGGAAGACAGTTTTTCCACATACCAGGGGGAGGGGGAGTGGTTTTGGGATGATTCAAGCGTGTTACGTTTATTGTGCACTTTATTTTTATTATATTTACATTGTAGTATATAATGAAATAATTATAGAACTCAACATAATGTAGAATCAGTGGGAAGCAGCGCTTGTTTTCCTGCAACTAGATGGTCCCATCTGGGGCTGAGGGGAGACAGTGACACACAAAGTGTGTTGCTTATGTTCAGTCTACTCCGTAATCTGGTTTTGGTTGCTGTCATTGCAGAAAACCTGCTTCACAAAGATAGGAAGTTGGAAATGGAAGCAGGCTTTTCAGTGCTTTTGTGATAATCTCAGGACATTCTGCCTTGACTTGAATCCAGAATGTGTGGAAATTTGAAGTTGTCTCAGACACACTTTTAAGTCCACCGTCATTTGTGATCTCAAGCAGTTGCTCTTCTAGCATGGACAAAGCCAGTTCACCTGGTTTATTCACAAATAGATTGCGGATCCATTCTTTCCCAGTTTGGGGGTCTTTTGTAGTTGGGAGGTAATGCTTAAATTCTTTGGAAAGCTGAGATAGGTGATCATGCACCAGCTGGGAGAAAGAAGGCCCTGGCTCAGTCTCTTTCAAAATCTCTGCTAATGTTTGAAACATGTCAGAAATCTCAGTGTTCACTTGTCGCTCCCATAATTCCAGTTTGGCTTTGAATGCAGCCACTTTATCTGCCGACTTGATCACAGTTGTCCATCTCTCCCGAAGTGACAGATTGAGTTTGTTGAGCAGGTTGAATGTGTCACACAAGTTAAGTTTTGCGACCCATTCTGTGTCACAGAAATATGCTGCTAGTGGTGACTGCTTTTCTGAAATCTCTGGAGCGGCTCTTGTAACTAAAGAACTCTGGCCAGTGATCTACCTTTAGAAAGCCCTCTCACTAAGAGAAGATGTGTGTGCTCTGCATCCATCTCCTCACAGAGCTGTGCAAACAGATGTGAGTTAAGGGCATGTACTTTAATGTTAATAATTTTAGTCACATCTTGCAAAATATTGTTCAGGTGACATTTTTCAGCTAGCCAGCATTTCTCTGTGGATGACACAGTACATAGACTCAACATTTGGAAGTGACCTCTTTGACCCGAGCAGTGAAACCAGAAAGCCGTCTAGTCATGGCAGCTGCTCTGTCCATGCATATACCAACATAAAATGACCAATTCAGTTTTCCTGATATTTAATGATTCAAAAACTTGAATAGTTCTGCAGCTGTGGTGTTGGTTGGCAACAAAAGTGCACATAATATATCCTTATGTATATTCTCCTGAAAACATGTAACACAAAAACAAGTATTGTTACCTTGTTGTTAACGTCGGTAGACTTGTCAACCTGGATTCCATACCACGGTTCCCATTAATGCTAACAATTGTGCCTCTGTATCCTCTGCTGTTTCATCCATTTGTCTAGTTACAGTGCAAGCCAAAAGAGGAACACATGCCACCTTTTGAACTGCAGCCTCTCCGTAAAGGTCATGACAAACGTCCTTAGCAGCAGACACGATCAACTCTTCACCAATAGTAAAGGGCTTCTTAGCTTTATCAGTGTGGTTAGCCACTAAGAATGATGCTCTCAGTGCAGACACATTGATGAAGTGGTGGCTTTCAATAACTGCTTCTGTTCTTCATGTTCATGTTTTTTTTTTTCTTTCGAAAAAGACTTGTCTTTTAATGTAGGGTGCTTGGTCTCCAGGTGATGAAGTAGTTTTGAAGGTTTCATGGCTTTCTTGGATAGCTGGTCGCCACATATACAAAGCTGGCTTGGAGAATATGAATCACCTGTTGCAATGAACCTATTATTTAAGTAGGAGCCTTGGTATTTTCTTTTAAATGCAGCTTTCTTTTTTTTGGCAGTCTTAGAACCCTCTGCTGTCTCATCATTGGGTCTTTTCCCCTATTCAAAGAAGCTCTCTGCTCACATTTGTTTTTTACTCATTTTGGCTAGGGTTAGCTTGTGGGCTTACCGAAACTGTGACCGAGACAAATGCGCAGTGCAGGAAAGAGGCGTGGGTGGAAGTAGTAAATAAAATAATGGGTGGGCCATGCATGGACTGAAATAAGTGTTGGATTCTGACTTAAAGCCTGCCACCAGATGCAGCTGTACAATTGATGTACATCAATCCTCTTTCTACTATAAAGCCTACCACAAGATGCAGCTTAATTGTCACTTACCACTCACTGGTAGGGTTTTGATAAGAGTTTGTAAGCAATTGATTTATTATGGTCTCTGTGCAGTCAAACCACTCTGCTAATGTTAATCTGTAATTGCAGCTGCTTCACAGCACTAGCATCACTGCCTCAGCTCCACCTCAGATCATTAGGCATTAGATTCTCATAAGGAGCAGCAACCTAGATCCCTCGCATGCGCAGTTCACAATAGGGTTCACCCTCCTATAAGACTCTAATGGCACTGCTGATCTGACAGGAGGCAGAGCTCTGGCCATAATGTGAGCAATGGGGAGCCGCTGTAAATATGGATGAAACTTCGCTTGCTCGCTTGCCCACTGCTCACCTCCTGCTTTACACTACTGTAGATTTTATATAAACATTGTACAGTTAGCCTACACTAAATTCATAAAAATTGTGCTTTAACATTATGATGGCTACAACAGTTGTGACTTTACTAAGGCAATAGGAATTTTTCAGTTGTATTATAATCTTATGAGACCACTGTTGTATATGTGGTCTGTTGTTGACCAAAACGTCGTTATGCTGTGCATGACTATTTTATTATCAAACTAGGCCAGGCACTTGACTACTGTAGGTTTTGTCATTGTCATTCTTCTTCATTGCGTTCTAAGGAAAGCAGCCTTGGCAACTGTCTGAGTAGGCAAGCTTTAGAATATAGCACTAGCCAGGCTGGGCATCGTGGCTCACACTTGTAATCCCAGCATTTTGGGAGGCCAAGGTGGGTGGATCACCTGAGGTCGGGAGTTTGAGACCAGCCTGGCCCAACATGGTGAAACCCCATCTCTACTGAAAATACAAAAATGAGCCAGGGTATGGTGGTGCATGTCTGTAATCCCAGCTACTCCAGAGGCTGAGGCACGAGAATTGCTTGAACCCAGGATGTGGAGGTTGCAGTGAGCCGAGATCACCCCACTGCGCTCCAGCCTGGGTGACAGAGTGAGACTCTTATCTGCAAAAAAAAAAAAAAAAAAAAAAAGGAATATGGCAGTAGCCAGTAGATCTTTCTGCAGTGTAGGTGTTCTATATCTGCATTGTCCAATATGTGGCCACTAGTCAGATGTGGTTGTTTAGCATTTGAAATTTGGTTAGATAGACCAAGGACCTGAATATTTAATTTTAGTTTACTAAAATTAAAAAATTTTACTTTTGATGGCAACATGTGGGTAGTTGCTATTGCTCAGCTCCAAAACTTTCACTAAGTCATGGCAAAAAGGACAAATTATTGTAATTCAGTTTCCTTTCATTGCTGTGTGTATGTATATGTGTATATATATGTATTTGTGTGTATATCTCT
Organism: Homo sapiens; assembly: GCF_000001405.40. Lineage (NCBI taxonomy): Eukaryota > Metazoa > Chordata > Mammalia > Primates > Hominidae > Homo > Homo sapiens. The sequence continues at coordinate 180,648,244 of NC_000001.11, forward strand.
CATTTTAGGATTTTCTGAGAATTTGTAGCAGCAGAGGTTAAGGTTCTAGGTCTGTCTCTGCCATTAAGTGGCAGTGCCTGTTTAGCTGCGCTATGTGAGAGTCTCTCATTTCTGAAATGTAGGATAGTGTTTTTCAAAGATTGGTTCACTGCCCATGTGCATCAGAATTACCTGGGCTGCTTCTAAAAATACAGAAATGCAAATATGTGGACCCCACTAAATATCTATAGAAAGTAGAATTTCTGGGAGTTCAAACCTGAGAAATCTGATTTTTTGTTTTTGAGATGAAGTCTCACTCTATTGCCCAGGCTGGAGTGCAGTAGCACAGTCTCAGCTCACTGCAACCTCCACCTCCTGGGTTCAAGCGATTCCCCTGCCTCAGCCTCCTGAGTAGCTGTGATTACAGGTGCACACCACCACACTCAGCTCATGTTTTGTATTTTCGGTAGAGATGGGGTTTCACCATGTTGCCCAGGCTGGTCTCAGACTCCTGACCCCAGGTGATCCACCCAGCTCGGCCTCCCAAAGTGCTGGAATTACAGGTGTAAGCCACTGCGCCCAGCCAGAAATCTGATTTTTAAAATTGTTTTCTATAAATTCATGAGATGATTCTGATTACTATACTGATTACATCTGTTCCTTTCATCTCTGATAATTTTTGACATCTCTGATAATAATATTTTAGCTATTTGTTATTTAGTTTATGTATGTATTTTTTGCAGTTAGCATCTTTTTGGGGGACTTATGCACTGGGTTCCTGAAAATTACATTGCATTTCTCACAATTTTCAGATGTTTGTGGGAGGAGTATAAATCCTTGTTTGTGAAACTAATCCCCAAGAGCATTTTCTAGTGCAAGCTAATAGCCATTTAGTATTTTGATTAAAAAATTAAAGATGCAGGCCAGGCGCAGTGGCTCACGCCTGTAATCCCAGCACTTTGGGAGGCTGAGGTGGGCGGATCACGAGGTCAGGTGATCGAGACCATCCTGCCTAAGACACTGAAACCCCATCTCTACTAAAAATACAAAAAAAAAAAAATTATCTGGGCATGGTGGCGGGCGCCTGTAGTCCCAGCTACTCGGGAGGCTGAGGCACGAGAATGGCGTGAACCCGGAGGCGGAGCTTGCAGTGAGCCAAGATCGCGCCACTGCACTCCAGCCTGGGTGACAGAGTGAGACTCTGTCTCAAAAAAAAACAAAAACAAAAACAAAGAATTAAAGATGCGTAACTAAATATTAAGTGCTTAACTTTAGAGGTCACTCTTGAATGATATATGCAAATGCTCTGTGTTGTGGACAGTCTGTGATTCATGTGTCATTGTTTAAATAATGGATATTTGGAACACACAACCAATATCCTAGTTTTCCTGCAGTTAGACTCTTTAAGTAAACATATTCCTAGTTGTGGGTGTTATGGAGTTAGATGGAGGAAGTGGGCTAGAGATCCTACTATTTAGTATGTAGACATATTTTCAATCTGTGTTTCTCATCTCTGCCTTCTGCTGAGTCTGGAGTGGTATCCCTGAGTCCTTCCTCCATCCTTTAATTAACTGCAGGCTCCTGGATATAGTATAGCGAGGATGGAGGTGGTAGAGGTGGGAGTTGAGTGGACCTGTTAACTACTTCTTCGGCCAGTCCTCCTATATTTAGCCATGTCCCCTTAACTCTACCTTCTCAAGTACCTGATACTTCCACTTCCTCAACACTTCTGGGGTTTAGGGGCTAGAATGGTTTGCTTCCTGTTGGTATCCCTTTTTGTGTTTCAGGTTTTCCATTTTGTGTGCTGTCAGTTTACTCTCTCTCTGCTGTCTTCTAAAAATTTGTTAAAACCTCTTATCTGCTGCTGTCACCTTCCCATTATTTTTATTCTTAGAGTTTTATACTTAAAAAAAAATTCCTCGATTGTCATTTTAGTGGGGTTTTGGGAAGGAAAGAAGATGTATATAGTCAGTCTGTCATTTTTTACTGGAATATTTACCGCCGTCCCCCCAACTTTTTTTTTTCTTTCTTAGAGATGGGTTTTGCTTTGTTGCCCTGGCTGGAATGCAGTGGCACGATCATAGCTTACTGCAGTCTTGAACTCCTGAGCTGTAGGGATCCTCCTGCCTCAGCTTCCTGAGTAGCTGAGACTACAGGTGCACAGCACTATGCCTGGCTCCCCACACAATTTTGATTGAACAGAGTTATTCGATCACCTGTATTAGTACTGTCACTAGCTAAATTTCTCAAATGAAAAGTACACATTTGTTGTCTCAATGCCCTTTACCTCTTAAAACCTGGAAAAATGTTAGCAAAAAGCAATTTATGTTGAGAATTCACCATGAGCTCTTTTTGTCATTTCCAAAGGCCTATCCTTAACCTTCACTTTCATTGATACCTCTAGTAACAAGAGTGAGGAAGATAAGATAGAATCTTTAGGAATGAGAAGGGGTTCTTTGAGGATATGTGAGATCTATTCATATTTGAAGGCAGTAGAGAAAGTAGCTGAAATTAAATTTGTTGCAATTGAGCCTTTTTTTCATTTATTATCTGTGAGACCTTTAAACAGTGATTTTCTCTCTCTGAGTCTTAGTTTTCTTGTATATAAAATGGAGATAATATTTACTTTGTAAAGTTGTGATAATTAGATATAATATTTGAAAGTGCTATAAGGGCCTGGCCTGTAGAATATGTTTTCTGATAAATTGTAGCTGTTAATTTCTATCATCATTAAAAATAAGCCACAGAAATAACTTTTTTTAAGTCAACAGATATTTATTTTAAGGTATTAGTACGCAGTCTTTTTTGCATAACAGGACCCCCTTTCGATGTCATAAAGTATCTTGGAAACTGAATGATAGTAGCTGGACATTTGGAATCCATTTCTTTTTTTTTTTTTTGAGACCGAGTTTTGCTTTTGCCGCCCAGGCTGGATCTCAGCTCACTGCAACCTCTGCCTCCTGGGTTCAAGCAATTCTCCTGCCTCAGCTTCACGAGTAGCTGGGATTACGGGTGCCCGCTACCACACCCAGCTAATTTGTGTATTTTTAGTAGAGGCGGGGTTTCACCATGTTGGCCAGGCTGGTCTCGAACTCCTGACCTCAGGTCATCTGCCCACCTCAGCCTCCCAAAGTGCTGGGATTACAGGTGTGAGCCACGCACCTCGCCCGGAATCCATTTCTTAAACAACATTGTGATAAGATGAATGACTGTATTTCATGGATACTAAGAGGCACATTCCCCTGTTCCACATTTGAACATCTTTAACATTGGGATGCATCTTATGGATGTCACAGTTGAATTGGTAATGGTTTTCTTTCTTAATGGTACATGAAGTAATGGTGACTCTTAAGTCATTAATGGTACTTAGATTTGATAAAATACAATAGTATTTTATTAGTATAACTATCTTCTATTTTGAAATACAGTAGTGTGTTTGTAGTGTATTAGCCTGCAGATAATGCCTAGTTTATTAAGGGCTTATAATATTTAAATTGTAGCCATGAAGTGATCTGGGACCCATGGATTAGAAATTATGTTTATAACCATATAGGAAATAACATTGTAGAACCTTTTGGTTCTACAAATGAGAAAGGACTTTGCATTTTGATATTTTATGAAACTGGAAATGCTCTAAAATAATTCAATAAAAATAACAATAGCTGACACTTAAATTAACTGATGTGCTGATTTTAGATATTTAGATCTTGCAATACAAAGCCTGTGCAGTTTACAAACATGTTTTGAACTGTACTGGAGCCTGTGGCCTATAAAAGTTGAAGTGACAGGCCAGGCGTGGTGGCTCACGCCTGTAATTTCAGCATTTTGGGAGGCCAAGGCGCGCGGATCACATGAGGTCCGGAGTTTGAGACCAGCCTGGTCAACATGGTGAAACCCTGTCTCTACTAAAAATACAAAAATTAGCCAGGTGTGGTGGCGGTCACCTGTAATCCTAGCTACTTGGGAGGCTGAGGCAGGAGAATTGCATTAACCTGGGAGGCGGAGGTTGCAGTGAGCTGAGATGGCGCCATTGCACTCCAGCCTAGGAGACAGAGAGCAAGACTCCATCTCAAAAAAAAAAGAAGGTTGAAATGACAGTGCTCTCTGCCCTCAGAGAATTTACAGCTATTACCACAATCAGGTAAGAATGAGCTATATAGATTTAATTTTTAGAAGAGAGCATTTTGTTAATCATCAGCTTTATTTTATTATCAGAATAGGATTGTTAGACAAAGAAGATGAAGACTTAGTCTTCTGTCTGATCTGCTCCAGCCTCCAGCCCAGGAGTGTGTCCATGTGACTTTCCAAGAGCATTTAGTGGAAGTTAAATTACAGTGTTGGTAGCTTTGACATATGGGAATGTTATTTTATTGTTGTTAAATAAATCACTTATTTGAAATTATAATATTTTCCTTTCCATACTTTTTATAAGAAATAAAGGTTTTAGCTCCTTTGATCAAGACAAACCAAAGATGTTGCATATGATGTAATAACATGTAAATTTTGTGGTATAAAATATTTTTCAAATCTAGCTTGATGTATGAATTAACTGTTACTGGATAGCAGATTACCTCAAAACTTAGTGGCTTAAAACAATAATAAACATTTATTGTCTCACACAGTTTCTGTGTAGCATGCGTTTCGGAGCTGCTTACCTGGGTAATTCTGGCTCAGTATTTTGTGAGATTGCAGTCAAGATGTTAGCTGGGGCTGCAGTCATCTCAAGGCTTCACTGGTCTGGAGGATCCAATTCTAGGCTGACTCACTCAAATGGTTTGCAATTTGTGCTGGCTTTTCAAAAGGCCTCAGTTCTTCACCACTTGGACCTCTGCTTAGGACTGCTTGAATTTTTTCATGGCTAGCTTACCCCTAAGTGGGTGAACTAAGGGAGAACTAGATGAACAACACAGTGTCTTTTATGACCTAGCCTTGGAAGTCATTCTCTTGTTATTTGTACAATATTCTGATTGTACAGATACAAGGCTAACCTGTACAGGGTTAGCTTTACCTGTACAGGGCTAACCTGTATAATCAGTAGAATATTGTAGAGGTAAAAATCATTGGGAGGTGGAAGGTGATGTCATTTCAGAGGCTAGGGTCCACCTGATATACAAATCTAATGGTATAGAAAAGTCTTGGAAATAAAAGGGGAAATATTGGTAAATTGAGAGGCCTAAAGTAAGAGGTAAATTTTAGAAAGTAAGATGGCACTTCAAATTAGTGGGCTATTCTGTTGTCTTTCTCAAAGAAGCATGGATTATAGAATGAGAAATACTTGGCAATTATTGGGCAAGGTACAGTAGTCCCCCCCTTATCCACAGGGGATACATTCCAGGACCCCCAGTGGATGCCTAAAACCATGGATAATACTGAACTCCATATTAATGCAATGATTGTTTCTATACATACATACCTATGATAAAGTTTAATAAATTAGGCACAATAAGAGATTAACAACAATTAATAATAAAATAGAACAATTAAAATAATACGCCAGAATCATCACTCTTGTACTTTGAGGCCATTACTGAGTAAAGTAATGGTTACTTTGAATATAAGCACTGCAAAAAAATACCGTTAACGTTGATCTGGTAACTGCATTGACTACTAAGTGACTAATTGGTGGGTATCCTATATAGCGTGGATATACTACATGCTACTCAGAATGGTGTGAAATCTAAAACATGAATTATTTGCTTCTGGAATTTTCCACTTGTATTTTTGGACTTTGGTTGACCATGGGTAACTGAAACTGAGGAAAGCGAAACCTCGGATAAGGGGGTACTACTGTACTTTAATAACCTTTCTGAGTCTCAGATCTTCCAGTGGTAAAATGGGAATTGTTTACCTCAAAGAATTATAAGTTTCTGTTAAAGTAGTGTGTTTAAAATATTCAGAACATTATCTGAGAGTAGGCATTCAATAAATGTTAACTATTATTAGTTTTACTATTGATAAGTATTTGTGGCCATCATGGTCTCAGCTCTCGTGTGGTCAGCCTAATCTAACCTAGCTTCTGCCCCATCACTCTACTAAAACTACTTTCTTGCAAGTTGCTAGAGAGCAATAATCCTCAGATCTAATCACCTCTTCTCATCTTCTTTGATTCTAAGCAACTTTTAATAGTTTTTAATATCTATTCCTTCTTGAAATGCTTGTCCCTGAAGGCTTTTTAAAAATTGTGGTAAAATATGCATAATATAAAATTTATCACCTTAATCATTTTTAAGTACAGTTCAGTGGCATTAAGTATTTTCATATTGTTGTGCAACCGTCTCTACCATCCATCTCAATTCTTTTCATCTTGTAAAACCTAAACTCTTTCCTCTTAAACAACAACTCCCTATTTAGTCCTCCCTCTAGTTCCTGGCAACCACCATTCTACTTTCTGTCTTCATGATTTTGACTGCTCTAAGTACCTCATATAAGTAGAATCATACAGTATTTGTAATTTTGTGATGCATTACATCACTTAGTGTAATGTCCTCAAGGTGCATCTATGTTGTGCATAATGTAGAATTTCTTTCCTTTTTAAGGCTGAATATTATTCTACTATATGAATATAATTGAAAGACGCTTGGGTTGCCTTCATGTTTAGCTATTGTGAATGCTAAAATACGAAGGCAAAATATCTCTCTGTGTTCAAAGAGCTATTTGAACACAAGTGTACAAATATCTATCTGAGATCCTGGTTTCAGTACCTTTGGGTATATACTCAGAAGTATAATTACTAGATCTTATAAAAAATCAAAATCTATAGTTTTAATTTTTTGAGGAACCACCATAGTGTTTTCCACAGCAGCTGTACCATTTTACATTTCCACCAACAGTGCACAATTTCTCCACCTTTTTGCCAACACTTATTTCCTGTTCTTTTTTTAAGCAGTAGCCATCCTATCAAATGAATATGGTATCTCATTGTAGTTTTGATATGCACTTCCCTAATGATTAGTGATGCTGAGCATCTTTTTATGTGGTTAGTTTGGTTATTTCTTCATTGGAGAAATATCTGTTCAAGTCTTTTGTCCATTTTCGAATTGGATTGTTTTTTATTGTTGAGTTTTAGGAGTTCTCTATCTATTCTGGATATGAACCCCTTATCAGATATATGATTTGTAACTATTTTCTCCCATTCAATGGGTTGCTTTTCAATTCTGTTGATAGTCTCTCTCTCTCTCTTTTTTTTTTTTTTTTTTGAGACAGGGTCTCATTCTGTCACCCAGGCTGAAGTGTGGTGGTGCGATCTTGGCTCACTGCAACCTCTGCCTCCTGGACTCAGCCTATCCTCCCACCTCAGCCTCCTGAGTAGCTGGGACTATAGTCGTGCACCTTCATACCTGGCTAAAATAGTGTCTTTTGATATACAATTTTAAAAAATTTTCATGAAGTCCAATTTGTCTATTTTTGTTCTTGTTGCCTATGCCTTTGGTGTCTTATGCTAGATCCAGTATTGTGAAACTTTTGTCCTGTGCTTTCTTTTTAGAGTTTTATAGCTTTAAGTCTTACATTTAGGTCTTTTATCCTTTTTGAGTTAATTTTTAAAAAAAATTGCCCAATTTTTATTATCCTTGATTACTGAGTACCATCTTTTTTTAATTTTTAATTTTTGTGGATGCATAGTAGGTGTATATATTTATGGAGTATATAGCATATTTTGATACAGGCATACAGTGTGTAATATTTGTCAGGGTAAATGAGGTATTCCTCACTTCAAACAGCTATTCTCTCTCTTACAAACAATCTAATTATCCTCTCTTAGTTATTTTAAAATGTACAATGAAATTATTGACTATAGTCAACCTGTTGTGTTATCAAATACTAGATCTTATTCAGTTTTTATAACTATTTTTTGGTACCCATTAACTATCTGCCCCCCAATACCCTTCTGAGCCCCTGGTAACTATCCTTCTACTCTGTATTTCCATGAGTTCAATGGTTTTAATTTTTAGCTTCCACAAATAAGTGAGAAGATGCAAAGTTTGTCTTTCTGTGCCTGGCCTTTTTGACTTAACATAATGACTTCCAGTTCCATCCCTGTTGTTACAGATGCCAAGTCTCATTCTTTTTAATGACTGAATAGTACTCCATTATATATATAATATTTATATATATAATATTTATATATTTAATATTTATATATATAATATTTATATATAATATTCATGTATTTATATATAAATATTTATATATTTATATATAAATATTTATATATTTATATATAAATATTTATATATTTATATATAATATTTATACATTATATATAATATTTATATATTATATATAATATTTATATATAATATTTATATATTATATATAATATTTATATATTTATATGTATAATATATATTTTATATATGTATGTATAATATATATTTTATATATGTATGTATAATATATTTTATATATGTATGTATAATATATTATTATATATAATATATAATTTATATTATATATAATTATATAATATATATGTATTTTATATATATATATAAAATATTTTCATTATCCATTCATCTGTTGACAGACACTTGGGTTGCTTCCAAATCTTGGCTATTGTGAACAGTGCTGCAACAAATGTGGGAGTGCAGATGTCTCTTAGATATACTGATTTTCTTTATTCCAGGTATATACCTAGCAGTGGGATTGCTGGATTATATGGTAGTTATATTTTTAGTTTTTGAGGAAGCTCCAGACTGTTCTCCATAGTGGATGTACTAATTTACATTCCCACCAATAGCGTTTGAGGGTTCCCTTTTCTCCACATCCTTGCCAGCATTTATTATTGCCTGTTTTTGGATATAATTCATTTTAAATGGGGTGAGATGATATCTCATTGTAGTTTTGATTTGCGTTTCTCTGATGATCAGTGATGTTGAGCACCTTTTCATATGCCTGTTTGCCATTTGCATTTCTTCTTTTGAGAAATGTCTGTTCAGATCTTTGGTCCATTTCTTAATTGGATTATTAGATTTTTTTTCCTATAGAGTTATTATAGGAAATATTTTTTCCCATTCTGTGGGATGTCTCTTCATTTTGTTGATTGTTTCCTTTGCTGTGCAGAAGATTTTTAACTTGATGTGATCCCATTTGTCCATTTTGCTTTGGTTGCCTGTGCTTGTGGGGTATTCAAGAAATCTTAGCCTAGTTCAGTGTCCTGGAGACTTTCCTCAGTGTTTTCTTTTAGTAGTTTCATAGGTTGAGGTTTTAGATTTAAGCCTTTAATCCACTTTTATTTGATTTTTGTATATGGTGAGAGATGGGGTCTAGTTTTGTTCTTCTGCATGGGTATATCCAGTTTTCCCAGTACCACTTACTGAAGAGATTGTCCTTTCTCCAATGTATGTTCTTGGCACCTTTGTTGAAAATGAGTTCAGTTTAGATGTATGGATTTGTTTCTGGATTCCTTATTCTTTTCCATTGTTCTGTGTGTCTGTTTTTATGCTAGTACCATGCTATTTTGGTCACTATAGCTCTGTAGTATAATTTGAAGTCAGGTGATGTGATTCCTCCAGTTTTCTTTTTGCTCAGGATTGCTTTGGCTATTCTGAGTCTTTTATGGTTTCATATAAATTTTAGGATTTTTTTTCTATTTCTGTGAAGAATGTCATTGATATTTTGATAGAGATTGCATTGAATCTGTAGATTGCTTTGGGTAATATGGACATTTTAACAATATTGATTCTTCCAATCCATGAACATGGAATATCTTTCCATTTTTTGCATGTGTGTCCTCTTTAGTTTCTTTCATCAATGTTTTATAGTTTTCATTGTAGAGATCTATCACTTCTTTGGTTAATTCCTAGGTATTTAATTTTATTTGTAGCTATTGTAAATGGGATTGCTTTCTTGATTTCTTTTTCAGATCGTTTGCTGTTGACATACAGAAATGCTACTGATTTTTGCATGTCGATTTTGTATCCTGCAACTTTACTGCATTTGTTTAGCAATTCTAATAGTCTTTTCGGTGGAATGTTTAGGTTTTTCCAATTATAAGATCATATCATCTGCAAACATGAATAGTTTGACTTCTTTCTTTCTAGCTTGGATGCCCTTTATTTCTTTCTCTTGTCTGATTGCTCTAGCTAGCACTTCTAGTGCTATGTTGGACAACAATGGTGAAAGTGGGCATCCTCATCATGTTTCAGATCTTAGAGGAAAGGCTTTCAGTTTTTCCCCATTCAGTATAATACTAGCTGTAAGTCTGTTGTGTATGGCTTTTATTGTGTTGAGGTATGCTTCTTCTATACCGAGTTTTTTGAGGGTTTTTATTATGAGAGGATGTTGAATTTTATCAAATGCTTCTTCAACATCAACCAAAGTGATCATATGGTTTTTTTTTGTTTGGTTTTGTTTTGTTTTGAGACGGAGTCTCGCCACTGTCTCCCAGGCTGGAGTGCAGTGGCGCGATCTTGGCTCACTGCAAGCTCCGCCTCCCAGGTTCACACCATTCTCCTGCCTCAGCCTCCCGAGAAGCTGGGACTACAGGCGCCCGCCACCATGCCCAGCTTTTTTTTTTTTTTGTATTTTTAGTAGAGACGGGGTTTCATCGTGTTAGGCAGGATGGTCTCAATCTCCTGACCTCGTGATCCACCCGCCTCGGCCTCCCAAAGTGCTGGGATTACAGGAGTGAGCCACTGCACCCGGCCGATCATATGGTTTTTATCCTTTACTCTGTTGATATGATGTATCACATTGATTTGTAGATGTTGAACCATCCTTGCATTCCTGGGATAAATCTCACTTGGTTGTGATGAATGATCTTTTAAATGTGTTGTTGAATTTGGTTTGCTAGTATTTTGTTGAGGATTTTTACATCAATGTTCATTAGGGATATTGGCCTGTAGCCAGTCTTCCTTCCTTCCTTCCTTCCTCCCTCCCTCCCTCCCTTCCTCCCTCCCTCCTTCCCTCCCTCCCTCCTTTCCTTCCTTCTTTCCCATCAGTGTTCACTAGGGATATTGGCCTGTAGTCAGTCTTCCTTCCTTCCTTCCTTCCTTCCTTCCTTCCTTCCTTCCTTCCTTCCTTCCTTCCTCCCTCCCTCCCTCCCTCCCTCCCTCCCTTCTTTCCCATCAGTGTTCACTAGGGATATTGGCCTGTAGTCTGTCTTCCTTCCTTCCTTCCGTCCTTCCTTCCGTCCTTCCGTCCTTCCGTCCGTCCTTCCGTCCTTCCTTCCTTCCTTCCTTCCTTCCTTCCTTCCTTCCTTCCTTCCTTCCTTCCTTCTTCCCTCCTTCTTCCCTCCCTTCCTCCCTTCCTCCCTTCCTCCCTTCCTCCCTTCCTCCCTCTCTGTTGCCCAGGCTGGAGTGCAGTGGTGCAATCTCAGCTCACTGCAACCTCCACCACCACCACCCACCACACCCCCCAGCCACCGCACCCCCACCCCCCACCCCCCGCCGGGTTCAAGCGATTCTCCTGCTTCAGCCTCCCGAGTAGCTGGGATTACAGGCACCTGCCACCATGCCTGGCTAATTTTTGTATTTTTAGTAGAGGTGGGGTTTCACCATCTTGGCCAGGTTGGTCTTGAAATCCTGACCTCGTGATCCACCTGCCTCAGCCTCCTAAAGTGCTGGGATTACAGGCGTGAGCCACCACGCCCAGCCTAGTTTTCTTTTTTTGATGGGGTCTTTTTCTGGTTTTGGTGTCAGGATAATAACTGACCTCATAGAATGAGTTTTGGAAGTATTCCCTCTTCCTCTATTTTTTGGAGTAGTGTGAGTAGGATTGGTATTAGTTGTTCTTTAAACATCTGGTAGATTTCAGCAGTGAAACCATTGGGTCCCAGTGTTTTCTTTGCTGGGAGACTTTTTATTACAGCTTCAATCTTCTTACTTGTTATTGGTCTGTTCAGGTTTTGAATTTTTTCATGGTTCACTCTTGTTTGGTTGTATGTGTCTAGGAATTTATCCATTTTCTCTAGATTTTCCATCTTACTGGCATATAGTTGCTCATAGTAGCCTTCAGTGATCCTTTGAATTTCTGTGGTATTGGTTGTATCATCTCCTTTTTTATCTCTGATTTTATTTATTTGGATCTTCTCTTTTTTTCTTAGTCTGGCTGAAAGGTTTGTCAATTTTGTTTATCTTTGCAAAAGACCAACTTTTTGTTTCATTAATTTTATATTTTAATTTCATTTATTTCTGTTCTGATCTTTATTATTTCTTTTCTTCTGGTAACTTTGGGTTTGGTTAACTCTTGCTTTTGTAGTTCTTTAAGATGCATCAATAGGTTATTTGAAGTTTTTCTTCTTTTTTGATGTAGGCACTTATAGCTATAAACTTTCCTCTTAGTACTTCTTTTGCTGTTTCCCATAGGTTTTGGTATGTTGTGTTTCCATTATCATTTGTTTCAATAAATTTTTCCCTTTTCTTCTTAATCTGTTCATTGAGCCACTGGTCATTCAGGAGCATATTGTTTCATTTTCATGTGTTTGTATAGTCTCTAAAATTTCTCTTGTTATTGATTTCTAGTTTTATTCCGTTGTGGTCAGAGAAGATAATTGATATTATTTCAGTTTTTTTGAATGTTTGAAGACTTATTTTGTGGCCTAACATATGGTCTATCCTTGAGAATGATCCATGTGCTGAGAAGAAGAATGTGTATTCTGCAGCCATTGGATGAAATGTTCTGTAAATATCTATTAGGTCCATTTGGTCTGTAGTGCAGATTAAGTCTGACATTTCTTTGTTGATTTTCTGTCTTGATCATCTGTCCAGTGCTGAAAGTGGGGTGTTGAGATCTCCAGTTCTTACTGTACTGGAGTTTATCTCTCTCTTTAGCTCTAATAATATTTGCTGTATATATCTGGGTGCTCCAGTGTTTCATGCATATATATTTATAATTGTTATAGCCTGTTTCTGAATTGACCTTCTTATTATATAGTGACCATTTTTATCTATTCTTATATTTTTTGTTTTGGAATCTTTGGTGTATTTTGTATTTTCTGTAGCTACTCCTGCTCTTTTTTGGTTTCTATTGGCATGGAATAATCTTTTTCCATTCCTTTATTTTCAGTCTTAGAGTGTCTTTATAGGTGAAGCGTGTTTCTTGTAGGCAACAGATCTTGTTAAAAAAAAACAGGGTCTTGTTTTTTTTAACCCATTCAATCACTCTTAAACTCCATTTATGTTCAGTATTATTACTGATAAGTAAGGACTTTTGCCATTTCGTTATTTGTTTTCTGGTAGTCTCTTCCTTCTTTCCTTCCTTCCTGTATTCTTTTTAGTGAAGGTGATTTTCTCTGCTGGTATGTTTTAATTTTTCGTGTGTGTGTGTGTGTGTGTGTGTGTGTGTGTGTGTGTGTGTGGTATGTTTTTTGATTTGAGGTTACCATGAGGCTTGTAAATATTATCTAATAACTCATTATTTTAAACTGACTGGGTGTGGTGGCTCACGCCTGTAATCCCAGCACTTTGGGAGGCCAAGGGGGGCAGATCACCTGAGGTCAGGAGTTCAAGACCAGCCTGGCTAACATGGTGAAACCCAGTCTGTACTAAAAAAAATATGCAAAAATTAGCTGGGCATGGTGGCACGTACCTGTAGTCCCAGCTAATCAGGAGGCTGCGGCAGGAGAATCGCTTGAACCCAGGAGGTGGAAGTTGCAGTTAGCCAAGATCATGCCACTACACTCCAGACTGGATGACAGAATGAGACTCTGTCTCAAAAACAAAACAAAACAACAAAAAAACCCTCGTTATTTTAAACTGATGACAACACTGACTGCATAAAAAAGGAAGCAAAAAGAAAACTAATAAAAACTCTACACTTTAACTTTGTCTCCCCACTTTTTAACTTTGTTTCTATTTATATCTTATTTTACTATGTGTTGAAAAGTTGTTGTAGTTATTATTTTTGATCAGTTCATCTTTTCATCTTTCTACTTCAGATATGAGTAGTTTACACACCACAATAACAGTGTTATAATAGTCTGTGTACTTACTATTACCAGTAAGTTTTGTATGTTGAGATGATTTCTTACTGCTCATTCTTGTCCTTTTTTTTTCTGGTTGAAGAACTTCTTTTAGCATTTCTTACAGAACAGTTCTGGTGTTGGTGAAACCTTTTATTTGCCCTGAAATAATCTTTTATTTTTATTTTGTTATTCCAGATGAAATAATCAGCTTTTATTTGACCGGAAAAGGCTTTATTTCTTCTTCATATTTGAAGGATATTTTTGTCAGATATACTATTTTAGGATGAAAGTTTTTTTCCTTCAGTACTTTAAATGTGTCATGCCACTCTCTTGGTCTGTAAGGTTTCCACTGAAAAGTCTGCTGCCAGATGTATTGGAGCTCCATTGTATGTTATTTGTTTCTTTTCTCTTGCTGCTTTTATGATCGTTTCTTTATCCTTGACCTTTGGGAGTTTAATTATTAAATGCCTTAAGGTAATCTTCTTTGGTTTAATTCTGCTTGGTGTTCTATAACCTTCTTGTAGTTGAATATTGATATCCTTCTTTAGCTTTAGGAAGTTCTCTGTTATTATCTCTTTGAATAAACTTTCTACCCCAAGTCTCTCTCCACCTCCTTTTTAAGGCCAGTAATTCTTAGATTTGCCCTTTTGAGGTTCTTGTCTAGATCTTGTAGGCATGCTTTACTTTTTTTATTCCTTTTTCTTTCATCTCTTCTGACTGTGTGTTTACAAATAGCCTGTCTTTAAGCTCACTATTTTTTTTGCTTGATCACTTCTGTTATTAAGAGACTCTAATGCATTCTTCAGTATGTCAGTTGCATTTTCAACTCCAGAATTTCTGCATGATTCTTTCTCATTATTTGAGTTTCTTTGTTAAATTTATCTGATAGGGTTCTGAATTCCTCCTCTGCTTTATCTTGAATTTCTTGGGAGTTTCCTCAAAACAGCTGGTTTGAATTCTATCTGAAAGGTCTCATATCTCCATTTCTCTGGAATTGGTTCCTGGTGCCTTATTTAGTTCCTTTGGTGAGGTCATGTTTTCCTGGATGTCTTGAGTTTGTGGATTGTTCGTTGGTGTTTGGGCATTCAAGAGTTATTTATTGTAGTCTTTGCAATCTGTGTTTGTTTATACCCACCCTTCTTGCAATGGCTTTCCAGGTATTCAAAGAGACTTGGGTGTAGTGATATAAGTTTTTAGTGACTGCATCTGTTATCTGCATTAGGGGGTTCCCCAAGCCCAGTAACATTGTGGTTCTTGCAGACTCATAGAGGTGTACCACCTTGGTGGTCTTGGATAAGAGCCAGAAGAATTCTCTGGATTGTCAGGTAGAGACTCTTGTTCTCATCTTTTACTTTGTCCTAGATAAACAGAGTTTATCTTTCTGTGCTGAGGTGCCTGGAGCTTGGTGATGGGTGACTCAAGCACCCCTTGGGCCACCATCACTGGGACCACACTGGGTCAGACCCGAAGCTAGCGCAACACTGGATGTTTCTGAAGGACTGCTATAACCACCACCTGCCTATTACCTATATTTGCTCAAGGACCTAGGGCTCTATATTCAGCAGGTAGTGAATCCAGCCAGGCTTGTGTTCTTCTCTTAAGGGTGGCAAGTTCCCCAAGTCCCCGGGCAGGTCCAGAGATGCTCTCTGGGAGCCAGGGCTTGCATTCTGAAACCTTAGAAATCTACCTGGTGCTCTTTTCTACCTCGGCTGAGCAGGCGCTGAAACCATTGTTCTTTCTACTCTTTCCTTCCCTTTTCTCAGGCAGAGGAGTCTCCCCATGTCCACCAACACTATAGGGCCACAGGAAATACTGCCAGGGTACCACCAATGTGCACTTATGGCCCAAGCGCTCTTCATTTAGTTTGTGGTGAATGCTGCCAGGCCTGGGACTCACGCTTCAGGTCAGTGGACTCCCCTCTGGCACAGGGTAGGTCTAGAGATGCTGTCTAAGAGCCAAGACTTGGTATTGGGGACCCCAAAAGCCTGCTTAGTGCTCTTTCCTACTGTCGATGAGCTGGTACCTAAGCTCAAGACAAAGTTCCTTTTGCTCTTCCCTCTGTTTTTCTCAAGCTGAAGTGGTCCCTCCTCATAGCCACCACAGCTGTGAATGTGCCGGCTTACACGTGAAGCCAGCATGTCTCAGAGTCTCACCCAAGGCCCATGGTGTATACTACCTGTTTACCACTGCTGCTTATTCAGGGCCCAAGGGTTCTGTGTTCAGCAGATGATGAATCCTGCCAGAACTAGGTTTTTCCCTTCAAGGCAGCTGGTTCCCTTCAGGTCAAGGGTGTGTCTAGAAATGTTGTCTGAGAGCCAGGGCCTGGAATGGGGGGCCTCGTGACACTGCCCAGTGTCCTTTCCTACTGTAGCTCAGTTGGTATCCCAGTTGCAAGATGAAGTCCTCTTTACTCTTCCCTACCCTCTCTTCACACAGAAGGAAGGGGTTTCTTTTGGAGCTTCAAGCCTTGCTGCCTGGCACTGGGAGACAGATGACATGAGCACCCCCTTAGTTGCCCTGGCTGCTGTCTTACTAGGTCACGTGTCCCCCCAGTCGACTGGCTCTGATCCTAGCACAGCACAGGGTCCTGCCTAAGAGTTGCAGTCCTTGTGGCCTAGACCAGCATTCCCCGACATTTTTAGCACCAGGGGCTGGTTTCATGGAAGTCAGTTTTTTCATGGGGTGGAGGAAGAGAAATGGTTTCCGGATGAAACTGTTCTACCTCAGATCATCAGGCATTAGAGTCTCACAAGGAGCATACAACCTAGAATCTCTTCCATGTGCAGTTCACAAGAGTTCGTGCTCCTGTGAGAATCTAATGCTGCCGCTGATCTGATAGGAGGTGGAGCTCAGGCAGTAATGCTCACTTGCCCACCTCGCACTTCCTATATTCATCCATTCTCACACTGTTATGAAGAAATATCCAATTATTAAATATAAAGGAAAGAGGTTTAATTGACTCACAGTTTCCCATTGCTGAGGAGGTCTTAGGAATCTTACAATTGTGGTGGAAGACAAAGGAGAAGTAAACACCTTTTTCAAAGGGTGGCAGGATGGAGTGAGTGCAAGCAAGGGAAATGCCAGACGCTTATAAAACCATCAGACCTCATGAGACTCACTCACTATCGCAAGAACAGCATGGGGAAAACCGCCGCCGTGATCCAAGTACCTCCACCTGGTCCCACCCTTGACATTCGTGGGGATTATGGGAATTTCAATTCAAGATGAGATTTTGGGTGGGGGACACAGCCAAACCATATTACCTCCTGCTGTGTGGCCTGGTTCCTAACAGGCCAAAGACCATTACTGGTCCAGGGCCTTGGGGATTGGGAACCACTGGCCTAGACAGTCTTTCATGTTTATTTAGAGTGCCAGAGCACTTTAGCCCTTGGTGGAAAGGCTTGCTGAAACTCAAGTTCCTGCTACTAGGATAGGCTATTCCTTTCTGGCTAGGGCTGGACTAAATGCTCCTTCCATGGGTGCTGGCTGAATTCAGCCCAGTGTTGGCAGCACTGGGTTCCAATGTGAAGTCTCACAATTGCTGCACTCTCCCTCCCTCAAGTGCAGAGATTCTCTCTCTGTGCCACACAGCTGGCCACACTGCTGGGGTTTGGGGGAGGGGTAGTGTCAGCAATTCAAGATTGTCCGTCCTACCTTCTTCAGTGCCTCTTTTCAGTGATACAGAGTAAAAACCAGTTACTGTGTTTACTCAACTGATTTCTGATTCATATGAAGGCTTTTTTTGTGTAGATAGTCATTAAATTTGATGTTCCTGTGGGGATGATGATTGATGGAGGCTTCTGTTCTACCATCTTGCTCTGCCTCCCCTAACTATGATTTTTGAGTTAATTTTTGTGTGTGGTGTTAGGTAAGGGTCCACCTTCCTTCTTTTGGGTATAGATATCCAATTTTCCCAGTACTATTTGTTGAAAAGACTGTTTTCTCCATTGGGTGATCTTGGCACCCTCATAAAAATTTATTTGACCGTATATAGGAGGGTTTATTTGTGGACTGTATTCCACTGGTTTAACTTTATGTCAGTACTATACTATTTGGATTATTGTAGCTTTGTAGTAAGTTTGGAAATCAGGAAGTGTGAGTCCTCTGGCTTTGTGCTTCTTCAAGATTCTTGTAGCTGTTCAGCGTCCCTTGAGATTCCATATGAATTTGACAATGGGGTTTTTCCATTTCTGCAAGAAAGATGTTTAGGATTTCGATAGGTACTGGACTGAATTGTAGATCGCTTTGAGTAGTATTGACATCTTAACAATATTGAGTCTTATAATACACATGAACGTAGGATGTGTTTCCATTTATTTGTCTTTCATTTCTTTCAGCAACATTTTCTTCTTTATATTGTACATGTCTTTCCCTTATTTGGGTAAGTTAATTACTAAGTATTTTATTCTTTTCGATGCTATTGTTAAATGGAATTGCTGTCATTTTCAGATTGTTTCTGCAATTTGTTGTTTCCTTTTCAGATTGTTGGTTGTTAGTGTATAGAAATGCAACTGATTTTTGCATGTTGACTTCATATCCCACTTTGCGTCAGCTTTGTATCAGCTACTTTGCTGAATTCATTGATTAGTTTTTCTTTTTTTGGTGTGGAATCTTTAGGTTTTTCTACATATAAAATTAGCATATGCAAATACAGATAATTTTACTTTCCAGTTTGGATGTCTCTCATTTCTTTTTCTTGCCTAATTGCCCTGGCTAGAACTTACATTGAACAGAAATGATGAAAATGGGCATCTTTTCCTTGTTCCTGATCTTAGAGGAAACCATTTTCAGTCTTTTTTTTTTTTTCCATGACAAGGTCTCACTCTGTCACCCAGGCTGGAGTGCAGTGGCGCAATCTTGGCTTATTGCAACCTCCACCTCCCAGGCTTAAGTTTTCCTCCCACCTCAGGCTCCCGAGTTGCTGGAACTACAGGTGCATGCCACACTTGGCTAATTTTTGTATTTTTTTTGTAGAGACAGGGTTTCATTATGTTGCATGGCCTGGTCTCAAACTCCTGAACTCAAGCGATCTGCCTGCCTTGGCTTCCCCTTACTGGGATTACAGGCATGAGCCACTGAGCCTGGTCAAATTTCAGTCTTTCACCATTCATTGTGGGTTTTTCAGATATGGCTTTATTATCTTGAGGTAGTTTCTATACCTAGTCTTTTGAATTTTTTTTTAATCATGATTTTGTCAAATGTGTTTATCAATTCAAGTGATCATGTGATATCCCCCCTTCATTCTGTTAATGTGGTGTATTACATTGATTGATTTTCCTGTGTTGAACTATCATTTCAACACAGGAATTATTTCAGTAATAAATCCCACTTGGTCATGGTGTATAATCCTTCTAATATGATGCTGATTTTGGTTTTCTAGTATTTTGTTGAGGATTTTTGCATCAAAGTTCATTGGAGATATTTGCCCATAGTTTTGTTTTCTTGTAGCGTATTTGTCTGACTTTGGTATCAAAGTAATACTGGCCTCATAGCATGAGTTAGGAAGCATTTCCTCCTGTTCAGTTTTTTGGAAAAGTTTGGGAAGGGTTGATATTCTTTAAATGTTGGGTAGAATTCACCAAAGAGCCATGAGGTCCAGGGCTTTTCTTTGTTGGAATTATGGAGTCAATCTTCTTACTATTTATAGATCTGTTCAGATTTTCTGTTTCTTCATGGTTTAGTCTTAACAGGTTTTACCTTCCTAGGAATTTGTCCATTTCATCTGGATTATCCAATTTTTTGGTGCATAGTTGTTCACAGTACTCTTTTATAATACTTTTTATTTCTATAGAATCAGTAGTAATGTCCTTACTTTCATTTCTGATTTTAGCAATTTGTGTCTTCTCTCTTTTATTTCTCAGTCCATCCGGCTAAAGGTTTGTCAGTTTTGTTAATCATTTCAAAGAACCCACTTTTGGTTTCATTAATTTTTCTCTATTGTTTTTCTATTCTCTATTTTTTTTATTTATCTTTGCTTTCATATTTATTTCCCTCTATCTTTTTTTTTTTTTTTTTTTTTTTAAGACAGAGTCTTGCTCTGTTGCCTAGGCTGGAGTGCAGTGGTGTGATCTCAGTCAATTGCAACCTCCACCTTCTGGGCTCAAGTGATTCACCTGCCTCAGCCTCCCAAGTAGTTGGGATTACAAGCATATGCCACCACGTCTGGCTAATTTGTGGGCTTTTAGTAGAGACGGGGTTTCACCATGTTGGCCAGGCTGGTCTTGAACTCCTGACCTCAAGTGATCTGCCTGCCTCAGCCTCCCAAAGCACTGGGATTACAGGCGTGAGCCACTGCACCCAGCCTGTTTCCCTCTTTCTGTTACCCTTGGATTTAGTTTGTTCTTCTTTTTCTAGTTCCTTAAGTTGTCATGTTAGGTTTGAAATCCATTTGAAATTTGAATTTGAAATCCATTCACAGCTATAAATTTGCCCCTAACACTGCTTTCACAGTGTCTCATAGGTTTTGGTATGTTGTGTTTTTATTTTCATTCCTCTCTAAATGTTTTACAATTTTCCTTGTGATTTCTTCTTTGATCCATGAGTTATTGAAGTATGTGTTGTTTACTTTCCATAATTTTGTGAATTTTCAAGTTTTATTTCTGTTAATTGATTTCTAATTTCATACTGTTATGATCAGAGAAAATACTTTCTTTGTATGATTATTTCTTTTAAAGTCTATTGAGACTGAGCACGGTGGCTCACACCTGTAATCCCAGCACTTTGGGAGGCCGAGGTGGGTAGATCACTTGAGGTCAGGAGTTCAGGACCAGCCTGGCCAACATGGTGAAATCCCATCTCTACTAAAAATATAAAAATTAGCTGGGCTGCTGGCAGGCGCCTGTAATCCCAGCTACTTGGGAGGCTGAGGCAGGAGAATCGCTTGAACCCGGGAGGCAGAGGTTGCAGAGAGCTGAGATCGCACCATTGCATTCCAGCCTGAGCAACAAGAGCGAAACTCTGTCTAAAAAAAAAAAAAAAAAAAATCTATTGAGGCTTAATTTCTGGCCTAACAAATAATCTATCCTGGAAAATGTACCACATGCACTTGAAAAGAATGCATATGCTGTTGTCATTGGGTAGAGTGTTACATGTATGTCTGCTGTCTGGTTATTTTATCTATTATTGGTCGAGAGATATTGAAGTCTCCAGCTATTATTGTATAAGTATGTATTTTTTTCTCTTCAATTCTGTTAATTTTTGCTCCATATATTCTGATGGTCTGTCTTTAGTGTATAAATTTTGTTTTGTTTTGTTTTGTTTTTTTCTTTTTTTGTAGAGATGGAGTCTCGCTGTGTCTCCCAGGCTGGAGTGCAGTGGCGCAATCTTGGCTCACTGCAACCTCCGCCTTCCGGGTTCAAGCAATTCTCCTACCTCAGCCTCCTGAGTAGCTGGGATTTACAGGCATGCACCACCATTTAGTAGAGACGGGTTTCACCATGTTGGCCAGGCTGGTCTCAAACTCCTGACCTCAGGTGATCTGCCTGGCTTGGCCTCCCAAAGTGCTGGGATTACAGATGTGAGCCACTGCGTATAAATGTTTATACAGTAGTTCCTGCTTCTCCATGGGGGATGTTCCAAGACCCCCAGTGGATACTTGAAACCATGGATAGTACCAAACCCTATAGGTACTATGTTTTTTCCCATACATATATATGTATGATGAAGTTTAATTTATAAATTAGACACAGTAAGAGATTAACAATAATAACTAATAATAATATAGAACAGTTACAACAATATACCGTGATAAAAGTTATGTGAATGTGGTCTCTGTCTCTTAAAATATCTTAATGTACTGTATTATGGGTAAACAAAACTGTGGAAAGTGAAACTGTATGAGGGGTGACTACTGTAAATGTTATATTTTCTTGCTGTATTGAACCTTTAAAAAAATATGATATTCTCCTTTGTGTCTTTTAAGTTTTTCTTAAAATCTTTGTTGTTACTATTTGTACAAAGTATCTATTTCCATCCTTTCACTTTCAATTTGTTTGTGTCTTTAGATCTAAAGTGTCTTGTAGAAGCTTATAGTTGAATCATGTATTTTTTATCTGTTCTGCCAATTTCTGTTTTTTCATTGGAGAATTTAATTCATTTACATCTAAAGTAATTACTGATACAAGGTGTAATTATGTCATTTTCCAATTTTCTATATTCTTTATAGATTTTTTTGGCCCTTATTTCCTCCTTATGTGTTTAGTTGATTTTTTGTAGTGAAATGTTTACATTTCTTTTTCATTTGCTTTTGTGTGGACTATAAATATTTTCTTTGTGGTTACCATGAGGAGTACATTTAACATCATATAGTTAAAACACTCTAATTTGAATTTTTACCAGCTTAACTTCAATAACATACAAAAACTGCTTCTTTACAACTCCATCTTCATCACTTTCAGTTGTGCAGATGTCATAAAATTACATTTTTATATACTGTGTGCCCAGAAACTTAAAATAATAATTCTTTTGAATGTGTTAGACTCTTAAATCATGTAGAAAATAAAAAATGTAGTTAAGAACTGTTGTTACAATAATACCAGCTTTTATAACTGCCCATATATTTATCTTTATTGAGAACTTTTATTTCTTTATACAGCTTTGAGTTACTGTCTAGTGTTCTTTCATTTCATTTTGCAGGATTCTCTTAAATATTTCTTACAGGGGCAAACCTAGTAGTAACAAACTTCTTCAGCTGTTTGAGAATGTCCTAATTTCTCCCTCAATTTTGAAGGACGTTTTTGCTGAACATAGGATTCTTGGTTGATAGTTTTTCTCTTTTAGTACTTTGACTATGTTGGCAATTTGACCTGGATCTTGAAGGATGGTTAAGATTTACAAGATGGATTAAAAGATGGGGATAAAGGGAAGGGATTCCAGGTGGAGGCAACAGTAAAAAAAGGCAAAGATAGAAGAAATACTGAGGTCTCTAAAATGAGTAATATGTAATTTATTTTGTTTTGAGGGTTAGATTATGAAAATCAAAGTGGTTTTTTCCATTTTGAAAGATAAGCCTAGAAAGGTAGATTGGACCATTCTTTGTGTTTTAGAGGCCAGCAGAGGAGTATGGACTTTATTTTGTGGCCCTGAGGAAATCTTTGCAAGTTTTTGGGTAGGAGAATCGGGCTACTGCTTTGGGAAGATTGATTTGGCAGCATTTTGTAAGATCTGTCAGAGAGATCAAAACTCATAGGTGGTTAAACCAGTTAAAATTCTGTTGAAATAGTTTAGATGGATAGGAGATTATGAAGGCAAAAGAGGATGTGGCAGTGGAATTGACTGTATCAGATCTGTACATGCATGAGTGGAAAGAAAGAAAACGTAATAATGTTAACTACACTAGGATAATGATTTTTATTTTCCTCATGATATATCTGAAGTATCTAGTACAGTGGCTGGCACATAATATATATATATTTTTTTGAGACGGAGTCTCGTCCTGTCACCCAGGCTGGAGTGCAATGGCATGATCTCGGCTCACTGCAGCCCCCACCTCCTGGGTTCAAATGATTCTCTTGCCTCAGCCTTGGGATTACATGTGTCAACTACCAAGCCCAGCTAATTTCTGTATTTTTAGTAGAGACAGGGTCTCACCATGTTGGCCAGGCTGATCTTGAACTCCTGACCTTGTGATCTGCCTGCTTCGGCCTCCCAAAGTGCTGGGATTACAGGTGTGAGTCACCGCACACAGCCAACTTTTTGTTTGTTTGTTTGTTTAAAGAGACAGAGTTTTGCTGGGATTACAGGTGTGAGCCACCGCGTCTAGCCAATATATTCTTAAATATTTGTTGAATGAGTGAGATTGTTTTGACTGAGATTCTTAATCTGTGTGATTTGGATACTGGTGATGACATTAACAGAAATAAAGCCTTAAGAAGAAAATGAATTGAATTTTGAACATTCTGAGTTTGTGTTATCAGACATGTGGCCAAGGATCTAAATTCAGGAGATACCCACATGGAAAGAATAAAAGCCATGTCAATAGATGTCAGAGAATATTAGTGCAAAAATTTGTGTGACTATAACATGACATATTCCAAATTGATTCCTCCTATTACAGATTACATATATCTTATATATTTAATATACATTTAGTTTAATCAGTACAATAAAACTTTAGTGTTGTAACAACTTCTCCATATTGAATTGCCATTTACTGACTGGGTTCTTTTGAATTCCTTGAAAATGAGTCAGGCTTAATGCTTATATACTCTAGGCTTTAGCTTGTTAAGTATGTACAAGAGTATATTAATCTTAAATTTTAATATGAGAATTTGTGTAAGAGTTTTTCTTGGCTTTGCTGATTTTATTTCTATCATTAGAACCAAAGCTAAGTAAGTTTATTTGTATTTTGGGATAGAAATGAAGATTATTTAGTATGTTGATTCTTTGTATAGTACACATGAGAATGCTGGATGTCCTCTTTTGAGGTTTATAATTTGATTTACAAAACTGTCCTGTTTATTTTAGTATTAGGAAAACATTTATAATTTTTAGATGATGAGACAAACCATATTAGATGTAACTGACTTGTACATTATTCACCCAATATTTCTGGTGAAGTAATTTAAAAACAGAATACAAAAAGAGGAAGTGGAAACTGAAAAAGATAATTGGAGAATATTTCTGGGGTATTGTAGATGAGCACATAATGCACATATTTAAAATAATATATTCAAATTTTATTTTTCAAGGTTTCCATTTGGAAAGGTTGTTCAGATAAAAAAGTATCTGTTGTAATTTTATTCAGTTGTGAAACATTATTAACAGGGGTTATGACTCCTTTAAGGTTTATGAGCACAAATATTCCTTGCCCTTTCTCTTCATATGCTTTTCTTTATTTATTTTATTGTTTATTAATCCAGTAGATTGTAAAGTGCTAACTTTGAATGACTGTTGAAGCGAATGAGAGCAACATAACAGTAGACATTTTGTTGATGATTGTCATAATATTTATAGTATGTTGTGTATGAGACATAATGGTTAGCTGATAGGAAGTAGGAGTTTTTTAGCTTCTGATCTCCTTTAAATGGTTTGTGAAACCCATTTGTGCCTTGGAAAGGAGATTAGAGATGATCTAATATGGGTTATTAAAAATGAACAACATGAGAAATTTGTTCTCATTGAATATACATGTTAACTTTTAAGTATACCCTATTTTTACAAAAAAAGGTATATTGTACAAAATTTAAGTAATTTTTTAGATTGAATAATATAATTAGGATACATTATTATTAAAATCATAAACTGGGATCTGCATATATTTTCTTTGGAGTCTGTAGGTTTCCTATGAGAATGAAAGATATTGTGTGTTCACATCAGCAATCATCTAAAAATAAAGTAGGAACATATTTTATATCATCTAGATCAGGGGTCCCCAACCCCAAGGCCGCAGACCAGTACTGGGCCATGGCCTGTTAGGAACTGGGCCACACAGCAGGAGGTAAGCAGTGGGCCAGTGTGTATTACCGCCTGAGCTCTGCCTCCCATCACATCAGCAACGGCGTTAGATTCTCATAGGAGTACGACCCCTATTGTGAACTGTGCACGCAAGGGATCTAGGTTGTGTGCTTTTCATGAGAATCTAACTAATTATCTGAAGTGGAACAGTTTCATTTCCCCTGCCACCCTGGTCTTTGGAATAATTGTCTTCCGTGAAACTAGTCCCTGGAGCCAAAAGGGTTGGGGACCACTGATCTAGATGACCATTTAATAAACCAGTAATACCAGTAGATTGCAGTGCCCATGTGTATGCTTGTTTTGCTATTGGTTCCAGGTAGAACTGTACTACTTTGTGATGAGCTTTTAAGAACTGAGACATATCTCATGCATAAATGATTCATTTTTGGAAAATACAGGGTCAAATAATGTCACAACATTGTGATGTAAGTTTTGTGGTAGTTCATATTCTATTAGCTAACATTTTTGAGCATCTTCCATGTTCTTGGCACTGTTCTAAGTGTTATGCATGTATGATCATGAATCAAACTTAATATTGTTTTAAGAGTTTTTATGATAGTCCTCATTAAAGACTTGTGTGGTATGTGCCATCACTATTCCTGTTTTACAGATGAGGGTGCTAAAGTACAGAGAAGTTAATTTTCCCAAGGTTATACAACTTTTGTTGTTGTTGTTGTTTGTTTTTGTGTTTGTTTTTGAGAGGGAGTCTCGCTGTGTTGCCCAGGCTGGAGTGCAGTGGCACGATCTCGGCTCACCACAACTGCCGCCTCCCGGGTTCAAGTGATTCTCCTGCCTCAGCCTCCTGAGTAGCTGGGATTACAGGCGCCTGCCCCCACGCCTGGCAAATGTTTGTATTTTTAGTAGAGACAAGGTTTCACCATGTTGGCAAGGCTGGTCTTGAACTCCTGACCTCAGGTGACCCACCCTCCTCGGCCTCCAAAAGTGCTGGGATTACAGGCGTGAGCCACTGCACCCAGCCAACTTTTTTTTTTTTTAAGAGACAGGGTTTTTACTATGTTGTGCAGGCTGGACTTGAACTCCCAGTCTCAGGTGGTCCTCCTGCCTCAGCCTCCTTAGAAGCTGGGCCTTCAAATACATACCACCATACCTGGCTAAGAGTTAGTTTTCATACACATTGTCTGACATCATAGCTCCCAGCCACTCTGTTATGCTTGTCTGACATCATAGCAACCAGCCACTCTGTTATGCTGCCTCACTGTAGAGACAAGTACTTGTAGAATTACATCACATTTGACACAGTAATATAGCCATTCCAAGCTAAAAAGAACATGTATATTGGCAGTCAGCACCACATTGATGTTACAATTTGAGATTTCATTTCAGCAAAACACCATTTTTTTTCCTGTCATGGTAATGTTGGTTGAATATTATTGGTTTGTGGTTATCTTTGGATTCAGTTTGTAAGATTTTACTGTTATATGAGTTGTTATAAGTACTAGGAGTTTGTTCTAGTTTACATTTATATATATTTTAATAACATTATGTAAACCAAACAGTATCTGAGACATGTCTTAATCAATTTAGAAGTTTATTTTACCAAGTTTAAGACATGCCTGGAAGAAATAAACACAGAATCACAGAAACAGTCTGTGGTCTGTGTCTTTCTCCAAAGATAATTCTGAGGGCTTCAATATTTAAAGGGGAAAAATGGGCTGGAGGAGAAAGAGGGAGGGTATGGTAATCCCCATGTTGCAAAAGAAAAGGAGCAGACAGGGTAATAGTCAATTATGTATTAGTCTCTTGCTCAGTAAAGCAGCACTTTACATAAGATAAGGATAACATAGAGTAGCTACCTCTGGAGATATTTAACCTTTTATCTGTAGCTATCTGCCGAGGAACAAAAGGAAACACCTTTTCTTATATTACTTAGTTTTCAGCTTAATTTTTTTCTTTTGGCATAGTGAATTGGGGTCACAAGTTTTTATTTTCCTTTCACAATTATAACAGAAATAAGTTAACAGAAATTAGAGTAGGGATGCTGATGCAAAGGATTGCTTTTAATCCTTTGGAAATCAAAGAACTCACGTAATGCATATGAATACACATTGATTTATTTACTATACAAATTCGGAGTTTTATATAAAGTGCTGGATTTCCTTAAACAGCATGAGTTGAGGAAACTCTTTTAATTTGTTGTTTTGTGACTTGGATGTATGGCTCCCAACCCAGGCATGTGGTCTGGGTGACTCATAGACAAACAGTCCATAGGTAATAATATAGACAATACTTCAGAGGGTTTGTTTCCTCCCTTGTTTCTGATTGAGGACTATTCTCTTGTTCACAGGCACAGAATGTTATCTTACTCATGGAGTTCTTTTAGAGATCATTACTACCAAAAATATAGGGCCTCTTAATCAGATGAACACAAAGTAGTAAGAAGCAAAAAGAGTTCCGTATGATTTCAGTGAGATTTGTCTTGACTTAAACGAAAATTTGATTCAGTTTTATAATCAGAATGAAGACTCGTCATTTTTCTCCTTATAAAATTCAAATTCATCATCTTCAGAATTTAATTTGGAAAGGTTTCCTTTTGCAAATTAAATTTATGTGTATTACATATCAGAGATTCTACTTAATGTGCTTTGTTAATCATCTTTAAAGTAATTTCTCCAGAGAAGGAATGCTTTTGAATTCAATAACTATTTATTGAGCGCCTACTGTGTATAAGTCACTGCAAGTCATTGGTGATGTATTTGGTTCCTGACAGCATTATTTAATTTTGCTACACATTCCTACTATACCCAAGAAGTGGAAGAACTTCATTCAAACATTTGAATCTCTGATATTATTTGTTCCTATAATGGATTTATTTCTGTAACTATTCTCTGGCTGGACCAATTTTTCCTTTCTCGTTACATTTTTCTGGTACTTTTTTTGTTTTTAACTTCTAGAGATTTACTCTGATTTTAGCAATCTTTTGTTCATTTACCTTCTGGAAATATCCTATTGAAGAACCAAAATATTACCACTACTCTATACTTGTAGAGGACTTTAATATAAAATTCTAATGTGGGTACAAAAGACTTTCTGATGTTTGATAAGCTCTTCTTGACTAACTTCTTATTTTAGTCTGGCAGTTAATGTTCCCTGAGACACAAGAAATTATAAAGAAAATACTGAGTATATATACATTTTTTAAGAAGAGGTTTCATAATTTTGTCATATTCAGCCTCATATTTACAGAATATTAATTCTTAAACATGTTTGTATGTTGAATTAATAACATGTTTAAGAATGTGATCTTAGAAAATGTAATGTAATGTAATCTTAGAAAAGATGTGGTCCATTAATAAAGGTTTTCCCATAAGGTTAATCTGTGGTGTGGTGTTTTTTGTTTTTGGGTGGGGTGGGGTACTGGTTTGAACAGAATAGTATGATGTTTGATGACACCACTTCTGGGACCAAATGTGTTATCTTTTTTGTGACACTAGAAACCAAATTGCTAACATTAGCTGGGTGTCCAACAATTGAGTTCAATTCTGACACTGACTACCTGGAGGTAGTACAGATCCCACAGGTTAAGGGCTCCATTTCATAAGACCGCCCCTGCTTAAGATGCTAGCTGCAAATGGGATGCCCAGGCTACCCACATTTTGTAACTGTCCAACTGGTTCTCCTTGCTCACTGCCTAGACAGAGCCAATTTATTAAGACAGGAAAATTGCAATAGCGAAAGAGTTTAATTCACATAGAACCGTCTATACAGGAGACCTGAGTTTTATTATTACTCAAATCAGTCTCCCTGAAAATTCGGGGACTGGAGTTTATAAGGATAATTTGGTGGGTAGTAAGCCAGTAAATCGGGAGTGCTGATTGGTTGGGTTGGAGATAAAATCATAGAGAGTCAAAGCTGTCCTCTTGGTGCTGAATCAGTTCCTGAGTGGGGGCCATAAGACCAGATGAGCCAGTTTATTGATCTGGGTGGTGCCAGCTCAGAGGACAGGGTCTGCAAAGTATCTCAGGCACTGATCTTAGTTTTATAATAGCGATGTTATCCCCAAGAGCAATTTGGGGAGGTTCAGAATCTTGCAGCCTCCAGCTGCATGACTTCTAAACCATAATTTCTAATCTTGTGACTAGTTAGTACTACAAAGACAGTCTAGTCTCCAGGCAAGAAGGTAGTTTGTTTTGGGAAAGGGTTAATATAATCTTTGTTTCAAAGTTGCACTATAAACTACGTTCCTCCCAAAGTGGCACTATAAACTACGTTCCTCCCAAAGTTAGTTTGGTCTATGCCCTGGAATGAACAAGGACAATTTGGAGGTTAGAAGCAAGGTAGAGTTGGTTAGATCAGATCTTTTGTACTGTAATAATTTTCTCAGTTATAGTTTTTGCAAAGGTGTTTTCAGTTTCTGCCTGGCTGACTGCAGATTTGAGGATTCCCATGATCCCCACCTCCAGGTTTGATAATTTGCTAGAACTACCCATAGTACTTAGGAAAGCACTGTACTTACCATTACAGATGTATTATAAAGGATGCAACTTAAAAACAGCCTAATGGAGAGATGCATAGTGCAAGATGTTAGGATGGAGATGGCACAGAGCCTGCACATTCATGTGTTCACCAACTTGGAAGCTCTCTGAACCTTGATGTTTAAGGGTTTTTATGGTGGTTTCACTACATAGGCACAGTTGATTAAATCCTATTCTATTAGTGATTGAACTCAGTCTTCAATCCTTCTCCCTTCTTCAGAGGTCTGGAGGTGGGGCTGAAAGTTCTAATCCTCTAATCACTTGATTTTTTTTGGTGACCAGCCACCATGAAGCATCTAGGACCCTTTGTCCCACTGCCTCCCATTGAGCTATCTCATTAGTATATAAAAGACAGTACATTCCAAAGGTTTTTGGAGCTCTATGCCGGGTACTGGACACAAAGACCAAATATTAATTTTTTATTATACCTCAGTTGCATTATTGTATTGCTTCAAATTCTGTATAAGTAGTGAATATTACTGAATGTTTTTGGATTTAAGCATATGTGACATTAAAAATTTTTGTACATCATACATCATTTTCCATTTTTGTACATCCAACATTTTAATAAAACATTGGTTAAAATGAACAAAAATACATCAATTTAAAAATTTTAATTTCTGTTGTTTCATTGGAAATTTTTTACTGTATATTATTAGGCCTGGTTAGTCATGGATCTGACAGTTTGGCCACTAATCCAAAGCAAATAGTAAATTCACTTGGGAAGAATATAATTTACTGGACTTGAGTATCTGTACTCTTTTCTTTAAAAGAGTGGGTTACCCTGGAAGTTTACTTCTTCCTTTTTGGTATTTATATGCTTGAATATTTGTGCTGGTTCGGCCCGGCATGGTGGCTCACGCCTGTAATCCCAGCACTTTAGGAGGCCGAGGCGGGTGGATCACGAGGTCAGGAGATCGAGACCATCCTGGCTAACATGGTGAAACCCCGTCTCTACTAAAAATACAAAAAATTAGCCAGGCATGGTGGTGCACACCTGTAGTCCCAGCTACTCGGGAGGCTGAGGCAGGAGAATGGCGTGAACCCAGGAGGCGGAGCTTGCAGTGAGCCGAGATGGCGCCACTGCACTCCAGCCTGGGTGACAGAGCGAGACTCCATCTCAAAAAACAAAAAAACAAACAAACAAAAAAAACGGTGGGTTACCATGGAAGTTTACTTCTTCCTTTTTGGTATTTATATGCTTGAATATTTGTGCTGGTTCTGGGGAGGGACCTTTTTGCCTTCAGGGGACATTCGGCAATGTTTAGTTTTCACAGCTGGAGGGTGAGGATTGATACTGTTATCTAACGGGTCTCTAGATGCCGGGAATGCTGCTAAAAATTCTATAATGCGCAGAGCAGCCCCCACAGCAAAAAAATTATCTAGCCCAAAATGCTAATGTTACTGAGTTTGAGGAATCCTGCTGTAGGCCAATATGGGCATCACCAGTCTTTAGATGGTATTTCAAGCTTTGAAGCTATGGATATCCTCATCCACTGAACTGATTTTACCATTTTGATAGATACAGAGAACTATTTCTCATTCTTGTTCCCCAATGACTTATTGAGAGATTAAACTGCAGCCATCCAGATTACCTAAATATGGTTGTTAGCTAATCTAGAGTGTGGTTTTGGGGGAAAAAACAAAAACAAAAACAAACTATTACTATAAAGTAAACCGATACTGTCTTTATAGTCCTAAACCCTTAGGGAAGACTTTCCAGATCATCACTGAAAAATGCTTTAGGACATTGGTCTGGGAAAAGATTTCATGAGTAAGAACTCAAAATCACAGGCAACAAAAGAAAAAAAATAAATGGGTTTATGTCAAACTACAAAGCTTCTGGACAGCAAAGGAAACAGAGTGAAAAAAGAACCTATAAAATGAGAGAAAATATCTGGACACTACTCACACTACAGGGGATTAATATCTAGAATATACAAGGAACTCAAACATCTTAACAGCAAAAAAAAATTGATTTAAAAATGGGCAAGTGATCTGAACAGACATTTCTCAAAAGACGTACAAGTGGCTAACAAATAAAGAAAATGCTTAACATCACTCATCATCAAAGAAATACAAATCAAAACCACAGTGAGGTATCATCTCACCCCAGTTAGGCTGTTATCAAAACGACAAAAAACAAAACAAAACAAAACAAAAACAATAAAAATGCTAGTAAGGATGCAGAGAAAAAAGAAGTCTTATACTCGGTGGGAATGTAAACTAGTACAGCTACTATGGAGAACAGTATGGAGATTCCTCAAATAACTACAAATAGAACCTTTTTTTTTTTTTTTTTTTTTTTTTGTGAGGTGGAGTCTCGCTCTGTCGCCAGACTGGGATGCAGTGGTGCGATCTTGGGTCATTGCAACCTCTGCCTCCCGGGTTCAAGCGATTCTCCTGTCTCAGCCTCCCGAGTAGCTGGGACTACAGGCACATGCCCCACACCCAGCTAATTTTTGTATTTTTAGTAGAGACGGGGTTTCACCATGTTGGCCAGGATGGTCTCGATCTTTTGACCTCGTGATCCGCTCTCCTCGGCCTCCCAAAGTGCTGGGATTGCAGGCGTGAGCACTGCGCCCGGCCCAAATAGAACTATTAATAAGATATGAATCAGCAATCCCACTACTGGGCATTTATCCAAAGGAAAGGAAGTCAGTAAACCAAAGAGACATCTGTACCCCTATGCTTATTGCAACACTAACTAGTAGCCAAGATAGGGAATCAACCTAGGTGTCCAACAACAAATGAATGGCTAAAGAAGATGTGATGTATATATACACAAAGGAACATTATTCAGTATAAAAAGAATGAAATTCTATCATTTGTGACAACATGAATGGAACTAGAAGACATTAGGTTAAGTGAAATAAGCCAGGAACAGAAAGTTAAACACCACATGTTCTCACTCATATGTGGAACCTAAGAATAGTTGATCTCATAGAAATAAAAAGTAGTGCAGAGAATACTAGAGGCTGGGAAGGGAAGAGGGCAGGTCAGAGGATAGGGAGAGATTTGTTAAAGGATATAGAATTACAGCTAGATAGGAGGAATAAATTCTAGTGGTCTGTACCACTGTAGGCTGACTATAGTTAACAATAGTATATAGTTTCAAATACCTAGAAGGAGGATATTGAATGTTCTCAACACAAAAAAATTATAGATGTTTTAGATGATGGATATCCTAATTACCCTGATCTGATCACTATAGACCATATGTATTGAAATATCACTGTGTACCCCAGGCATATGTACAGTTATTATTTGTGGATTAAAAATAAAATTTCTGGCCGGGTGCAGTGGCTCACGCCTGTAATCCCAGCACTTTGGGAGGCCGAGGAGGGCGGATCATGAGGTCAGGAGATCGAGACCATCCTGGCTAACACGGTGAAACTCTGTCTCTACTAAGAAATACAAAAAATTAGCCGAGCGTGGTGGCGGGCGCCTGTAGTCCCAGCTACTTGGGAGGCTGAGGCAGGAGAATGGCATAAACCTGGGAGGCAGAGCTTGCAGTGAGCTGAGATCGTGCCACTGCACTCCAGCCTGGGCGACAGAGCAAGACTAAATAAATAAATAAAATAAAATTTCTTTTTAAAATTTATTTATTTTTGAGACAGAGCCTTACTCTCTCTCCCAGGCTGGGGTGTGGTAGCACAGTCTTGGCTGACTGCAACTTCCGCCTCCTGGGTTCAAGCGATCCTCCCACCTCAGCCTTCTGAGTAGCTAGGGCATCACCATGCCTGGCTATAAAAAATAAAATTTCATTAAAA
The DNA here is from genome assembly GCF_000001405.40 of Homo sapiens. Lineage (NCBI taxonomy): Eukaryota > Metazoa > Chordata > Mammalia > Primates > Hominidae > Homo > Homo sapiens. The sequence goes on from NC_000001.11 coordinate 180,681,846, forward strand.
AAAGTATTGAAGATGAAAAGAGTTCTGGAGAATGGTTGCACAACAATGTGAATGTACTTAACACTATTGAACTGTACATTTAAATATAGTTAAAATGGTGAATTTTATGTTACATGTACCTTACTACAATTTTAAAAAGATACTTGTATCCAGTTCCTGATAGTTTCTTATGCAGTCTACTAGTTTTTTTCTCTAGGACTTTTGTTCTGTTTTCTTCAGTGTTTTTTCTTAGTCAAGAGAGTTTATAATCTCTCAGGTGATTTTTCATCCTTTTCCAGCTGTTCCTTAATTTTAAAGTATACAAGTTAGCCCTCATCTTAAAAATTGGACAATACTGGATTGATGTGAAGTTATAATGTTTGGATTTTAGTTTATAAATGTTAATTGAAGTATTTATCAATTTAGGGAGCTATGAGTGGTCATTGAATATTGAAAAAGAACTGTTTAGCTTCAGATACATTCAGTATAAAGCTTACTCATGATTTCATATATTGTTTTTCTTTCTTTCTAATAGGCTTTCAAGGATATGCTGTATTCAGCTCAGGACCAGGCACCTTCTGTGGAAGGTAAGATGAATTAACCCTTAAGTTTAGTCACAGAAAACCTCTTTTTAAGGAAAGATATTTTGTACTGCAGAGTATAAAACTAATATGATAACCTGTCCTATTATATAGGTCTTTTTTTCCCTTTTAATAATATATATTATGATTATTTTATATTTTATTCTAAATTTTTCTCTTGTCTAGCTCACCTTTACCCTATGACGGATCTTTTACTATGTCTTTGTGTCACCTTAGGACTGTGAATCGTATATATTGGTTTAGTCAGAAGTTTTTCTGTGTAATGCTTCCTTGCCTTCCCTCCCCTCCCCTCCTTCCTCCGTCCATAAATTACACAACATAGCTTTTCCTTTCTATTTATGTCATGCCTTTAGAGTGGGACCAGTAAAACAATGGAGAATGTTTACAATGGATGTGTGTGTGTGTGCGTGTGTGTGTGTGTGTGTGTAAGCATGTTTATGTATACATGTGTACATGTTCTCGTGTCAGTAAATAGGAGCTAATTCAACAACTATTCTTGAGGGAGAATGTTCCTTCTCAGGCTGGATATTCTTTTTTATTTTATTTTATTTTATTATTACTATACTTTAAGTTTTAGGGTACATGTGCACAATGTGCAGGTTTGTTACATATGTATACATGTGCCATGTTGGTGTGCTGCACCCATTAACTCGTCGTTTAGCATTAGGTATATCTCCTAATGCTATCCCTCCCCCCACCCCACAACAGTCCCTGGTGTGTGATGTTCCCCTTCCTGTGACCATGTGTTCTCATTGTTCAATTCCCACCTATGAGTGAGAACATGTGGTGTTTGGTTTTTTGTCCTTGCGATAGTTTGCTGAGAATGATGGTTTCCAGTTTCATCCATGACCCTACAAAGGACATGAACTCATCATTTTTTATGGCTGCATAGTATTCCATGGTGTATCTGTGCCACATTTTCTTAATCCAGTCTATTGTTGTTGGACATTTGGGTTGGTTCCAAGTCTTTGCTATTGTGAATAGTGCTGCTATAAACATACGTGTGCATGTGTCTTTATAGCAGCGTGATTTATAATCCTTTGGGTATATACCCAGTAATGGGATGGCTGGGTCAAATGGTATTTCTAGTTGTAGATCCCTGAGGAATCACCACACCGACTTCCACAATGGTTGAACTAGTTTATGGTCCCACCGACAGTGTAAAAGTGTTCCTATTTCTCCACATCCTCTCCAGCACCTGTTGTTTCCTGACTTTTTAATGATCATCATTCTAACTGGTGTGAGATGGTATCCCATTGTGGTTTTGATTTGCATTTCTCTGATGGCCAGTGATGATGAGCATTTTTTCATGTGTTTTTTGGCTGCATAAATGTCTTCTTTTGAGAAGTGTCTGTTCATATCCTTTGCCCACTTTTTGATGGGGTTGTTTTTTTCTTGTAAATTTGTTTCAGTTCATTGTAGATTCTGGATATTAGCCCTTTGTCAGATGAGCAGGTTGCAAAAATTTTCTCCCATTCTGTAGGTTGCCTGTTCACTCTGATGGTAGTTTCTTTTGCTGTGCAGAAGCTCTTTAGTTTAATTCGATCCCATTTGTCAATTTTGGCTTTTGTTGCCATTGCTTTTGGTGTTTTAGACATGAAGTCCTTGCCCATGCCTATGTCCTGAATTACCGGTATTGCCTAGGTTTTCTTCTAGGGTTTTTATGGTTTTAGGTCTGACATTTAAGTCTTTAATCCATCTTGAATTAATTTTTCTATAAGGTGTAAGGAAGGGATCCAGTTTCAGCTTTCTACATATGGCTAGCCAGTTTTCCCAGCACCATTTATTAAATAGAGAATCCTTTCCCCATTGCTTGTTTTTGTCAGGTTTGTCAAAGATCAGATGGTTGTAGATATGCGGCATTATTTCTGAGGGCTCTGTGCTGTTCCATTGATCTATATCTCTGTTTTGGTACCAGTACCATGCTGTTTTGGTCCAGTACCATGCTGTTTTGGTTACTGTAGCCTTGTAGTATAGTTTGAAGTCAGGTAGCGTGATGCCTCCGGCTTTCTTCTTTTGGCTTAGGATTGACTTGGCGATGCGGGCTCTTTTTTGGTTCCATATGAACTTTAAAGTAGTTTTTTCCAATTCTGTGAAGAAAGGCATTGGTAGCTTGATGGGGATGGCATTGAATCTGTAAATTACCTTGGGCAGTATGGCCATTTTCACAATATTGATTCTTCCTACCCATGAGCATGGAATGTTCTTCCATTTTTTTGTATCCTCTTTTATTTGATTGAGCAGTGGTTTGTAGTTCTCCCTGAAGAGGTCCTTCACATCCCTTTTAAGTTGGATTCCTAGGTATTTTATTCTCTTTGAAGCAATGGTGAATGGGAGTTCACTCATGATTTGGCTCTCTGTTTGTCTGTTATTGGTGTATAACAATGCTTGTGATTTTTGTACATTGATTCTGTATCCTGAGACTTTGCTGAAGTTGCTTATCAGCTTGAGATTCTGGGCTGAGACGATGAGGTTTTCTAGATATACAATCATGTCATCTGCAAACAGGGACAATTTGACTTCCTCTTTTCCTAATTGAATACCCTTTATTTCCTTCTCCTGCCTGATTGCCCTGGCCAGAACTTCCAACACTATGTTGAATAGGAGCGGTGAGAGAGGGCATCCCTGTCTTGTGCCAGTTTTCAAAGGGAATGCTTCCAGTTTTTGCCCATTCAGTATGATATTGGCTGTGGGTTTGTCATAGATAGCTCTTATTATTTTGAGATACGTCCCATCAATACCTAATTTATTGAGAGTTTTTAGCATGAAGCGTTGTTGAATTTTGTCAATGGCCTTTTCTGCATCTATTGAGATAATCATGTGATTTTTGTCTTTGGTTCTGTTTATATGTTGGATTACATTTATTGATTTGCGTATGTTGAACCAGCCTTGCATCCCAGGGTTGAAGCCCACTTGATCATGGTGGATAAGCTTTTTGATGTGCTGCTGGATTTGGTTTGTCAGTATTTTATTGAGGATTTTTGCATCGATGTTCATGAAGGATATTGGTCTAAAATTCTCTTTTTTTGTTGTGTCTCTGCCAGGCTTTGGTATCAGGATGATGCTGGCCTCATAAAATGAGTTAGGGAGGATTCCCTCTTTTTCTATTGATTGGAATAGTTTCAGAAGGAATGGTACCAGCTCCTCTTTGTACCTCTGGTAGAATTCGGCTGTGAATCCATCTGGTCCTGGACTTTTTTTGGTTGGTAAGCTATTGATTATTGCCTCAATTTCAGAGCCTGTTATTGGTCTATTCAGAGATTCAACTTCTTCATGGTTTAGTCTTGGGGAGGATGTATGTGTCGAGGAATTTATCCATTTCTTCTAGATTTTCTAGTTTATGTGCGTAGAGGTGTTTATAGTATTCTCTGGTGGTAGTTTGTATTTCTGTGGGATCGGTGGTGATATCCCCTTTATCATTTTTTATTGTGTCTATTTGATTCTTCTCTCTTTTCTTCTTTATTAGTCTTACTAGTGGTCTATCAATTTTGTTGATCTTTTCAAAAAACCAGCTCCTGGATTCATTAATTTTTGAAGGGTTTTTTTTGTCTCTATTTCCTTCAGTTCTGCTCTGATCTTAGTTATTTCTTGCCTTCTGCTAGCTTTTGAATGTGTTTGCTCTTGCTTTTCTAGTTCTTTTAATCGTGGTGTTAGGGTGTCAATTTTAGATCTTTCCTGCTTTCTCTTGTGGGCATTTAGTGCTATAAATTTTCCTCTACACACTGCTTTGAATGTGTCCCAGAGATTCTGGTATGTTGTGTCTTTGTTCTCGCTGGTTTCAAAGAACATCTTTATTTCTGCCTTCATTTTGTTATGTACCCAGTAGTCATTCAGGAGCAGGTTGTTCAGTTTCCATGTAGTTGAGCGGTTTTGAGTGAGTTTCTTAATCCTGAGTTCTAGTTTGATTGCACTGTGGTCTGAGAGACAGTTTGTTATAATTTCTGTTCTTTTACATTTGCTGAGGAGTGCTTTACTTCCAACTATGTGGTCAGTTTTGGAGTAGGTGTGGTGTGGTGCTGAAAAGAATGTATATTCTGTTATTTGGGGTGGAGAGTTCTGTAGATGTCTATTAGGTCCGCTTGGTGCAGAGCTGAGTTCAATTCCTGGGTATCCTTGTTAGCTTTCTGTCTCGTTGATCTGTCTGATGTTGACAGTGGGGTGTTAAAGTCTCCCATTGCTGGATATTGTTTTAACACTCCACATCAGGTTTTTAAAATGAGAGTTGAGTGCAAAAAAATATATATCGAGAATATTCTAAGTTGGATGTACAGAATAATACCTTTATAAGACACCAAATTCTATGAAGTTATTCTAGTGACAAGCTATTAGAGACTTGTTCTTATGACAAAAGTTAATGAAGTTATTTAATAAAACTGTAGATTTATAGTAGAAAGTCTCATTTCATCAATTATATAAAAATATCCATCTTTCATCTCAAACCATTCTGAATTAAAAATGTATTTCCTCTGAACGTGTAAAAATCTCTTGCCTTATATTAAGTCAGGAATTGGCATTTAGTTTCATGTCACTGAATTTTAGACTATAATATATTTAATTCTCTAATATTTAACTCAAGACACTTAAGGTTTAACAGTAAGTTTAGTTTTCTGTTGGGTTATCTTTTATTTTATATGCCGTAAAGAATACCTCCTTTAACTATTTTTAAAATATAAGAAAAATGAAATTCCATAGAAGCTGAACTGATTCCTTACCCTGAGTAAGTTGCTTTAATATTGGTTCTCTTATTTTACTATTCTGTTTGTAACAAAGATACTCTGAGATATATTGAAAATGATGATGATATTTATTCATCCCCTTTATGCTGGAGCATGTTTCTTGTATTTTTTAAATTTTCTTTCAGCTATTATTAGAGAAAAACTGAATTTTGTGAAAGTACGCTCAAAATGACAAATATTTATAGTTAAGAGCCTTTTCTTTCATTATCCAGAGACATTAACTTCTTTGGGCCATGTTATAGGGGAAGTATTGTAGGAACATGTACTACTTTCACAAGAAAAACATCTGCACACATTCTTTCTTTATACTTTCATGTAAACATACTATAAAACTAGTTTTATAGTGAATTAGTAGCTTCTTAGTAGGACATTTCAGGGTGGTACCTTTACTTCATTGATAAAATAGGCTTTTTCTCAAAAGTAAGTCAACAAAACAATTTCAGTGTATTGAGAAATTATGTTTACTTTAATTTGCTCTCTGTTACTCAAACAAATAAACACATTCAAATTCCTAGTTGTTTTGTTTCGTCCTTTGAGAGTGAATTTCATGAATCAGTTATACATTGCAAACAAATCTCTATTTAAAATAAATGTTTTATGATTATAACTAGGAAGTGCTAATATTCTGAAATAATATAGATAAGGATTTACTCTCAGGTATTCCTTATCAATATATATGTAAATATATATTTTAGATATATTTCTGATATATTTCATTATCTACTCTTCTATGTAATCACTGGTATTTCTGATATAATTCTGATATATTTCATTACCTACTCTTCTATGTAATCACTGGTATTTTTGTGTAACCATTTACATTGGAAATATGTGACTGAGATGTTGACTTAGAATTCTGTGTTACAGATTATACAGTATGTTATTAATTTTTTTTTTTTTTTTTTTGAGACAGTGTCTTGCTCTCTCTCCCAGGCTGGAGTGCAGTGGCGTGATCTCGGCTCGCTGCAACTTCCGCCTCCTGGGGGTTCAAGTGATTCTCCTGCCTCAGCCTCCTGTGTGGCTGGGATTACAGGTGCCTGCCACCATGCCCGACTAATTTTTGTATTTTTAGTAGAGATGGGGTTTTGCCATGTTAACCTGCCTGGCCAACATGGCCAGTTTTGCCATGTTGGCCAGGCTGGTCTCGAACTCCTGACCTCAAGTGATCCACCCACCTTGGCCTCCCAAAGTGCTAGGATTACAGGTGTGAGCCACTGCGCCCAGCCTATTGATTTTTTAAATAATGCATATTTAAATTTTTACTATTTTGTTATCCTTTTCTGCAGAAAGACTTGTAAATATAGAATACATGGCAGTAGATTAGGGGATTAAAGTGACTAGAATTGTGGGGTTTTTATAATTCCTGATGTCAGTGAGTATACTACCTCTTGATATTTGTAACAAATTATATTAAACTGCAAACTGGAGGTTTCCCATCAGTGCATCAGTCAGTCATACCTTAATAATCAGGATTGTTCTGAGGCAAGATAATTTTTTACCTTTATAGGTTAAGTATAACAATTCTTACATATAGTACCCGTTTGACATTGTGTCAAGTTTTCAGTGATACAGAACTGTGGAAAATATAAAGTGAAATATCTTTTACCTTTTCTCATGCTCCCCACTCCCAGTTTGCTGTCTCAGTAATTTTATGGAATTAATCTACGTGGGTAAATGCTCACATCCTTACATCTTTATTTTTTTTTAAACTGCCTGTCTTCCCTCTTTCCCAGGATACTTTTGAAATTAGATATATATAAATTACATGCTGTATTTGATTAATCTATTTTAGTTTTTACTCTGAATTAATTGCAAGGAAAGCTTCAAACTTCATTTTGTCGTATTCTTTTTAAAATGTATTTTTTGTTTAAAAGCATAAGTGTTTTCTACTCTTTATTTGTGATGGAAAAATATGAGAATCCAATAGTCAACCAAGGTAACGGAACTAAGAAATTGACATTTCTAATGGAAAGGGACATTAAAAGATAATTTTGCTTAACCTTTGTTTTAGATTTGTGCATTCTGAGACCACTTTAAGGTTGCATGACTCAGTAATGACAGTTGGGATTATTAATGCTCTATTTGACAACAAAAGAGAATTCTGGAGATTAATATAAAAAGACTTTTTAAAAAATGACTTTGCATTTTTCTCTAAATGATATATTTGAATATAATTTTAATTGGACATTTCCTTGTGTCTCTATTTTTAAAAGATTTAAGAATTTTTTAAAACATTACTTTGAAAAATACTAGACTATTTAACTTGTTAGAAAAAAGCAAATTGTCTCTTTCAATAAATTTCTCTCCTAATTTTTTTATTACTCCATATAGTTCCCAGAAGTATTGGGGAAGGTTTATAGAATAAGATAGCACATATTAGATAACAGTAGATACAGAGCTTAGAATAAGGGGAAAATGAAGACAGAATAGTGAGAGTAAAACTAGAGTAAATTTAATACATAGAATAGATACCATGAGGATTCTGGAACAGAAAAAGAACATCAGGCATAAACTAGAGAAATCTGGGTAATGTATGGACTTTAGTTAATAATAATGTATCATTATTGATTCATTGATTGCGACAAATGTACCATATTTATGTAAGACGTTAATGATAGGGGCAGCTGGGTTTAGAGGATATTGGAACTCTCTGTACTATCTTTGCACCTTTTCTGTAAATCTAAAACTATTCTAAGGTTAAAAGTTTATTTGCCCATTTGTGATGGCTGACACCTGTAATCCCAGAACTTTGGGAGACCAAGGCTGGCATATTACTTGAGGTCAGGAGTTTGAGACCAGCCTGGACAACATGGTGAAATCACGTCTCTACTAAAAATACAAAAATTAGCTGGGTGTGGTGGCGCATGCCTGTAAACCTGGCTACTCTGGAGGCTAAGCAATGAGAATTGCTTGAACCCAGGAGATGAAGGTTGCAGTGAGCTGAGATTGTGCCACTGCTCTCTGGCCTGGGTGAAACAGCAAGACTCTGTCTAAAAAAAAAAAAAAAGTGTATTTAAATAAAATAGATACCGTAAGGTTTTGTACCATTGACAGAATGTAAATTCAGCTCTGAATTTTCAGAGGATAGAAGAAGACATTATTTCAAAATTGATATAAGGTGAATTTACACCAGTTCCTCAGAAAAAGTAGCTTTTACTGAACATGAAATTTGAGAGGAAATTCTTCCTTGGACTCTCATGGAGAGTCTTTTGTTTCTGTGTTGAACAGTATCTCCAACAATAGTTTTACAAAGAACATGACGGTGAGTTTTAATAGGCTGCTTCTTATAATCCAAGGATGTAATGTAAAAATGTATTACTATGAACTACAATTCCTAAATAATCTGGTCTTAAATCATAAATGTCCATGATCTCACCTTCTACATTTCCCCCATTTTTTCCTAGGCTCCTTTCTTTACCTAAATCAGGCCAAGCTTCCTCTTGCAGTCTAATATAGCCACTTAGTCACTTTATATTGCTTCACTGTAGTTTATTTCTTTGCATAGCATTTGTTACTTACTGATATCTTGTTTTAAAAATTGATTAATTCTCTTTCTGGGATGTAAGTCTCTTGTGACTAGTGATTATGACTTTTTAAAATTTTTATATCTAGTATCCGAAATAGGCATGTAGTTTACATATTTACTTGACACATCATTGAGTAGGAATAAAAGTGAATCCTTTTCCTCAATTCCTTGAAGCCAATGTACTGTTTATAAAAAAAGGAGTAAATTAACCTAGGTTGCTTCTCTATGTGTGTGTGTGTTTTAAAAATTTTTCAAATTCTCTTGATCTATTATGTTTAGATGCAGAATTTTACCTGCTGGTTAGATGGCCAAACATATTATTAGTAGTTGTTGTTTTACAGTACTGGCATTTTGGTTTCATAAGGTATAGTCTGAGATGACACATACGGTATTTTTTAAAATTAGTAGAGGAGCAGATGATACAAGATTATAATTTTAAAGGTTTTTTGTTTTTGTGGCATCATGTTTTATTGCTGAGAAACTATATTTTATGAAGTATTGAGAGACTATGTATTTTGTCAAAACACCAATTAAACCGTTTCTTTTTGTGTTTTTATGTTTAGTATGCCTCCTTTCAAAGATACATGAAATTGGCATAGATTTGAAAGACCATATGTGAGTTGTTAGAGGATTTTTTGATATATATCTACTCAGTGGAATGTATTTTTTAGACTATTTAAATTAAAATAGACCTATTGCTTGATAGTTTTCCTTGTATATTTTGCTTATCTTTTTATCTTACAATACATTCCTTTTGATGGAGAGTGTACATAGCTAATGTTAGCTTAATTCATCTCTGACTCAGCTTAATACAGCTATCTGACTTTCTGAAATTGGATGAATAAATAGAGATAAGGACATAAGTAACTGGCCACCACACTAGTCTCTGTTTTTCTGCCATTTCTTCTTTAGTCTCCCTGTTCCCTCTCCAGTCTTGTGAACAGGTTTTGTTAGAAATTTTGGCTTAGGTTCTCTCTGCTTATTCTGCTTGGTTAGCAGATGTGTTACAGTCTCCCTAAGCTCCTTAGAATTCAGTTCTTAGTGACATTGAAGATGAAAGTGCGCTTGTAAATTATTCATTCTTATTATACGCTTCAATGGACAGGGTCTACTTCAAGCATCTTCTTCCATGTCACCCCTGTCCCTAGATCTTTGTTGTTTTAACAGATGTGAGCTTGCTTTTTAATTCTGGAGAATGGAAGACTGAATTGCATTTCTAAAATTCATGAAGTAGTTTTTGCATTTATAGGATTACTGTCAAATATGTGCATTTATATAACATTACTTTTTCATGTTATTTTAAATCTTGTCCCCTCTCCCCAGTTTCCACTTTGTTATCCTGCATATTTGTCTCTAAAAAAATTATTTACATGACTTTTCTGACCTAGCTATAAAACAGTTTGATGTTTATAATAGGCAGAGCTATATTTAATTTGCTACATTTTCAGCTGGGCAAAGGCAGGAGAGTAGCTTTTCTAAGTTCCATTTTTCTGTTAGCATTGTTTTGTCAGTAAGGTACCCTAGTCATTTATTGTCTCTGCTTGAAGTGGGATAATGTTGCATGAGAAGACTATACAAGGGACTAGTAGTGAGGTTAACCCCAAGAATGAAGTGGTAGATCTATCTGTAGGCACTGAGCCTTGTTGTGAGAGCCATAAAGAAATACAGATGGCTAAGAGTGGAGGTTGAGACAATAGCAAGCCAACAAAATAGTTGCCATCTCTTTAAGAATGATATATTTTATTCTTCATTAACTCCCTTTAGGAAGGATGAAAAGTTCTGATTGATACTCAAAGTCATGTAATGGAGTTATTTCTGAAGGGTGTGCCTTATTATTTGTTTCATGTTTACATTGGAAAGTGATTTGCATATTCATTTGTATTATGAAAATGACAGCTTGTAGATAACAAGAACTATTAACTTCAAAAATGGACTCGTATATTCTATAAAGATGTCACTAACTTCAGTCTAGTTCACTAAGAGGCAAGGTGTACTTCTGAAGAACAAATAGCATTGCTATTTGATTTGAAGAAATATCTACTTCTTTTTCACAGAAAGAGAATTAGATCTAATTTAATGCTCATTGTTATGACGTTAGATAATGATATAAATAGTAAAATTATGTTATGATAACAAATATAATTTTTAGTAGCATACAGGTAGGAAGCTGGAAGCAATGAAGAAATGTTATAAACACGGGTTTATAATCCTTTCTTTGTGACACTGTTTAATGCATCTTTAGTGTTTAAAATATTTCATCACCTGTAAAAGTCACTAATATATGAAGTCACTGTTTTAGTTATCACACAGTGTCATTTCCTTTTTATTGTCAAGTTTGAGAGAAGGTAATGAAATAGGGAAGAGATAATGATAAAACATTAAATCATGGAACAAAAAAGTTCTGGGAATTACAAATGTAGACTCTACGTTGTAGAGGAAAAGATACCAGCAGATGAATCTGATGATTTCAGATAGAATTTCCTGAAGTAGACATTAGAAAGCTGGAGCAATTGTTAAAGTTTAAAGTTGGCAGAGTTCAAAGTAAGGGAAGTTCCTTTTTGAGTTGTTTTCATTTTCTTTAGGCAAGACCACCTAAGGTGTTCAGTAAAGAAACAACGAGAAAGCTAGAAAGAAGCATATGAAGTTGTGATCAGAGAGTAGTGGTTTTCCAGTATTAGGTATCATTGAATAAAGGAAAAATTCCTGCCACTGAAATGGAAGAGATACTCTAAAAATCATTTGGAGTAGCATTGACTTCAGTTATCTGAGGCAGTATGAAGAAAAAAAGGTAGTCAATAATTGGAAAAGTAGATAACCTCTTGCATTAGTTTCCTTCGGTTGCTGTAAAAACCACAGACCTGGTGGCTTAAAATGACAGACATTTATTCTCTCACAGTTTTGGAGGCCAGAAGTCTGAAATCAAGGTGTCTGCAGGGCTACCTTCCTTCTGGAATTCTGAGAGAGTATCTGTTTTTTGCCTCTTACAGCTTCTGGTGGTTGCTGGCTTTCTTGGCTTGTGGCCACTCCAATCCGTGCCTCTTTACCTTGTCCTTTGTCTGTCCTCTGGGTATCTAAGGACATTTGTCATTGGATTTAAGGTCTGCCTGGACAATCCAGGATGATGTCATCTCAAGATCTATAATTACATTACAAAGACTCTTTTTTCCAATAAGATCACATCACAGATTCTAGGGATTTGATATAGATATCTTTTTTTGGTGGAGGGGAAGGAACACTTTTGTGCCTACCATATTCTTAAAAAAATTTTTGTTGTTGTTGTTGTTTTAGAGACAGGATCTTACTCTGTCATCTAGGCTGTAGTGCAGTGGCAAAATCATAGCCCACTGCAGCCTCAAACTCCGGAGCTCAGTAGACTGTCCCACCTCAGTCTCCCGAGTAGCTAGGACTACAGGCGCATGCCAGTGTGCCTGGATAATTAAAGAAATTTTTTTGTAGAGACAGGGTCTTGCTATGTTGCCTAGGCTGATCTTGAACTCCTGGGGTCAAGCGATCCTCTTGCCTGGCCTCCCAAAGTGCTGGGATTATAGGCATGAGCTGCCATTCTCAGCCTACTATATCCATGCTTTTACATTTAAAAAAATATTATAATGTTCTTCAAATTGTGAACTAGAGCTTGAAGTCCAAATGAGGCATTTGCTTCACGTGTTTCTACCTGCTGTATTGTGAAAGGAGCAGTCAAATGGTGTCAAAGAAATATTCAGGTATGATCCCGGAAAGTGAAAAACTGGCCAATAGATATTAGTCAGACTTGAGTGTATAAAATATAGTAAAGGACCATTTATCTGCCTCTAGTGATAGTTACCTGCAAAATATTCCAAGTTATACCTCAAATTTATCTTTATTTCTGATATCCTTCCTGGGGGAAACAAGGACCACAAATCTCTTTTTAGTACACTGGATCAATGTATTCCCCTTCCCCAATTTTTTTTTTGATTGTGGAACTTTTTAAAGACATAAAAAAGTGGTGAGGATGTATAAAGAACCCCATTTTTCAACAATCGAGCTTTAACCATTATCAGTGAAGGGGCTAATCTTGTGTCACCCCGACTCCTGATTGTTGTGTGCACACACACACACACACACACACACACACACCATGTTTTCTTTATCTGTTCATCTGTTGATTCCATATCTTGGCTATTGTGAATAGTGCTGCAATATGCATGTTGGTGCTGATATCCCTTTGATATACTAATTTTCTTTTCTTTGGATTGGGGGATTAAGTGGTCATTCTATTTTTAGTTTTTTTCAGAAACCTCCAATCTGTCGTTCCCAGTGGCTGTAGTAATTTACATTCCCACCAACAGTGAATAAGAGTCCCCTTTTCTCTGCATCTTCAGCAGTATTGTTATTTTTGTCTTTTTGATAATAGTTATTCTAACTGGGGTAAGTTGATATCTCATTGTGGTTTTGATTTGCGTTTCCCTGATGATTAGTGATATTGAGCACTTTTTTCATATACCTATTGGCCATTTGTATGTCTTCTTCTGAGAAATGTCCATTCAAATCCTTTGCCCACTTTGTAATGGGATTGCTTTTTCATTATTGAGTTGTTTGAGTTCCTTGGGTATTCTGGATACTATTTGCTTTTCAGATGAATAGTTTGCAGATATTTTCTCCCACTCTGCAGGTGCTGTCTTCACTCTGTTGATTGTTTCCTTTGCTGTGCAGAAGCCTTTTAGTTTAATGTAGTCCCATTTGTGTGTGTGTGTGTGTGTGTGTGTGTGTGTGTATGCGCGCGCACGCGCGCGCTTTTGTTGCCTGCGCTTTTGAAGTCTTAGTCATGAAATGTTTTCTCAGACCAATGTTCTGAAACATATCCCTTTGTTTTCTTCTGGTAGTTTTATAGTTTCAGGTCTTACATTTAAGTCTTCTGTCCATTTTGAGTTGATTTTTGTGTGTGGTGAGAGAGGGGGATCTAGTTTCATTTTTCTGCATATGGATATCCAGTTTTCCCAGCACCATTTTTTGAAGAGGTTGTTCTTTCTCCAGTGTATGTTCTGGAGCCTTTGTTGATAGTCAGTTTTCTGTAAATATGTGGGTTTATTTTTGGATTCTTTATTCTGTTCCAATGGCCTGTGTGTATGTAGTTAGTCCAGTATCTTGCTATTTTGGTTACTATAGCTTTGTAGTATACTTTGAAGTCAGGTAGTGTGATGCCTTCAGCTCTGTTCTTTTTGCTTGGGATTGCTTTGGTTATTCGGAGTCTTTTGTGGTTCCATGCAAATTTTGGGATTTTTTTTTCTATTTCTGTGAAGAATATCATTGCATTTTGATAGGGATTGTATTGAATCTGTAGATTGCTTTGGGTAGTGTGGTCATTTTAATGCTATTAATTCTTCTGACCCATGAGCATGGGATATCTTTCTGTTTGTGTTGTCTTCAGTTTCTTTCATTGGTGTTTTGTAGTTCTCATCGTAGAGGCCTTTTGCCTCCTTCGTTAAATTTATTCCTGGGTGTGTGTGTGTGTGTGTGTGTGTGTGTGTGTGTGTGTGTGTGTATATATATATATATATATATATTATGGTAGCTATTGTAAATGAGATTGCTTTCTTTTCAGTTCATTATTGGTGTATAGAAACCCTACTGATTTTTTGTATGCTTATTTTGTATCCTACAACTTTACGGAATTTATCACTTCTAAGAGGTTTTTTTGGTGGAATTGTTAGGTTTTTCTATATCTAAGATCATGTCATCTATAAAGCAGGACAACTTGACTTTCTCATTTCCAATTTGGGTTCCTTTTTATTTCTTTCTCTTGCCTGATTGCTCTGGCTAGGAATTTCAGTACTATGTTGAATAAGAATGGTGAAAGTGGGCAAGAATGGTGAAAGTGGGCAAGAATGGTGAAAGTGGGCAGTTGTTACAAGGAAGGCTTTCACCTTTCCCCTTCAGTATGATGTTGGCTGTGGGTTTGTCATATATGGCCTTTATTATGTTGAGATATGCTCTTTCTATGCCTAGTTTGTTGAGAGTTTTTATCATGAAAGGACATTGAATTTTATCAGATGCTTTTTTGTGTGTGTCTATTGAGATGAGCATACGGTTTTTGTTTTCTGGTGATGTGATATTTCACATTTATTGATTTGTGTATGTTGAGCCATCCTTGCATCCCTGGGATAAATCCCACTTGATCGTGGTGCATTATCTTTTTGATGTATTGATGGATTTTGTTTGTTAATATTTTGTTGAGGATTTTTGCTTCTGTGTTTGTCAGAGATATTGGCCTGTAGTTTTTTTGTTGTGTCTTTGTCTGATTTTGTTATTGGGGTAATGCTGGCCTTGTAGAATGAGTTAGGAAGAGTTTTCTCCTCTCCAGTTTTTTGGAATAGCTTGAGGAGAATTATTGTTAGTTATTTACAGGTTTGGTAGGATTCAGCAGTAAAGCCATCCAATCCTGGAATTTTCTTGGTTGGGAGACTTTTTATTACTGATTCAGTCTTACTACTCGTTATTGGTCTTTTCAGGTTTTCTGTTTCTTCCTGATTCAATCTTGGTAGGTTGTTCAGGAACTTAAACATTTTCTCCAAGTTTTAAAATTTGTTAGCATTAATTTGTTCATAATAGTGTCTAATAAGTTTGTATTTCTGTGGGATCAGTTATAGTGTCTCCTTTTTTCTTTCTAATTTTATATGGGTCTTCTTTTTTTCATGGTTAGTCTGACTAGTAGTTTATCCATTTTATTTTTTCAAAAACTTTATTTTGCTGATTGTTTGTATATTTTTTTAGTCTCTATTTTTGTTTATTTCTGCTCTGATCTTTATTATTGCTTTTCTTCTCCTGATTTGGGTTTGGCTTGTTCTTGCTTTTCTAGTTCATTGAGGTGTATCATTAAATAATTTGAAATCCCTCTACTTGTTTGATATAGGTATTTATTGCTATAAACTTTCCTCAGCACTGTTTTAACAGTGTCCTGTAGGTTTGGGTATGTTGTGGTTCTATTTTCACTTGTTTTAAGACATTTAAAATTTTTCTTTTTAATTTCTGTATTGACCCAGTGGTCATTGAGGAGCATGTTGTTAATTTTCATGTATTTGTATAGATTCCGAAGTTCCTCTTGTTATTGATTTATAGTTTTATTCCATTGTGGTCTGAGAAGTTACTTGACATTATTTTGATTTTTTAAAAATTCTTGAGATTTGTTTTGTGGCCTAACATATGGTCTGTCCTAGAGAATGTTCCATATGCTGATGAGAAGAATGTTTATTCTGCACCTGTTGGGTGAAATGTTCTATAAGTGTCTGTTGGGTCCATCTAGTTTAAGTGCAGTTAAGATGTTTATTTGTTTATTTTCTGTCGAGATGATTGATCCAATGGTGAGAGTAGGGTGTTGAAGTTCCCAACTATTAGTGTATTGGAATCTCTTTCTTTAGATCTAGCATTTGCCTTAAATATCTGGGTGCTCTGGTGTTGGGTACATACATGTTTAGAATTGTTACATCTTCTTGCTGAATTGATTTTTTTATCATTATTTAATGACCTTCTTTGTCTCATTTTACAGTTTTTGACTTAAAGTTTGTTTTATCTGATAACAACTCCTGCTCACTTTTGGTTTCCATTTGCGGGAGATATTTTTTTCCTTCCCTTTCAGTCTATATGTGTCTTTACAGGTGAAATGGGTTTCTGGTAGGCAGCATATAGGTGGATCATGTTTAAAAAATCCATTCAGCTAGTATGTATCTTTTAAGTGGGGAATTTAATCCATTTACACTCAAGGTTATTATTGATAGGTGAGGACTTGTTCCTGTAATTTTGTTCATTATTTTCTGTTAATTTTATACATCCTTTGCTTTTTTCTTCTGTTCTTGTTTATCATGTGGTTTGGTGGTTTTCTGTAGTGACAACATTTGTCTCCATTTTCTTTCTCATTTTTGTGTATCTGCTGTACCAGTGAATTTTATACTTCAGTGTGTTTTCATGATGGTAGATATTATTCTTTAGCTTTCAGATGTAGAATTCCCTTAAGTATTTTAGGACTGGTTTAGTGGTGATGAATGAATGCCCTCAGTTTTTGCACATTTGGAAAAAAAAATATTTCTCCTTCATTTTTTAGGGATGGCTTTGTTGGGCATAGTATTCTTGGCTGGCAGGTTTTTTTCTTCCAGCACTTTGAATATATCATCTCATTATCTTCTGACCTGTAAGGTTTGTAGTGAGAAATCTGCTGTTAGTCTGATGGTAATTACTTGATACGTGACTTGACAATTTTCTCTTGATGTTTTCAGAATTCTCTCTTTGTCTTTGACTTTTGATAGTTTGACTATAATATGCTTGGCGGAGGACCTTTGTGGGTTGAATCTGTTTGGGAATTATTGAGCTTCTGGATCTGGATAACCAAATCTCTTGCAAGTCTTGGAGAGTTTTCAGTTATTTTGTTAAATAGGCTTTTTATATCTTTACCCATCATTTCACCTTCTGGGATTCCTAGAATTAGAATATTTGTCTGCTTTATAGTGTCCCATATGTCACATAGGCTTTCTTTAGTTTCTTTTATTCTTTCTTTTTTTTTTTTTTTTTATTATACTCTAAGTTTTAGGGTACATGTGCACATTGTGCAGGTTAGTTACATATGTATACATGTGCCATGCTGGTGCGCTGCACCCACTAACGTGTCATCTAGCATTAGGTATATCTCCCAATGCTATCCCTCCCCCCTCCCCCGACCCCACCACAGTCCCCAGAGTGTGATATTCCCCTTCCTGTGTCCAAGTGATCTCATTGTTCAATTCCCACCTATGAGTGAGAATATGCGGTGTTTGGTTTTTTGTTCTTGCGATAGTTTACTGAGAATGATGGTTTCCAATTTCATCCATGTCCCTACAAAGGACATGAACTCATCATTTTTTATGGCTGCATAGTATTCCATGGTGTATATGTGCCACATTTTCTTAATCCAGTCTATCATTGTTGGACATTTGGGTTGGTTCCAAGTCTTTGCTATTGTGAATAGTGCCGCAGTAAACATACGTGTGCATGTGTCTTTAGAGCAGCATGATTTATAGTCCTTTGGGTATATACCCAGTAATGGGATGGCTGGGTCAAATGGTATTTCTAGTTCTAGATCCCTGAGGAATCGCCACACTGACTTCCACAATGGTTGAACTAGTTTACAGTCCCACCAACAGTGTAAAAGTGTTCCTATTTCTCCACATCCTCTCCAGCACCTGTTGTTTCCTGAGTTTTTAATGATTGCCATTCTAACTGGTGTGAGATGATATCTCATAGTGGTTTTGATTTGCATTTCTCTGATGGCCAGTGATGATGAGCATTTCTTCATGTGTTTTTTGGCTGCATAAATGTCTTCTTTTGAGAAGTGTCTGTTCATGTCCTTCGCCCACTTTTTGATGGGGTTGTTTGTTTTTTTCTTGTAAATTTGTTTGAGTTCATTGTAGATTCTGGATATTAGCCCTTTGTCAGATGAGTAGGTTGCGAAAATTTTCTCCCATGTTGTAGGTTGCCTGTTCACTCTGATGGTAGTTTCTTTTGCTGTGCAGAAGCTCTTGAGTTTAATTAGATCCCATTTGTCAATTTTGGCTTTTGTTGCCATTGCTTTTGGTGTTTTGGACATGAAGTCCTTGCCCACGCCTATGTCCTGAATGGTAATGCCTAGGTTTTCTTCTAGGGTTTTTATGGTTTTAGGTCTAACGTTTAAATCTTTAATCCATCTTGAATTGATTTTTGTATAAGGTGTAAGGAAGGGATCCAGTTTCAGCTTTCTACATATGGCTAGCCAGTTTTCCCAGCACCATTTATTAAATAGGGAATCCTTTCCCCATTGCTTGTTTTTCTCAGGTTTGTCAAAGATCAGATAGTTGTAGATATGTGGCATTATTTCTGAGGGCTCTGTTCTGTTCCATTGATCTATATCTCTGTTTTGGTACCAGTACCATGCTGTTTTGGTTACTGTAGCCTTGTAGTATAGTTTGAAGTCAGGTAGTGTGATGCCTCCAGCTTTGTTCTTTTGGCTTAGGATTGACTTGGCGATGCGGGCTCTTTTTTGGTTCCATATGAACTTTAAAGTAGTTTTTTCCAATTCTGTGAAGAAAGTCATTGGTAGCTTGATGGGGATGGCATTGAATCTGTAAATTACCTTGGGCAGTATGGCCATTTTCACGATATTGATTCTTCCTACCCATGAGCATGGAATGTTCTTCCATTTGTTTGTGTCCTCTTTTATTTCCTTGAGCAGTGGTTTGTAGTTCTCCTTGAAGAGGTCCTTCACATCCCTTGTAAGTTGGATTCCTAGGTATTTTATTCTCTTTGAAGCAGTTGTGAATGGGAGTTCACTCATGATTTGGCTCTCTGTTTGTCTGTTGTTGGTGTATAAGAATGCTTGTGATTTTTGTACATTGATTTTGTATCCTGAGACTTTGCTGAAGTTGCTTATCAGCTTAAGGAGATTTTGGGCTGAGACGATGGGGTTTTCTAGATAAACAATCATGTCGTCTGCAAACAGGGACAATTTGACTTCCTCTTTTCCTAATTGAATACCCTTTATTTCCTTCTCCTGCCTGATTGCCCTGGCCAGAACTTCCAACACTATGTTGAATAGGAGCGGTGAGAGAGGGCATCCCTGTCTTGTGCCAGTTTTCAAAGGGAATGCTTCCAGTTTTTGCCCATTCAGAATGATATTGGCTGTGGGTTTGTCATAGATAGCTCTTATTATTTTGAAATACGTCCCATCAATACCTAATTTATTGAGAGTTTTTAGCATGAAGGGTTGTTGAATTTTGTCAAAGGCTTTTTCTGCATCTATTGAGATAATCACGTGGTTTTTGTCTTTGGCTCTGTTTATATGCTGGATTACATTTATTGATTTGTGTATATTGAACCAGCCTTGCATCCCAGGGATGAAGCCCACTTGATCATGGTGGATAAGCTTTTTGATGTGCTGCTGGATTTGTTTTGCCAGTATTTTATTGAGGATTTTTGCATCAATGTTCATCAAGGATATTGGTCTAAAATTCTCTTTTTTGGTTGTGTCTCTGCCCGGCTTTGGTATCAGAATGATGCTGGCCTCATAAAATGAGTTAGGGAGGATTCCCTCTTTTTCTATCGATTGGAATAGTTTCAGAAGGAATGGTACTAGTTCCTCCTCGTATTTGATTCTTCTCTCTTTTTTTCTTTATTAGTCTTGCTAGCGGTCTATCAATTTTGTTGATCCTTTCAAAAAACCAGCTCCTGGATTCATTGATTTTTTGAAGGGTTTTTTGTGTCTCTATTTCCTTCAGTTCTGCTCTGATTTTAGTTATTTCTTGCCTTCTGCTAGCTTTTGAATGTGTTTGCTCTTGCTTTTCTAGTTCTTTTAATTGTGATGTTAGGGTGTCAATTTTGGATCTTTCCTGCTTTCTCTTGTAGGCATTTAGTGCTATAAATTTCCCTCTACACGCTGCTTTGAATGCGTCCCAGAGATTCTGGTATGTGGTGTCTTTGTTCTCGTTGGTTTCAAAGAACATCTTTATTTCTGCCTTCATTTCGTTATGTACCCAGTAGTCATTCAGGAGCAGGTTGTTCAGTTTCCATGTAGTTGAGCGGCTTTGAGTGAGATTCTTAATCCTGAGTTCTAGTTTGATTGCACTGTGGTCTGAGAGATAGTTTGTTATAATTTCTGTTCTTTTACATTTGCTGAGGAGAGCTTTACTTCCAACTATGTGGTCAATTTTGGAATAGGTGTGGTGTGGTGCTGAAAAAAATGTATATTCTGTTGATTTGGGGTGGAGAGTTCTGTAGATGTCTATTAGGTCTGCTTGGTGCAGAGCTGAGTTCAATTCTTTCTTTCTTTATTTTTTTTTGTACTGACTGGGTTATTTAAAAAGACTTGTCTTCAAGTTCAGAAATTCTTTCTTCTGCTTGATCTAGTCTGTTGTTGAAGCTCTCGATTGTATCTTTTATTTCATTCATTGACTACTTCAGTTCTAGGATTTTTTTGATTTTTAAAAATGGTATCTTTTTGTTGACTTTCTCATTCCGATCATGAATTATTTTCCTGATTTCTTTATATTGTTTATCTGTGTTCTCATTGAGTTTCTTTAATATTATTTTGAATTGTTTTTCAGGCATTTCATAAATTTCTCTTTTTTGGGATTTTTTTTCTTTTTACTGGAGAACTTGTGTTTCTTTGGAGATATCATATTTTCTTGCTTTTTCATGTTTCTTGCATCCTTATGCTGATATCTGCACCTCTGATTTAACAGTCACTTCTTCCAATTTTATGGATTGACTTTCTTAGAGAAAGACTTTTTCCTGTAGGCATAACTGTAGTGTTGATTGGGTAGGTTGCTTTGGTTTTGATTCTGGGTAGGGCAGTAGTGTAGTTTCTGAATTATTTATGTAGCTTTAATTAGTGTCAGTGGTATCTATGAGTTTCTCATTGGCTTAGACTGTGTTTTTTAGTGAAGGCTGTTTGAGGCTTTGCTAGGGATGAAAACACTAGACCAGCTAGTCCTTGGGCACCAGTGGTGGTGGCAGTGGGCAAGGTGGGCAAGGTGGACATGTCCCCAAGCCACTGG
This sequence comes from Homo sapiens, assembly GCF_000001405.40. Lineage (NCBI taxonomy): Eukaryota > Metazoa > Chordata > Mammalia > Primates > Hominidae > Homo > Homo sapiens. Next base: position 180,703,219 of record NC_000001.11, read on the forward strand.
ATGGCATGTGTGGATGCCAGCAGTAGTGATCAGGGTGGGTTGATTCCCAGGTCACTAGTTGGCACGCTCAGACTCAAGCAGTGGTGGTGATGGGTGGAGTGGGCTTGTCTTCAGTTCCTAGACATCATATATGTATGTCAGCAGTGGGCAGAGCAGACCTATCTGCAGGCCTCTGGATAACGCATGCGGGTGCCAGCATCAGTTGGGTGGGTATTTCCCAGTTCCTAGGCTCCCAGATGATGTGCGCAGGTGTTGGCCATGGTTAGCAGGGCAGACCTCTTCTCAGGCCCCTGATTATGCACATAATGCACCAATGGTAGGCAGGGCAGATCAGTCCTCAGTCATCCTGATGACAGGCGCAGCTACTGGCAGCAGTGGTGAACAAGGGCAGGACTACCCTCATGCCCCCAGATTTTTTACATGGCCCCTAATTGTTTTATGTGTATTTTAAGATTTATTAGCTTGAATAGGGACCCAAATAAGATTCATCATACAATATATTGTGATTGATTAGTAGGTCTCTTAATTTTTCATTGGTTTGTAATGACACCATTTGGTACAGAAGGCACTAGCCATATGTAGCTATTTACATTGATTAAAACTGAAATGAATTAATCTGGTCCTTAGTTGCCCTACCCATATATCGAGTACTCAGTAGCGATATGAGGTTAGGGGCTACCATACTGGACAGTACAGATTATTTCTCTTATTACAGAAAATTCTGTTTGTTAGAGCTAATTTATAGGTTTCTGCTGCATCTCTTTTTTTTCTTGAATTTTTGGTTTGTCTTTTTACAATTTTATTATTGTTGTTGTTATTTTTTGATGGAAGAAACTGGCTTATTCAGGTTTTTTGTTTTTGTCTCCCAGAGTCTGGATTTTGCTGATTGTACTCCTGTGGTGCATCTTAGCATAGTTTCTGTTCTCTTTATTTACAGTAAATTTGTAGTTAAATCTAGAAGCTTGTTTCTATTCTGACTATATATAATGTGTGTATGTATTTTTCTCAAGAACACTATAGGTGCTGGATATATATATATATATATATATATATATATATTATCAGATTATCTGTTTTGTTACTACTGGTGATCATTGCCTAACCCTAGATCTTTTAATTCATTAAGGTTTACAAAATGGTGATATCCTAATGCTCCTGTGTTTATTAGCCAGAATTCTTCTATAAAGGGAAACTTCCCTTTGTCAATTATTTGGTTATTCTTACATACAGATTGTATAGGAAAGATAGCATAAATGCTTAATTATTTCCCTTTGTTTACCTTTTTCAAAATAATGTTGATTCTGTAACATTTTTCCAAAGATGACCAGTGAAACATTTTAAGTGTCTTATTCAATTTGTATATTTCAATATATTTGGTATATTTTGGTACAGTGCAGTTTTATCCCTATTAATGATTAAATTCTCATCTTTGGCCAGTGGGAGCCTATTCAGTTGGTTTTCTCATTCCTTTTGATAGACTCTTAGTATCCTATTATAACTTCTTTTCTATTTGATATTACAAAAATTTCCAGACTTGACATATATATTTCCAGCCTGGGACCTCCAATCAGCCATTTTTCCAGGGACTGTTGGTTGTTTTTTTTTTTTTTTTTTTTTTTTTAAGTAATAATCATGGAATCTTACTTCCTTTTAGACACCACATACTGGACACTGCTTTGGAAGTATCATTGCTACTGGGTTATTCACTGTTTCAGGCTTTCTGTTTCATGGAACAGAAATGCATGCATATATACACTCTTATAAATATAAATGTATATATATATTTTAGGATAAAATTCTTTATTCTTTAAAGCTTAAAGTCTTAGTACACTTTGGATTTGACAAAATGTGTCTACTGTAGCTGAAAAGATAAACTGCGATGATTTTAAGCATTAAGTAATACTCTTAGGCATGGCAACCACAAGCATAACTTTTTGGGATTAGGGTATTGGGGGTGGGGGATCTACCTGTATTGATTAAAATTTCATTTTCTTATTGAAGGTTGAAAGGTGAAAGATTGTTTGTCACCTTCGAAACAGAGTGCCAATTCGTGTTTCCTGATGAGAAATTGACCAGCTATGTGTTTACTGTAAGAGGTGCAATCAGTGAAATTGGAAAAGGAAATTGAATTTATATTGGTGTATTATCCCATGCAGTTAATTTTGCAAATACCCTAATGCACATGAATTTTATTTGAGGTTGAGATGCCTATATTTACTCTGAAACAAAGTGTTGGAAATGTAGTGTGATTAAATACATTTCAAATTTTCTCTTGTTCCACAATTGCTGTGCAGTTCCAAAATATGTTCTTATTAGGTTCCTCACAAAGGAATCTTTTGGCCATTACAACAAGAAAATGAGATAGTTAATTTTAAAGGATACATCAAAATAAGATAATTTACATTGTAAGATTTATTATTTTCACGTTCCTGTTTTTTCTGTATGGGATCCTCTAACATGTTAGCAAAACAATATGTCGTCTTTCTATAAGACTATAATTTCCACTTAAGGAAAACTATGATATGATTCACTCTTGACATGGCAAAAAAAAGTTAGGTTAATAAATTTACAGCAAAGAAGAATTTTTAACAATACAAAAGTAACACAATATATTAGGTAGATATCCTCAGAAGCAGTTTATTCGCAATGGCCATGAAAGAATCTTCCTAAAAGTAGTAGTAAGAGAATGACTAATGGAGAAAAAGGGATTTGAACTGGATCTTGAAGCATGGTTAACATTTAGATAGCCTTAGGAGAGGGCCTTCTAAGCACAGAGAAGCAACAAGACGAAACCAAAAGAATGCACATTTCTAAGACATTCAGGGAAGATTTAGTAGAACACTTAAAATGAAGCATGGAGGGTTATCACTGGAGAATAGTTAGCTGTATGGATAAAGCCAGCTTCCCAAGGAGCTTAAATAATTTAAAAAGTTGGACTTTATTTGGTAGACTAGTGTATTCTAAGATTTGGAGTTACTAGTTTAATGCAGACTGGATTTATAGACCTTCGTGGGTTCCTTGTTCTGATTCAGAAGTATCCATAAAAATATAGGCTTTGTGCTGTCTTGAACTGATTAAGTCTAAGGAATGCAGGCTTCAGGTATGGTCCCATTGAGTTTCCGGCTCTACTTTTTAAAATGATTCTTACAGCTGTGTCATTATCCATGTTGGAGTTCTCCAGGTATCTGTCAGCAACAATTAGAGCCATATGCTCCCTTCTTCAGGAATACTGGAAAAAATAGATGCATGATTTTCAATTAGCTGTATGACCCAGAATATGCATAGAAATACTGTCTTTTTCATGTGAAAATTCACATAACACAAAATAACCATTTTGATTGCATTTAGTACATTCACTGTTGTACAACATCTACATCTATCAAGACACAGAAGCTTTTTTTTTTTTTCCCCGAGGCAGAGTCTCGCACTGTCACCCAGGCTGGAGTGCAGTGGCATGATCTCTGCTCACTGCAACCTCCGCCTTCCGAGTTCAAGCAATTCTCCTGCCTCAGCCTCCTGAGTAGCTGGGATTACAGGTGCAAGCCACCATGCCTGGCTATTTTTTTTTATTTTTTATTTTTAGTAGAGACAGGATTTTACCATGTTGGCCAGGCTGGTCTCGAACTCCTGACCTCGTGATCTGCCCACCTCGATATCCCAAAGTGTTGGGATTACAGGCGTGAACCACCATGGCCAGCCCTACAGAAGCATTCTTAAATGGAATTTATTTAAGCTGAAAACAGTATTTTCTATAAAGTAATATTTTGGCATATGTTTTTCTAGCTAATTTTTCAGTCAATATCAGTTGTAGAAATATGTATTTTAAAAAAGAAATATTTACTTGTATTAAGAGTTAAGATTTCTAATTTTGGAGAATCAACAAAAATAACGGTCAGAATAGAATTTTTATCTTGACAGTAGTTGGAAGAATAGTTACATGGTGAGAAAACCAGGATAGATTTTTAAATCATTTTTTAAAAAACTTTTAAGTTCAGACTTACATGTATAGGTTTGTTACATAGGTAAGTTTAAATCATGGGGATTTGTTGTATAGATTATTTCATCAACCAGGTATTAAGCCTAGTACCCATTAGTTATTTTTCCTGATCCTCTCCCTCCTACCCTCCACCCTCCGATAGGCTAGTGTGTGTTGCTCCCCTCTATGTATCTATGTATTTTCATCATTTAGCTTCCACTTATAAGTGAGAACACAAATAGAATGAAGTGCAGTGGTTTAATTTTAATAGTGGAATTGTTTTTCAAGTTATACCTGTCCCTGCTGTCCTTTGGACTTGAGAGATTCTACCTTTTTAAAGTACCTACATAACACTATCTGAATAGGGCTGTGGAATATAGGCAGACCCAATTCTCCCCTGTTCCTGTTTATAGATTTTGTGTTGTGAACCTAGAAGGATTGTGCTTCCTGATTTTAGTTTTCTTTTTCTTGTCTTTACTGCAACTCTCCAGAAAACCTACAGAATGTTTATTGGAAACACCTTGGTAGAAGAGAAGTGTTGTTTGTTGTAAACATAAATCCTAATCTTTTGTGCAAAATATTTTAGAAATATTTTAACTTTTATTTCTTAGTAAGAGACCTTTCAGGGTCCTGATTATGGTTGTGGAGATCTTTATTATCCATTACTAATTTTTCTCATTGTTTCTTTTTGTCTTTTTGGAGGTAGTGATATTGGTGCTGAAGTAGTGATGTGAGGATGATGGCAGTAGTATTTCTAATTAGCATTTCTTGTTGAGGTCTTTTAGAACGCCTAGTTGGAAATTTAAATAAAACAATTAGGTCAAATGAATTTAGAAAAGCTGAATAGACTATTTAGGCACAATATTCGGCCAATATGAAAAAACTGGAAAAAATAGATACATGATTTTTAATTAGCTGCGTGATACTGTTTTTAGATTAATAAGTAAAAGGAAGTTTAATTGAACATCTATTACAAATAGGAGTTTTCAGAATTTTCAGGTGGATGTAATCAGTAGCCAGTGGTTTTTGCCTACTGTTTTTGTGGATAGTAGCATCTGACTCTCATGTCATCTGTGATTTACAAGACTGCATCTAAAGAAGTATGTTCAATTTCCTGTTTTTGTTTTGTTTAATAAACACTTTGTAATTCCTTACTATGTGTGTTTGAGGTGATGAAAATTTTGGAGATAATAGTGATGATGGTTGCACAACATTATGAACGTACTTAATGCCATTGAATTGTACTCTTAATATTGGTTAAAATGGTAGAATTAATGTTATATATATTTTACCACAATAAATAAAAGGCAGGACAAATTTTATCAGTAAATTTACGTTTCTGGAAGATTTAGTTCTAAAATTTTTTAGTGGAGATTTTATTGCAAGGTGATTTTTTTTTTTAACCTATATTCCTGGCATAACTGACTCCTATTTTTAGCCCTAAATATTCAAAAGAACAGGAAAACGTGACTCTGCATATGACTTTCCTTAAATATTTTTTGAATGTTTTATTTGAAATATCATGCAACTAAAAATTTCAAACTCTTTCATAAAGGTAATGTTTAATTTTTTATGTTGTAAAGTTAAATATTGTTTTTTAACAAAAATTTTCCCCAAAATGAAATGTCGAATTTGCATTTTTAAAAGATAATTTTTAAATCTTTATCTTCAGATAGCTGTAGTCTTATAAGCATGTAAAGTTTTTTTTTTTTTTTGGGGGGGGGGGGGCGGGGGCGGGGACAAGTCTCGCTCTGTCGCCCAGGCTGGAGTGCAGTGGCACGATCTTGGCTCACTGTAACCTCCATCTCCCAGGTTCAAGCAGTTCTCCTGCCTCAGCCTCCTGAGTAGCTGGGATTACAGGCGCCCACCACCACACCCGGCTGATTTTTGTATTTTTACTAGAGATGGGGTTTCACCATGTTGGCCAGGCTGGTCTCAAACTCCTGACCTCAGGTGATCCACCCGCCTCGGCCTCCCAAAGTGCTGGGATTACAGACAGGCATGAGCCGCCGTGCCCGGCCATAAGCATGTAAAGTTTTAAAGAAAAGCAGCTTTTATCTCTCCTGGTTAGTGTGTTTTTTAAACAGCTTTTTTGAAGTATAATTGACATTTAATAAACTGTATATATTTAAAGTGTGCAATTTGATAAGTTATGACATTTGTATACACTGGCGAAACCATAACCACACTCAAGATAGTGAACATATCCATCACCCCCAAGAGTTTCCTCATACCTTTTTGTAATCTCTGCTTCCCACCGCATCTCACTCTATCCCTTCTCAGTCAAACACTGATTGGCTTTCTTTCACTGTTGATCAGTTTACATTTTCTAAAGTTTTATATGTATTTAGACAGTATGTACTCTTGTTTGTCTGGCTTCTTTCAGTCAACCTAATTATTTTGAGATTCCAAAGTAGCAGTGCAATTTTACGTTCACTTAGAATGTGTCAATGTTTCATTTTTTTTCCATGTCTTCACCAATACTTGGTATTGTCAATCTATTTAATTTTAGTCATTACAATAGGAATGTGGTGTTACCTCGTTGTGTTTTTAATTTACATTTTCCAAATGACTAACGATATTGAGACTTTTCCTATTTATTTGCCGTTGGTATATCTTCTTTAGGAAAATGTTCAAATCTTTTGCCTATTTGAAAAATTGGGTTGTTTTTCTCCTATTCTTGAGTTTTGAGGGTTTTTTTTTTTTTTAATTTTTTTATTTTTATTTTCGAGATGGAGTTTTGCTCTGTCACCTAGGCTGGAGTGCAATAGCGTGATCTCAGCTCACTGCAACCTCTGCCTCCCAGGTTCAAGCAATTCTCCTGCCTCAGCCTCCCTAGTAGCTGGTACTACAGGCACCTGGCTAATTTTTGCATTTTTAGTAGAGACAGGGCTTCACCATGTTGGCCAGGCTGGTCTCGAACTCCTGACCTTGTGATCTCCCCGTCTTCGCCTCCCAAAGTGCTGGGATTACAGGTGTGAGCCACCACACCTGGCCTGTTTAATTTAGTTTTTTTTTTTTTTTTAATTGATCATTCTTGGGTGTTTCTCGCAGAGGGGGATTTGGCAGGGTCATAGGACAATAGTGTAGGGAAGGTCAGCAGATAAACAAGTGAACAAAGGTCTCTGGTTTTCCTAGGCAGAGGACCCTGGGGCCTTCTGCAGTGTTTGTGTCCCTGGGTACTTGAGATTAGGGAGTGGTGATGACTCTTAACGAGCATGCTGCCTTCAAGCATCTGTTTAACAAAGCACATATTGCGCCGCCCTTAATCCCTTTAACCCTGAGTGGACACAGCACATGTTTCAGAGAGCACCGGGTTGGGGGTAAGGTCACAGATCAACAGCATCCCAAGGCAGAAGAATTTTTCTTAGTACAGAACAAAATGGAGTCTCCTATGTCCACTTCTTTCTACACAGACACAGCAACAATCTGATTTCTCTATCTTTTCCCCACATTTCCCCCCTTACTATTCGACAAAACCGCCATTGTCATCATGGCCTGCTCTCAATGAGCTGTTGGGTACACCTCCCAGATGGGGTGGCGGCTGGGCAGAGGGTCTCCTCACTTCCCAGAAGGGGTGGCCGGGCAGAGGCGCCCCCCCACCTCCCGGATGGGGCGGCTGGCTGGGCGGGGGCTGCCCCCCACCTCCCTCCCGAACGGGGCAGCTGGCCGGGTGGGGGCTGCCCCCCACCTCCCAGACGGGGCGGCTGCCGGGCGGAGACGCTCCTCACTTCCCAGACAGGGCGGCTGCTGGGCGGAGGGGCTCCTCACTTCCCAGACGGGGTGGCTGCCGGGCGGAGGGGCTCCTCACTTCTCAGACGGGTGGCTGCCGGGCGGAGGGGCTCCTCACTTCTCAGACGGGGCGGCCGGGCAGAGACGCTCCTCACCTCCCAGACGGGGTTGTGGCTGGGCAGAGGCGCTCCTCACATCCCAGACGGGGCGGCGGGGCAGAGGCGCTCCCCACATCTCAGACGATGGGCGGCCAGGCAGAGACGCTCCTCACTTCCCAGACAGGGTGGCGGCCGGGCAGAGGCTGCAATCTCGGCACTTTGGGAGGCCAAGGCAGGCGGCTGGGAGGTGGAGGTTGTAGCCAGCCGAGATCACGCCACTGCACTCCAGCCTGGGCAACATTGAGCACTGAGTGAACGAGACTCCATCTGCAATCCCAGCACCTCGGGAGGCCAAGGCTGGCAGATCACTCGCGGTTAGGAGCTGGAGACCAGCCTGGCCAACACAGCGAAACCCCGTCTCCACCAAAAAAATACGAAAACCAGTCAGGCATCGCGGCGCGCGCCTGCAATTGCAGGCACTCGGCAGGCTGAGGCAGGAGAATGAGGCAGGGAGGTTGCAGTGAGCAGAGATGGGGGCAGTACAGTCCAGCTTGGGCTCGGCGTCAGAGGGAGACCGTGGGGAGGGGGAGAGGGAGAGGGGGGAGAGTTCTTTTTATATTTTAGATACAAGACCTTTATCAGATGTAGATTTTGCAAAGATTTTTCAAAAGTAGAGCTTTTAAATTTTGATGTAGTCCAATTTATCAGTTCTTTTGTGGATTATGTTTTTGGTCAAATCTTATAATTCTTTGCCTAATTCAAGGTCACAAAGATTTTCTCCTCTGTTTGCATCTAAAAGCTCTGTAGTTTTAGGTTTTACATTTAGGTCTGTGTCCATTTTGAGTTAATTTTTTGTATGTGGTGTGAGGCGTGGAACAAAATTCATTTTTTATATACACATATCAGTTGTTCTAACACCATTTGTTGAAAAGACCATCCTGTCTCCACTGTATTGCTTTTGTATGCAGTAGTTGCCCCTTATCTGCTGGGGATGCATTCCAAGACCCCCAGTGGATGCCTAAAACTGTGGATGGTACCAAATTATATATACAATATTTTTCTATACATTTATACATACATATGATAAAGTTTAATTTCTAAATTAGGCACAATAAGAGACTAACAATAATAAAATATAACAATTATAACAGTATGTCAGCATCATTACTCTTGCCCTTTGTGGCCATTAAATAAAATAAGTGTTACTTGAACACAAGCACTGAAGTACCATGATAGCCTGATAACTGAGATGGCTACTAAGTGACTAAAGGGTGTTAGTGTTGTTCCCTATACGAAGGGATGATTCTCATCCCAGGCAAAATGGAGCAGGAAGGTGTGAGATTTCACAGTGCTATTCAGAATGACATGAAAAAATCCCTATGAATTGTTTATTTCTGGAATTTTCTATTTAATATTTTCAGACAGCTGTTGACAATGGTAACCGAAACTGTGGAAAGTGAAACCATAGTTTAAGGGGGCTATTTTATTTGTCAAAACGTCATGCTGGGCACGGTGGCTCATGCCTGTAATCCCAGCACTTTGGGAGGCCGAGACAGTGGATCACCTGAGTGAGGAGTTCAAGACCAGTCTGATCAATATGGTAAAACCCCATCTCTACTAAAAATACAAAAATCAGCTGGGTGTGGTGGCGTGCACCTGTAGTGCCAGGTACTCGGGAGGCTGAGACAGGAGAATCGCTTGAACCTGGGAGGCGGAGGTTGCATTGAGGTGAGGTTGTGCCACTGCACTCCAGCCTGGGCAACAGAATGAGACTCTGTCTCAAAAATAAATAAATAAATAAATAAAAATAAAAAAATAAATCAGTTGTTCATGTATATGTAGGTCTATTTCTTGATTACTATAGCTTTAGTAATAGTCTTGAAATCAATTAGCATTGTTCTTATTCCAGCTTTGTTCTTTTTTTTTTTTTTTCAAAGTAGTTTTGTCTATTCTAGGTCCTTTGCATTTTCTTATGTATTTTGGAATACTCTATCCGTTTCTATAAAAAAAAGCCTGGTAAGATTTTTATTGGGATTGTATTGAATCTCTAGATAAATTTGGGGAAAACGTTGACATCTTAATATTTAATCTTTCAACCTGAGAGTAAGGTATATATTTCTCTTTGGTCTTCTTTAATTTCTCTCAGCAGTGTTTTGTAGTATATGGGTTTTCCACATCTTTAATCAGATTTATTTCTAAGTATTCAATTTTTTTTGATGCTCTTGCAAATGATACTGTCTTTCCATTTCAATTTCCAATTGTTCATTGCTATTATGCAAAAGTACTATATATATAAAGATTTTTATATATTGATCTTGTGCAAATTTGCTAAACTCACTTTTTAGTTACAGTAGCTTTTTAAAAATAGATTCCATCAGATTTTCTATATAGACCAAGTGTCATCTGCCAATGAAGACAGTTTTACTTCTACCTTTCCAAGCTGGGTGCCTTTTTATTTCTTTTACTTGCCTGGTTACGCTGGGCTGAATCTCTAATGCAATGTTGGGTAGAAGTGGTGTGAGTGGGCATCCCTTGTTTGCTGAGAGTTTTTATTAGGAGTAAGTAGACATTGGACTTTGTTAGGTGCTTTTTTCATATTTATTGAGATGATCATATAGCTTTTCTCTTTTAGTTTGTTAATGTGGCGAATTACATTGATTTTCACATGTTAAATTGACCCTGCATTCCTAGGAGAAACCCCACTTGGTCATTACATATCCTTTTTATATGTTGTTGAATTAGATTTGCTAAAATTGTATTAGAATTTTTACATCTGTATTTATATGGGATATTGTTCTCTAGAAGTCTTATAATGTCTTTGTCTTGTTTTGGTATCAGGGTAATGTTTACCTCATAGAATGAGGTAAACTAATGAAAAGAAAGAATTCTTTTCATTAGTGCGGAAGAGTTTGTATATATCTGGTATTATTCTTTTTAACTGTTTGGTAGAATCCACTAATAAAGTCATCTGGACCTGGAACTTTCTTCATGGGAAGATTTTAATAGGATTGTTTAGGTTATTGTTTTTTCTTGAGTGAACTCTTGATAGTTGGTATCTTTCAAGGAATTTGTCTATTTAATTAAAATTGTCAAATTTATTGGCTTAAAGTTATTTATAATATTTCCTTATTATCCTTTACATAGTGATAGAAGCTATAGCCTTGTCAACTCTCACATTCCTGATATTGGCCATTTGTGTTGTCTTCGTTCCCTTCCTCCTCCTTCTCATCCTTCTCTAGCATCATCATTATCAGTCTGGTTAGAGATCTATCAATTTTACTGTCTTAGTCATTTCCTTGATTTTTCTCTCATATTTTTTCCCTGTTCTCTCTCTCTCTCTCTCTCTCTCTCTCTCTCTCTCTCTCTCTCTCTCTCTCTGTCGTCTGTCTGTCTGTCTGTCTGTCTCGTCTCATCTTGTTGCCCAGGCTGGAGTGCGGTGGCACAATCATAGCACGCTGTAACCTCAACCTCCTGGGCTCAAGCATTCCTCCCATCTCAGCCTCCTGAATAATTGGGGCTACAGACGCATGCCACCATGCCCAGCTAAGTCTTCCATTTTTTGTAGAGACAGGGTCTCACTATGTTGCCCAGCCTGGTCTTGAACTCCTGGGCTCAAGGGGTCCTCCTGCCTTGGCCGTCCAAAGTGCTCAGATTACAGGTGCGAACCACCACACCTGACCCTGTTTTCTTTTTAATTGATTTCCTCTTCGATTGTTACTATTTTCTTCCTTCTTTCTTTGAGTTAATTTCCTCTTTTTCTAGTTTTTTTTTTAAAGTGGAAAATGTATTTCTGTTGCGACCCTTTTCTGTTGTTTGGCAATTTTAATCAGTGTTTTTGAAGAGAATGCTGATATACAGTAGTATGCTATTTAGAATCAATTTAGTTTATTAGCTGGAAAGAATAGCTGATATTCTGGAATGTTAGAATCCAAGAAGCTAAGATGGTAGCCTAAATATATTAAGATGTGGGCTAATTAAGAAAAATCTCAAATTCTCTGCTCAATACCAAAAAATCATTTAGGAAAATATGGGAAAAGGGAGAACAAGATTTTTAGTGCAGTATTGGTTAAATGTAGGCAGTAGCATCCAAAGTGCCTGGTTTGGATACTACTAAGTATATGGTTGTTTGAATGTAATATAGCCCCAGATAATCTAATCTGATGAAAATATTAATGTAAATAAAGTGTTCAGAAATAAGGAAGGTAATTATCTCACACTTCTTTACTGAATAGGCTACCTCAGGAATCTTGTATTTATTTATGAGCGTCACTCTGCTGGGTTTAGACACACTAGAATTCTGTTGGCCAGAGTAGGCAAATTTGTAAGTGGACAGACCATGCTATAACGAATCTTGGACTCATAGAATCTTAGAATGGATAAGGATCTTAGAGATTGCCTTATTTTTTATCATAGGAAACCAAAGCCAGGAGCTGTCTATTGGTTTATCCAGTGTTACACAAATAATTGGTGACAGTGTTGAAGATTGGATTTTCAGTTTCTGGAGGGCATTTCAGCATTCTTTCCACTGAACCATCTTGTCATCAAAATATAGTTCAGAAGAAGATTATAGGAGGTCTTGAAATTATCTGTATGGGAAAAGGTCAATGATCAACAATCAAGAGTTACAGAGAAGTTGTTTTTTTTTTCTTTATCTTTCTTTCTTTTTTTTGAGATAGAGTTTCACTCTTGTTGCCCAGGCTGGAGTGCAATGGTGCGATCTTGGCTCACTGCAACCTCTGCCTCCCGGAAGCGATTCTCCTGCCTCAGCCTCCTGAGTAGCTGGAATTACAAGTGTGCGCCCCCACACCCAGCTAATTTTTGTATTTTTAGTAGAGACGGGGTTTCTCCGTGTTGCTCACGCTGGTCTCCAACTTCCGACCTCAGATGATCAGCCCACCTCAGCCTCCCAAAGTGCTGGGATTACAGGTGTAAGTCACCGTACCCGGCTGAGAAGTTGTTTTAATGAAAGCTTCTTGAGCTATGTATGTGGCTCTCAATTCTTGGAGGTAGCCATCAAGGGAGTGGACAATCCCTAGAGTGGAATGTCATATAATAGATAGATCCATGTATCAGATAAACTTTGGGCTATATCAGCTACAGAGTTTTGGGGGGTTTTTTGTTTGTTTGTTGGAGCCAGGGTCTCACTCTGTCACCCAGGCTGGAGTTCAGTGGCGCTGCCTCGAACTACTGGGCACAAGTGATACAAGTGGGTGCCACCATGCCTGGCTAGTTTTTTTTTTCTTTTTGTAGTGATGGGTCTCACTATGTTGCCCAGACTGGTCTTGAACTCCTCGCCTCAGGTGATCCTCCTGCCTCAGCCTTGCAGAGTTCTAGGATTATAAACATGAGCCACTGCATGGCCTCAGAATATTTACCGTCTAATTTTCAAGCCTGTCTGATCTTGTCAAACTAACCTGTTTTGGTATCATCACTTTTCTTTATTGTTTACCTATTTTGTATTTTATTGATATCCACTCTTTATTATTTCCTTGCTCTGTGCTCTTTGGGTTTAATTTATCCTGCCTTTTCTGGTTTTTAAAAGTATAAGCTTTTGTCTCTGCTAAAATCTCTGTTGCTTTATTTTTGGCTCTTACCATCAGCCCTCTGCAGGTATAAATTTCAGGTTCTAAACTTCACACCTGATTGTCAAATTGGTAATGTTCTAGGCTAAGTGTCTTCAGAAAGTAAGTTCACCTCTCTTAAGATTCTTCCCCTCTGGAATTAGGTCTTTTACCTCTAGTTTTTGCTCTTTCAGCAGCTATTTGCTACCTTGAAACAAATGACTTAGGTATATTATTCAGTTTTCTGTTTGTTTAACTTGTAGGTGGTAGTTGGCCTCCAGGTCCTCCTTCTTGCCTGGAAGTGAACCCTCCTTAAATGGATTATTTTTCAATATTCAGTAATCTGCTCGTCTTCTAGAAGCTCATATTGATTCACAGAAGCAAGCCATGCCAAACACACGTAATTTTCTTTTTCCTTTTTTTGGAGATGGAGTTTCACTCTTGTTACCCAGGCTGGAGTGCAATGGCACAATCTCAGCTCACTACAACCTCTGCCTCCTGGGTTCAAGCGATTCTTCTGCCTCAGCCTCCCGAGTAGCTGGGATTACAGGTGCCTGCCACCATACCCAGCTAATTTTTGTATTTTTAGTAGAGAAGGTGTTTCACCATGTTGGTCAGGCTGGTCTTGAACTCCTGACCTCAGGTGATCCGCCCACTTTGGCCTCCCAAAGTGCTGGGATTACAGGCATGAGCCACTGTGCCTAGCCCTAATTTTCTTTTGAAGTTAGTTCTCTTAATTGAATAGGAGAATGTCATAGGCATAAAATTTAAGAAGACTGTTTTTTAAAACCTGTCATGCTGTTCTTGTGGAGGACCAAAATATACGAGATGAATGATAATATAGTTAGGAGGATTTGGAGCTGATTGAACAACTTATAACCAAAGAGTATTGACAGATTAGTGGCAGCCAAAAGTGTTTTTTTTCTGAACATGTACCTCAGAACTACCTGGGGATTGCTAAAAATATGCAAATACCGAGATCCCAGTCTATATCTCCTACATCAGAATCTTGGGTGTGGATTGGGAAATATTATTTTCAAAATATGTTTTTAGAGTCTGTGATGGAAACTTCTGGCTAAGAATGATGAATTAAATTTAGTGGCACGCTGGAACTGTCTCACACAAGATTATGATAATTGTCTTTATCTCTTCTCAACCCTGTGTTCACTGCTGGTAGCTTGAAATTGGCCATGATAGGAGTATTTACACTATAGAAATTGGCAAACCTGCCCACCACCCCAGGAAACATTTTCTAGCACACTACTATTAGGTTGGTACAAAAGTAATTGTGTTTTTTGTCATTGAAAGTAATGGCAAAAACCGCAATTACTTTTGCACCAACCCAATAGTTACATTTAATAGAATTGAATAGATATGAAGTTTAAAAAAATCTGTAGGATAGAAGAATGGTAGCATGATTACAGTTAATATAATCTAAGGGTTTAGCTGTTTCTTTGGTATGAGCCAGTAATAAGATACAACTTTAAAAAACATTAATGCTATGTATTAAGTTTTATACAGCAAAAAAAGGTGGTAGTACTACTGTGCAGAGCATTAATCAGACTGTCCTTTTCTGGAGTATTGGGTATTGATGATAGGTGCTGTGTTTTTAAAAGGTCACTGAACTTTTCTAGAAATGAGCCATCAATACATGGGAATGGGTTTGAAAATTGTTGTAAAGATAATGATTGAAGAAAAGTTTAACATAGAGTACTTAGGGGATACTTCATAGCTCTGATAATGAACAAAAATTAGAATCATTTTATGTGACCACATAAAATAGTATTTGGACCAGTGGGTATGGAGTGGCAAATTTCGCTTGTTAGAACTTTCACGTAGTTAAATTTGCCCCCAAATAAAATTGTTGGAGATGTCATTAAATTTTGGAATTGAATGTTATGTAGCTACCACATAGGGACATTAGGGAGAATTTTTGCATTTGGCAAGAAGAGGACTAGATCAGTGATTCATAACTGTGGTTGCACATTAGAATCACCTGGGCAACATTAAAAAACAAAAATCTTGGACAGACTGCATGCACCCTAAGCTGACTAAATCAGAATCTTGGGACTTGAGCATCTGTATTTTTTTTTTTTTTTTTGAGACAGAGTCTCACTCTGTCTCCCAGGCTGGAGTGCAGTGGCGCAATCTCGGCTCACCGCAACCCCTGCCTCTGGGGTTCAAGCGATTCTCCTGCCTCAGCCTCCCAAGTAGCTGGGATTACAGGTGCCCACCACCACAGCTGGCTAATTTTTGTATTTTTAGTAGAGACGAGGTTTCACCATGTTGGCCAGGCTGGTCTCAATCTCCTGACCTCATGATCCGCCCACCTTGGCCTCCCAAAGTGCTGGGATTACAGGCATGAGCCACTGTACCCAGCCGGATCTGTATGTTTTAAAGCTCTTCAGGTCATGATAATGTGCAGCAAAGTTTGTGAATTAGATTATAATGTATTTTCCAAATTAATTTTACAACATAATTCTGACCATTCAATGGTAACGCTTTGTTTTCCTGGAACAGATTTTGAATGATCTGCATTTGTAAAATACATAGAAAACCTGGGATATATAAATACCAAGGAAATGTACAGACATAGATTTATTGAACCTGAGAACAGAGATTCTAATTCTGGAAACACTAGTTAAATGTTTATGTGATAATTTCATAATGATTATCAGTAATTTATTTAAAGTCCAATATGATTAAATAAAAATGCATTTTAAAAATTTATGAAACAATAAAGAAAAAAGTTGGAAGTATATTTAGAATTTTATTTCTTAGGATTAAAATGTGACTGATGATATTGGCATCAGTTGATGACATTGGCAAAATGTTAATAATTGTTGAAGCAGAGCATTGGACATGTTGGGGCTTAGAATATTATTCTCTGTACTTTTTGCTTTATTAGTTTTGAAATTTCAATAAAAAGTTGACCTTTGTTCTTGCAGCAATTTAAAGATGCTATTCTGTTGCTTTCTGGCTTTGGTATTTTCTTTTTTCCGCCTTCTTTTATTTTTAGTTGATACTTAATAATTGTACATATTTGTGGGGTACAGAGTGATATTTAGATACATGTATGCAATGTGTAATGATCAAATCAGGATAGTTGGGTTATCTGTTACTTTAAACGTTTTATCACTTCTTTGTGTTGCGAGCATCTTAAAAAATCACACATTTAAATTAGCTGTAATGTAGAGAAAATGATTAGATAAATAATAATCCTACCTTACATAAACTGTTCAGTCATTTCATCTCATTTTAAGTTAGATGCTCTTAAGTATTCTCTTTTGAGCAAATAAAACACTGGACTTATAACAGGATCTGACATATCTGAAAGATAAGATTGGATGGGTATGTTAGGGCTCTGTCTAGTAGACCAAAATGTTTGAATTTGATATTTAATGAATATTGATGTGTTTTAGCATCTTTCTAATTTTTTTTTCTTGGGGATTAGTAGAGCCAAAATATTTAGAATGGTTTACAACAAGGTAAGTGGTTCTGACAGAAAGAAGAAAAGCAGGGAGCAGGGCCGGGGGCGTGGGGGTGGTGTTACGAGATAGGAGAGGGGATGCTTTTAAAAAAGAAGGTGGTAATAAAGTTCATTGGGTTATCTTTCAGTAATTATTAAAAATAAAAAATAATTAAACCAAGGCAGAGTGCCTTGGAGAATAAACCTGATTATGAGGGATGGCAAATGTAATAATATATTGACAAAGGGTAGAATTTCTAGACTTTCAAATTCCATTGTCTTAAAACAGTTGGTAATGTGACAGTTCTTTAGCCTTTTTGGAAGTTTTGCTTTTTTGGTAGAGATACAACATAAAAGACTTGAGGAAATAGGTCATGGTAATTATCTGTCATCCAGTAAAAGAAATTTGAAAATCATTGATGTAAAGCAGCATTTATAAATTGATGAATTAGAGTAATTATAAATTGATGAATTAGAGATATGGTTTTATATGGCATGAAAAATGAATATTATAATTTAATATATTACTAGAGTAGCGATTTTCAAAGTGTGGTTCTTAGACCAACAGCATCACCTGGGTACTTGTTATAAATGCTAATTCTTGGACCTCACCCCAGATCTACTAAATCAGAAACTTCTGGGGTGGGGCCTGGCTATCGGTGTTTTAACGAGGTCTTCAGGGGATTTGAATGCATGCTTAAGTTTGGAAACCATGGATTTAGAATACTATTGCCTTTTGTTGTACCAGCCAATAAATTAAATTTTGTGTATGCTTTCTATTCAAGAGTTATGTGCCCTTATCATGCCTTTATATATATCTCCATATCAGTATGTATAAAAGAATCAGAGGGTAAAATGAGAGCCTTTTGTGGTTAAATGTCATTCAAATTTAGAAGGAGGCCAGGCGTGGTGACTCATGCCTGTAATCCCAGCACTTTGGGAGGCTGAAGCAGGCAGATCACTTGAGATCTGGAGTTCAAGACTAGCCTGGCCAGTATGGTGAAACCCCATCTCTAGTAAAAACAAAAATTGGCTGGGACGTGGTAATTCCAGCCACTTGGGAGGCTGAGGCAGGAGAATCGCTTGAACCCCGGAGGCAGAGATTGCGGTGAGCTGAGATTACACCATGGCACTGTAGCCTGGGTGACAAGAACAAAACTCTGTCTCAAAAAAAAAAAAAAAATCTAGAAGGAAATTCTCCCATTTTACACTGACATTGGTGAAATCCAGGTTGAATATTAGTGTTTTAAATAAATTTATCATATCATTTTTTCTTTTTGGTGCCATTTGTTGACATTTAGCTAACAAGTCTGAGAGTGTTAGATTTGACAGACTGTGGGTTGACTCAGGTGGTTGTTCTTAATTGGTCTGGAATGTCAGTTGACATAAAATATTAAAGTAAGTTTTGAGAAAAGGGAAGAAAGAAATTGTACCTGCCTTGGATTTGAGCCAGGATTGAAACCGTCATTTTACTCCTGGCTATGTGGTTCATGGTTTGAAAGTCATTGTCCTACTATATGTAAAACATGTCTTTCTAAAATTTACATTTTGTTATACAGTTGACCCTTGAGCAACATAGATGTGATCTGTGCAGGTCTACTTATATTGGATTTCCTTTCACCTCTGCCACCCTTGAGATGGCAAGACCAACCTCCCATTTTACTCTTCCTCCTTTTCCTCAGCATATTCAATGTGAAGTCATTGAGGATAAAGATTTTTATAGTAACCACTTCCACTTAATTAATAGTAAATATATTTTTCTTACGACTTTCTTTTCTCTAGCTTATTTTATTGTAAGAATACAGTATATAATACATGAAACATACAAAATATGTGTTAATCGACTGTTTATGTTACTACTAAGGCTTCTGGTCAGCAGAAGGGTATTAGTAGTTAAGTTTTTGGAGAGTCAAAAGATGTACGTAAGGCCAGGCTTGGTGGCTCCTGCCTGTAATCCCACCACTTTGAGAGGCTGAGGTTGGCGAATTGCTTGAGCTCAGGAGTTGAAAACCATCCTGGGCAAGGTGGTGAAACTTCGTGTCTACAAAAAATAGAAAAAAAAAATTAGTCATGTGTGGTGGTGTGTGCCTGTATTCCCAGTTACTCTAGAGGCTGAGATGGGAGGATGGCTTGAGCCTGGGAGGTCAAGGCTGCAGTGAGCCTCCCAAGTAGCTGGGATTACAGGAGCCCGCCACCACACCCGGCTAATTTTTGTATTTTTAGTAGTGACAGGGTTTCGCCATCTTGGTCAGGCTGGTCTTGAACTCCTGACCTCGTGATCTACCCGCCTTGGCCTCCCAAAGTGCTGGGATTACAGACATGAGCCACCGCGCCCGGCCCTTAAAATGTTACTTTAAATTAACATACACACTCAGTTATATGTTTTGATTTTATTTAGAACTTTCATTTTAAGACAAGACTAAGTGAAATTGTAGAAATTAGTTGAGAAATGAGACTGTGCATTTCATATTGGCCTGTGGTGTAAAATGATCTGACATATAATGAAACTTAGTTGAATACAAATGTTATTTTATCAGTTTTGTTTTTATCTGATAAGTTAATTTATAGTTATTAACCTTGATTTGACTGTCCTTTTGAAAAATCTTGCCTAAGAAAACTAAATGATCATCAAAACACTGGTCTTAAAATAGAGTTCAGGCTGTTTTTTAGCTTGATACAGTTGTCTCTCTTGCTTTGCTTTCCTTCTGAAATGATGTTTCCATTTTGGGGACTGGGAAGAGCATGATTATTTATAGACTAGTGTGTTTTGGACAGGTGGTATGTTTACACAGATCAGTGGAATTATTTGTCCCCCAAGACCTTTAATATGAATGCATTTCATTTTATCACTTTTTGTAATTAAAAGAGCAAAATAATTATGTGGGTGAGTAGAGAACATCGTCTTTAATTTTGTATGTTAATGCAGCAGGTGTCCACTATATATTAGGAATTTTTCAGAGATTTGGGGTTACCGATAAACCACATAGCTTTGTCATTGAAAAATTTTAAAGACCATTTTTGTATCTTCTTACAGAGCATACAACTTACAAATATCTCTCTGTCCTCCCCGTTTCGGCTTTGTTTGATAGAAGTGTTCTAGGGAGTCAAACCCTGTAGAAAATTGGAGCATTCATACATTGCTGAAACTTTCTATATTACATTTTATATTTTAAAAATTAAAGTTATAAAGTAACCATTAGCAATACTGCATAACAGAAACTTTACAACTTAAAATACTTCTGAAATTTAGCATGTGCACATATTTTTGAGATTTACAACTATTGTTATATTAATTATGTAGGTAACGTCAAAGTTATATACTCCAATTATTATACCAGGGCCTTTTTTGCCATAAAAGGTACCAAATCAAAGCATCAAATGAAATTCTTTCAGTCAATCTATATATGTTAGCAGTTTTCTCTAGTAAAACTCTACATAAAGAACTGCTTTCTTCCTTATAGCAGGAACTACTTTCATTTTATTCCTTTTTGAGAGCCCCTGCCTCTTGAGAAAATGCTTCCCATCTGGTTAGAGACTAGATGACATAATATAGTCCCATTCAGAAAGATATTGATAATAAAATAGTCTCTTCCTTTTCTCTTCCCTTACCTGTCTTCAACTCTTCTGGAACCTCCTCTCTGTCCTTTATCTGTTATGCCCTGGTGATCCAGAGCCATCTTAATTTTAAAATTCTCCATCATATTTTTTATTATATTGAATTAACAATTCATTCTAGGGTCATCCAGATACATCATTTACCAGGAGAAGCAGTTAGCTTGCCTCTTGAGATATTTGGCCGTTTCATTATTGTGTCACATGGTTGAAAACCTTTCTTTTTGGATGTTGTATATGACCATTAGTGCTTTTCAGTCTTTTCTGTTCTTACAGTTCATATTTTTACCTTTCTTTTTGCAAACAAAGATGGAGAGAAGAGTAAATTAAATACTCTTCTGAATATGTTAATACTTAGTTTAATAAAAAACCAGAATTACATCCCAATTTCTGGAGATGAGAAGGTAGTCAAAAAAATGAGTAAGCTATGGTCCTATAGGGGAGAGAATAGATTAGAATACTTATCTAATGTGAGACACATGTTCTAAAAGAAAAGAGAATCAAGTGCTGTCAGAATAAAAAGGTGGCATACTGACTTGAGGTGAGTTTGGGATATCAAAGAATATCTAGAGGAGGTGACCTTTGAGCAGGGCCTTGAAGCAGGGCCAACTTACCCATTAAGCACAGTAAGCACAGTGCCTTGGGCCGATGCTATTTATAGCAGCCCATAAAATTCACTTTAATTTTAATTAATTTTTACAGGAGAAAAAATGAGTATAATAGTAATGAATAATGAATCCAGCCTGAATTATATTTGTCTTCATATTAATGAAGTTGTAAAATATAATTTTTAATATACAGTATTTTTAAATGGAGGAAGTGACTTACAGAGGCAAAAGTGCCTGGGACTTGGAAAAGTCGTAATGTAAACTGCCTATAAAGTTAAGTAAGGGTTTGTGGGTGTAAGGGGCTAAAGTTGGCAAAATGTTAAGTAAGAAATTGATAATTAAACAACAAATTCATTTTAAGGAGTTAAATATATATGGTTTCTTTTCCACGTGTTGCCACTCATTGAAGCACAACAATGACCAGATAAACGTTATTTAGCTAGAACTAATAACACTTGATATGCTGAGCAAGAAAGATGCCTTCAGTCAATGAAAAAGTCATTGTATTGAGAGGTAATATCTGCTTTAATATTTCCTCAGTTATCAATTTAATATTAATTTGTAAATATTATAAGATGTATACATCATTGGTAACAGAAACATAGTTAAAATGTGGTGGTATGGAGAATATATTTTTGATTCTAAGAAGTGCTGCAATTTTTTGTTTCCACAAACCCGTCGCCATAAAACTCATACCATAGCATAGAATGAACCTCCATGGTGAAACAAGGATTGAACATTTCAGACCTTAACTTTATTCATGGTTATAAACAATAACAAAGTCTATAGGTGGTACTGAGTAAGGATCCCTAAAGGTATCGTACACATTCAAAGTGTAAGTTAGCAATACTGAGGCTTCCCTTTCTCAAAGGGTAATCTGTGAGGCATCTGGAGATTCTGGTTAAAAATCTTAACCATACCCAAGATTTATTGTAGCATCATTTTAGTGGATACATCCTGGAATAATGTGCATTTTAAATGTTATTTTTAAGGACTCAAAAGTTGGAGAACCAGTAAGATAGTGTGAATTTTTTTTGAAGATCTGACTAATCTTCCTGATGAAGGACACTGAGAGAGTATAGGGACAGGGAGTAAAGGGTAAAAATTTGGGGGAAAAAAAGGATGTGGAGTGATTTAGTGGTAGGTGAACACTATTGCACTATCACCCTGACATGAATAAAAAAGCCCCATCTCTATCCATTAATCTTTTATGACTTCCAAACCTTTCTAGTATTGTTGTACTTAATTATTTTTTATCCTTCACTGTTTGGCTTTGCTTCCCTCAGCTGAATTATAAGCTAATTAAAGAGAAACATATTTTTGCATTCTCTTGCAAAAGACTACACATAGTAACTGCTTAAACTGATTTTACTGAATAAGAACAAATTCACCGAAGTCTCATTGAACTTACCTAGATATACTATCTCTCATTTTAACACTTTTGTTGTAAGTAAATCTGAATTTCCCCTGGCATCTCTTGCTTTAAGAGGGGATACTGCAAAGTAGCTCCAAGTGTGGGCTTCAGTGTCAGAAAACCTGGATTGAAATCCTGGCCCCACTCCTTAATTGCTATGTGCCCTTAAGCAAGTTTTGTACTCTTTGAACCTTAGTGCCCTCAACTATGACATGGCCCTGATAGTATCTACTTCAAATTATTATGAGAATTAAATGAGATAATGTATGTTAAATGTTTAGCATAATGCTTGGCATAAAGTACTCAAATGTTAGTGGTTCTGAGAGGTGAAGCCAGCTGGACTTCCTGGGTTGAGTGGGGACTTGGAGAACTTTTCTGTCTAGCTAGAGGAGTGTAAACACGCCAATCAGCGCTCTGTGTCTAGCTAAAGGATTGTAAATGCACGAATCAGCCCTCTGTAAAAAAACACCAATCAGCGCTATGTGTCTAGCTAAAGGTTTGTAAATGCACCAATCAGCACTCTATAAAATGGACCAGTCAGCACTTTGTAAAATGGACCAATCATCAGGACGTGGGTGGGGACAAATAAGGGAATAAAAGCTGGCCACCCCAGCCAGCAGCGCAACCTGCTTGGGTCCCCTTCCATGCTGTGGAAGCTTTGTTCTTTCTCTCTTCACAATAAATCTTGCTGCTGCTCACTCTTTGGGTCCCTACCACCTTTAAGAGCTGTAACACTCACTTCGAAGGTCTGCGGCTTCATTCTTGGAGTCAGCAAGACCAAGAACCCACTGGAAGGAACCAGCTGCGGAAACTCCGGACACAGTTCTGTTTCTTATAAGCCAGCAGTTATCAAAGTGTTATCCATTCACCCCTCTTGGGGTCCCTGAGACTGAAAACTGTTTACATAATAATACTAAGACTTTATTTGCCTTTTTCACTCTCATTTTCTTACATGTATAAAGTGGAGTTTTCCAGAGGCTAGCAGAAGCAGATGTGAGAATCCAGCTTCTATTAACCCAGACATCAGAGAGATTTGTACAAATGTAAAATAATGCCACTCTTCTCACCATTTTGGAGGGAGGTAGAGGGAATACTTATTTTTGTAAAATAGAGTCATTTATGTTAACATGTAATGGATTTATTTTTGTTTAAGTTGATAGGTGAATATTTTTAAATGTATGTTTTCTTTCTTTTTTTTTTTTTTGAGATGGAGTCTCGCTTTGGCGCCTAGGCTGGAGTGCAGTGGCGCGTTGTCGGCTCACTGCAAGCTCCGCCTCCTGGGTTCACGCCGTTCTCCTGCCTCAGCCTCCCGAGTAGCTGGGACTACAGGCGCCCACCACTGCGCCCCGCTAATTTTTTTGTGTTTTTAGTAGAGACGGGGTTTCACCATGGTCTCTATCTCCTGACCTCGTGATCTGCCTGCCTCAGCCTCCCAAAGTGCTGGGATTACAGGCGTGAGCCACCGCGCCTGGCTTGGCCGTATGCTTTAATCTCTAATATGATGAAGAACAAGAAATAATACAATGTAAGTGGGATATAGGATGCCTGAAGCGGTTATATTGTAACTGTTACCAGAAAGGGGTCCTGATCCAGACCTTAAGAGAAGGTTCTTGGATCTTGCGCAAGAAAGAATGTGAGGCAAGTCCATAGAGCAAAGTGAAAGCAAGTTTATTAATATAATAAAGGAATGTCACGCTTGTAATCCAGCACTTTGGGAGGCCGAGGCGGGCAGATCACCTGAGGTCAGGAGTTCGAGACCAGCCTGGCCAACATGGTGAAACCCTGCCTCTACTAGAAATGCAAGAATTAGCCAGGCGTGGTGGCAGATGCCTGTAATGCCAGCTACTTGGGAGGCTGAGACGGGAGAATCACTTGAACCCAGGAGGCAGAGGTTGCAGTGAGCCGAGATCGCACCATTGCACTGCAGCCTGGGTGGCAAGAGTGAAACTCCATCTCAAAAACCAACCAACCAAACCAACAAAAAACGAAAGAAAGTAAAGGAATGAAGGAATGGCTGCTCCATAGACAAGAGCATACTCAAGGGCTGCTGGTTGCCCATTTTTATGGTTATTTCTTGATTATGTGCTAAACAAGGGGTGGATTATTCATGCCTCCTCTTTTTTAGACCAGATAAGGTAACTTCTTGATGTTTCTATGGCATTTGTAAACTGTCATGGTGCTGGTGGGAGTGTAGCAGTAAGGATGACCAGAGGTCACTTTCATCGTCATCTTGATTTTGGTCGGCTTCTTTACTGCAACCTGTTTTATCAGCAAGGTCTTTATGCCAGTATCTTGTGTCAACCTCCTATCTTATCCTGTGACTTAGAATGCTTAACCATCTGGGAATGCAGCCCAGTAGGTTTCAGTCTCATTTTACCCAGCCCTTATTCAAGATGGAGTTGCTCTGGTTCACACGCCTCTGATATCACCAGTCTTTCTGTAAAGCAAAAGGATTTACATTTAATATGTATTCAGGAGCAATTTTAAAGAAAATTAAGGTGTTTTAAAAGATATGGATGATTTAGGAAAAAGTCTTGGAGACAGAAAATATGAATGAAAAAGTAACACTGGTATATGGCGGTAGTGAGAAAAAGGAGTTGTTTATAACTGGGGGGGGGGGTAGTAATGAAAACTATGTTGATGGGGCTACAAGCTGTGGGCAGTGAGAGAGGATACCACAAACTGATACCAGCCAGCTATAAAGACTTGAAAGGAAAATGCAATTACTTAGAGGAACTGCCGGAAACAAGATCATAGGTGATATTTATCCTCAAAGTCAGTACTTTTCAGACTTAATTGGACAGATGTATCATCTTGGATCTTGTTAAAGCGCATATTCCGATTAACTAATTCTCAGGTGGTTCCTAAGATTCTGTATTTCAAATAAGCTCCCAGAGGCTGCTAAAACTTTAGGCATCACTCGATAAGTCATATATGCACATTAGAGTTTGAGAAGCATTGCTGTATGTCATTATTTTACAGGTGAGGTAATGGAAGCTCAGAGACCTTAGTTGACTTGCTCAGTATTCCAAAGCTTGTGAGAACAAAACCTGGATTCGAATACAAATGGCCTCATATCAGACTTCACATTGTTTCCCTAATTTCTTAGAAACATGGAATGCCAAAATTAGGAATTACAATAATTGTTAAATTAATTTTCAGGTTTTTTTTGTGGAATGTTTAGGTTCAGAGATACATGTACAGGCTTGTGATATGTGTCATAGGGGTTTAGTGTACAGATTATTTCATCAGCCAGGTAATAAGCAAAGTATATGATAGCAGTTTTTTGGTCCCCACTCTCCTGCCACCCTCCACCCTCAAGTAGGCCCCAGTGTTTGTTGTTTTCTTTGTGTCCATGTGTGCTGAATGTTTAGCTCCTGCTTATAAATGAGAACATGAGGTATTTGGTTTTTTGTTCCTGTGTTAGTTTGCTTAGGATAATGGCCTCTAGCTCCAGCTATGTTCCTGCAAAGGACATGATCTCATTACTTTTCATGGCTGGATAGTATTCCATGGTGTTATATGTATCACATTTTTAAAATCCAGTATACCATTGATGGGCATTTAGGTTGATTCCCTGTCTTCGCTGTTGTGAATAGTACTGCGATTAACATATGTGTGCATTTGTCTTTATGGTAAAACATTTTATATTCCTTTGGGTGTATACTCAATAGTGAGAATGATAGTTCTGTTTTAAGTGGCAACGGTAGTTCTGGGTCATTCCCAATAGTGGGAATGATAGTTCTGGGTCAAATGGTAGTTCTGTTTTAAGTTCTTTAAGAAAACACTGAACTACTTTCCACAATAGTTGAACTAATCTACATTCCCACCAGCAGTTTATGTGTTCCCTTTTGTCCTCAACCTCGCCAGCATCTTTTATTTTTTGACTTTTTAATAATGCCATGCTGACTGGTGTGAGATGGTATCTCATTGTGGTTTTCATTTGCATTTCTCTAATGAGTGGTAATGTTGAGTATTTTTTCATATACTTGTTGGCCATGTGTATATCTTCTTTTGTAAAGTGTCTGTTCATGTCCTTTGCCCACTTTTTAATGGGATTATTTGTTTTTTGCTTGTGAATTTAAGTTCCTTATAGATTCTGGATATTAGACTTTGGTTGGATGCATAGTTTGCAAATATTTTCTCCCATTCTCTAAGTTATTTACTCTGTTTATATTTTCTTCTGCTGTGCAGAAGCTCTTAGTTTAAGTCCCATTTGGCAGTGTTTGATTTTGTTGCAATTGCTTTTGGCACCTTCAGCATGAAATCTTTGCCGGGGTCTATGTCCAGAATGGTATTTCCTAGGTTATCTCCCAGGGGTTTTATTGTTTTAGGTTTTACATATAAGTCTGCAATACATCTTGAGTTGATTTTATATATGGTGTTAGGAAGGAGTCCAGTTTCAGTCTTCTGCGTATGGCTACCCAGTTATCCTAGCACCATTTATTGAATAGGGAATCCTTTCCCCATTGCTTGTTTTTGTCAACTTTGTCAAAGATCAGAGAGTGTAGGTGTGCAGCTTTATTTCTGGGCTCTCTATTCTCTTCCATTGATCTCTGTGTCTGCTTTTGTACCAGTACCATGCTGTTTTGTTTACTGTAGCCTCATTGTATAGTTTGAAGTTAGGTAATAGGATGCCTCTAAGTTTCAAGTTCTTGACTTTCATTTTCCAAAAGAAGGATTTATAGAGAAACCTTTATGATGAATTTGTTTATCAGTATATTAGCAAATATTTATTGAAACTGTGTATTCTACACATGAAATATATATGACACAAATTCTGCCTCCATTAAGCTTACTGTTTAGAAGAGGTGTTAAGATTTACATGAATAATTTTCCCCCTATATTCCATACTTAAAGTTTCCACCATTTCCTGAATGTGCCAGAGTCTGGCAGCCAGGCTCTATCACAGCTACTTGCATTTGCGTATTAAGCCCTTCTCCTTTTGGCAAATTTTTCCCCCACTGTGTTATTTCTTTTTTTGTTTGTTTTTTAGATAGGGTCTCACTCCGTTGCTTAGGCTGGAGTGCAGTGGCACAATCACAGCTCACAGCAGCCTTGACATCCATGCTCAAGTGATCCTCCCCCCTCAGCCTCCTGCATAGCTAGGACCATAAGTGTTCACCACCATGCCCAGCTAATTTTTTTTTTTATTTTTTGTAGAGATGAGGTCTTGCTGTGTTACCTAGGCTGGTCTTGAACTCCTGGGCTCAAGCGATCCTCCTCCCTTGGCCTCCTGGATCAAAAACTTTCTTCTTTAAAAATTCATTGCAAATATCCTTGCTTTGGTGAATCTTTGTGTATTCAGGTGATTCTCTGTTCCCTGCATCTGTAACACTTCATTCATTACTCTAGAATTTGTTACATTGTATTAATATATTAGGTTATTCAGATAATTAAAGTGGTTATGATATACCATTTTACTAGTGCCTAGTTTAGAATTATTGGTGTCGATCTGCACCATTCAATAGAAATACAATGTGAACCACATATGCAGTTTAAAATTTTCTGTAGGTAGACTTTTAAAAATAAAAAGAAGTGTTACCGAAACACCAGAGGTTTGGTCTAGGTCCTGCTGCTTGCCACACAGAAAGCTAATCACTAATAAAAGTATTGCTAAGGAAGAAGGCTTTAATCAGGTGCTGCGGCCGAGGGGATGGAAGCTCAGTCTCAAATCCATCTCCCTGACTGACTAAAACAAGGGGTTTATATAGCAGGGAAAAAATGTAACAATATGTAAGAAAACAAGAACTAGGGAGTGACAAGGAGGCCTATGGTGCTGTGATCTGGTGAGTTTCAGTTCTTTGATACCTTTTTTTGAGAGACCTGAAAGTCCTTTCCTGAGGAACTCAGATAAAACAAATACAAGTGTCAAGCTTTAACAGCAGAAGGGTTAATTTCTATGTCCATCCAAAAGAACAGTCTGTGGGAGTATTGGGCTGGTTTCAGAAGCAAGGTGAAATTAAATTTAATACTATTTTATTTAACTCATATCCAAAGTATGATCATTTTAACACATAATCAATATAAAAATTATCAATGAGATAGTTTACATTTTTATGCTGTCTTCAAAATCTGCTGTGTTTTTAATTCTTAAAGCACATCTCAATTTGAACTGGCTGCCACATTTCAGGTATTCATGTAGCTAGTGGCTGTTGTATTGGACAGCACAGATCTAGAGCTTTTACGGGTTTTTAAAATGCCTTTTGAAATGCCTTTCTAGGCTGGGCGTGGTGGCTCATGCCTGTAATCCCAGCACTTTGGGAGACCAAGGTGGGCAGATCACCTGAGGTCAGGAGTTCAAGACCAGCCTGGCCAACAGGGCAAAGCCCCGCCTCTACTAAAAATACAAAAATTAGCCAGGCGTGGTCACGTGTGCCTCTAATCCCAGCTACTCGGGAGCCTGAGGCAGGAGAATTGCTTGAACTCTGGAGGCGGAGGTTGCAGTGAGTTGAGATTGCGCCACTGCACTCTAGCCTGGGTGACAAAGTGAGACTCCATCTCAAAAAAAAAAAAAAAAAAGAAGTAAAATAAAATGCTTTCTGAAGTAAGACATTTTTTTCAATACATCAAGTAAAAATAACTTTCTGGGTCTTGATGATTAAAATTTTCCCTTTTACTATGAATTTGATACATTTTCTCATGGTTATTTTTATCTTAATATGCGTAACTCCTAGTAAGATTTTTCAGAAGCTCATGTATTTTTTATTACTGTTTTGTATTAGATAATATTCTCATAATTTTAAGGTGGCCTTTAATTGAATATTCCAGAAGTAGATCTTCATGAAATACTGGTGTGAAACTATTGATGTGTGATTTTTGACAAATAAATGTTGTTTTTGAAATGGGGAAAGTTCCTGTGTCCCCCTCACAGGGTGTGCAATGGGGGAGTGGCTCACTTCTTCAGTGCCCCACTGCTCAAACTTCTAGGGGAGCGTACAGATGGTCACGTTGTGGGGCTCTGACCCCATGGCAGTGTCTAGGGGTAAATGTCGACAGGTGAAGCCCCAGTGGGCATGTGTTACCATGTGCTCTTTTAGTTTTGATGTCTATAGGCGGCTTGTGTTACCAGCTCAATTAGACCCTTTACCTTGTCGCAAGGACAGAGGTCTTTCTGTATCCCAGTTCTTACCTTGGTGTACAGGAAGAATCGGATCACACTTGGGCTTGGAGAATAAGTACAAGGTTTGATTGAGTGGAGGTAGCCCTCAGCAGATGGGGAAAGCCAGAAGGGAGATGGAGTGGGAAGGTTTTCCCCTGGTGTCTGGCCGCTCAACGGCCTGTGATCTCCCTGCCACAGCCAACCTCTGCATCGTTCTGCTTCTTCTTGTTGGTGGCCCACCGGCGTGCCGGTGCATGTCGGTGCATTCCTCTCGACGTCCAGCCGCCTGTGTGTTCCTTCACTGATGTGCTCCTTTCTGTGTCCAGCGGGCTGTGTGTCTGCCTGCTACGGTCTTAGGGGTTTCTATAGGCACTGGATAGGGGCGTGGCAGGCCAAGGTGGTCTTGGGAAATGCAACATTTGGGCAGGAAAACAAAAATGCCTGTCCTTACCCTATGTCCGTGGGGGCTATTTTTGTTCCTAGCCCTAGCTGGGAACCATGCCCTCCTCTACCCAGCACTTCCCTTCCCCGCTTCCATATCATTTAAAAGGGCCATGCTCTTCCCTTCCCAGTACTCCCGTATCATTTTGGCTCTTTCCAAATTACAAGTTGACTATACATTTGCAGAGTTTCCTTGTTCATCCAACAAATACAGTCAGTATTGTGCTATATTTGGTAGATACAGAGGGTAAAAAGCACTAGGTGGAGATATGCATGGAGCTAGAAGCTTTTAACTGAGAAAGGGGATAAGAGATATGAAGGAAGGGTTTGTCAGCAATAGATTAGAAGAAGTGCTCAACTGGAAACAAGGAAGACAGTTCAGTATCTGTGTTAATAATCTAGAAAGAAGTAAAAGGAACCTATTTTGAGGTAGAGGTGGTAGAGATGTAGAGCAGTGGATTTAAGAACTATTAAAGGAACTCGGGAAGACGGGATTTTATTTGGGAGAAAAGTAATAGGAAGGAATCAAGGATAACTTTCCAGTTTCTAGTTTAGGCAATTGATAGCCAGTTAAGGCAACTGAATTAAGAAAACCAGAAAAAGATGTTTTTGAGGGAAGGTTGAAGATGATGATAACGTTAATAATAGCTGATATTTTTAGTGCTTCCTGTACATCAGGCATTTCACTAAATGCTTTACGTACATAATTTTATTTAATTTTCGTAACAATCCTTTGAGGACAGTTATAATTATTATTTTGGTTTTACTGATGAGAGAAACAGTTAAAAAAGATTAGAGTATCTTCTTCAGGGTCAGATATTTAATAAGAAAGAGGCAGAGCCAGGATTTCAACCCAGGCAGTCTTTATTCCTGAGCCTTTGCTTCTAACTATTATACTTACAGGTTACTGAATTTAGTGTTGGACATGTTAAGTTTAAGGTGCATGTGTTACCAAAACACCGGGGGTTCAGTTTAGGGCCTGCTGCTTGCTGCACAGAAAGCCAACCACTGAAAAAGGAGTATTGGCAGGGAAGAAGGCTTTAATCAGGTTCTGCAACCATGATAGGAGACCAGTCTCAAATCCATCTCTCTGACCAACTAAAATTAGGAGTTTGTTTATATAGCAAAAGAAATGTAACCATTTGTGGGAAAACAGGAATTAGTGAGGGGTAAGGAAGAGGAATTGGTCAACAGCAAACAGGCAGTGGGTTAGGCAATCATGATGGGTGAGGGGTCTGGCATCTTATTGTTCAAATGCAATGATCTGAGAAGTTTCAATTCCTTGATCTGAGAGGCCTGATAGTTGGTTTGCAGAGAAAGGAACTCAGATAAGACAAATGTAACTTGAAACTTTCTCAAGTTTCAAGACTGGGAGGGGCCATTTCTGTGTGGTACAGTGGGCCAATTTCACATGTGGGACAGCAAGTGGCAGATCTTCAGTATGGCGTATCAGCCCAGTAAGTAATTGGCTAGAGAACAAGATTTTGAAACCTTCATCGTATAGGTGAAAGACTTTAGTAGGAAGAACCTACCATGAAGATTGGTATCTTGGAAACGAAGATGGGGTTTTGAGTGGGGTGGGGTGTCAAGAACTATGAGTGGTCAGGATTGTGAAATACAGTGGAGGAGGTCTCAGAAAATAAGTACTGAAAAGGGACCATTGCCTTAGCAGCAAGGATGTCATTATGTTACCCAGAATATGACCTCATTCGGAAATACGATCTTGGCAGATGTGCATAATTAGTAGAATTCTTTATCTGTAATGAGTGAGCTAGTGAGGAATCACAGAAATAAAAATTAGTTCTCTTGACTTACTCATAGGAATTGGTCTTGAATATGTTTTTATTGTGGCTCTTTTCAATAATGCCTTTGAAGTGCAGAAACACACTTTGTTTCAGAAATACATATTGTCAGACAGAATGTGTCTGTTCTGTATTTAATAGTCCAAGTCTATTTGAAAACTGTCTAATCAAATAGTGACTTTAAATGGTTTTAAACAGATTTGAGTATTCCATTATGGCTCTTGCTAGATGTTTAACTTGTTTAGACTGAAGAAAAAAAGATTTCCAATTAACACCAGATTTTATAAGAAAGAAAATATTAGCTAAATAATTAATTCCATGAAATGACATGTATTCCAAACAAAAACAGACAACATCTGTTAATTCAATTGGGAAGACAAGATTGAGCTTGATCCTTTAAGTTTTTAATTAAGTGTTCTTCAGAATTTTTATTTCAAAAATGTTTTAAGTACCTTTAGTGAATAATACTGTGTCACACCACAACTTGAAGTATTTGATTTGTGTACAATCATTAAATTTAACATTTTATTTATTGATTAAATAGTGAAAGCTGATCAATCTGACATTCTCTTGAACTCTATTAACTATTCCCTTCATCTACAATTTAATGATAATCAATGCTTTTAACAAATCGGAAGCACTACAGTTTGTAAAACAGACTTCTAAATAAGATAGTTAAGAATAAATTATGTTCACAAGTTTCATTATAATTTCCACCGTATCCTAATTATTTGACAATTTGTAATCCACGTTATAGTAAAAATATCATTTTTATTTGTTGACGGTCTTCTAGTTGCAGTTCCCATCCTTTACATGAATCTCTTTTATATTATTACTGAGATGGATGGTCACATATCCTTCTTTTCCCATCTCTGGAGTTCATTACCCCTCAAGGCATTCAGCAACCAGTCATGAGTATCTATGAATACTAGACACCAGGATATGGGATATGGCAATGAACAAAATAGATACTAGCCCTGTCCTCATGGAGTCTATAACCTCATTCTGATTTTAAATACATAATTAGAAGTATGTAAGCAATGTGAAGAAGAAATAGAGTGCTATAGAAGAATATGATGGGAATGTAACATAATGGGGGTGGTCGGAAAACACTGCCTTACGACATTAATGTTTTAGCTGATACTTGAAGGTTGAATTAACTAGGGGGAAGGATGGGGAAGTTTTTCAAGCTGAGGAAATAGCATGTACCAAGATCTAGCGTTGAGAACATGGTATATTCGGGCTACCTGAAATAATTACAGTGAGAGGACATTCTCCTCATTTTTGCAGGAACCTGGCTTGGCTCTTATGAGGACTAAAGGACTCTTTTAAGGGTTTGCAGCTTTGGAAGGTCAGCATTAGCAAACCTTCATAGATGCACATTAGAGTTTCAGATACATTGTTTTACAAATGAGATAATAGAAGCCCAGAGAACTTAGTGTCATGATTTGCTCAGCATTCCGTAGTTTGTTAGTAGAATACCTGGATTGGAATAAAGATGTCTTCACACCATGGTCTAGGGCTTGTTTCTCTAATGTCACAAAAGAAGATAGAATGCCAAAATTCTGTTTGTATGTCAGGCACTGAGCTAAATGATTTACATACAGTATTTCATTTAATAATGTGTTAAGTGACTTTATAAGGAGACATCAACAAAATAGGAACAAGAAATGAAGAACACATAAACACTTGTAAGACATCTTGACCTTCTGTAAATAACTGGGGTTAGGGTTGGGGTTGGGGTGAGGAGTGGAGACCAAAAAGAGATGAGACATTATGTGTTCAACAGTGAGCAGGTATACGCAGATTTACCCCCAAGGCTGAGGGAGCTGACAGGCCGAAAAAAGAGGCTGACAAGTCCAGTTTCTCGGAAAGAAATACTTAATAGGGACTTAGGAAAAGAAGCGATGTCTCAAGCAGCCGCAAGATGGTGGATACTCACACCTGCCCTGTGGAAAGTATTCTTTGTAGAGTGAGCTTTTAAGGTAAAACATGCATCTGGTCCTATCTTCAGACTTTCTTGCCGAGACTTGTGACTACTGGGGAGTTTAGATAAGCATCTTTTTGAGAGTTATGTATGTTATAGGCCTTTGTTTAAAGACTTTACTGCAGAACACCTTGGTATGTGGCAGGGGTAGAAGGGGGTGGGTCAAACACTAGTCATCATGGCAGTTTTGCTTCAAGATGGCATCACCCTTGCCATGGAATAGGCTGTTTTCCTACGTTATGTAAGGGCAACAAGTAGCAAACACTGGAGTTATCATTGAAATACCTACAGGTTGGTAAGGCTGGGGAAAATTCAGGCTATGTATACCTATTATAACATTTTCTAAAACGTGATATACTATTTTCCCTTCTTTATTTTATTTTCCTCTTTGCTGGGAAATGGCCTCTTGAAATAGTAATCATATAAATTGGTATTGTAAATTTTTTAAGTTAACATATAGTGAAATTGACTTCTTGTACAGTTTTATGAATTTAAACACAGATGTAAATCCATGTAATCAGCACCACAATGAAGATACAGAAGAGTTCCATCAGTCTAAAACATTCCTTGAGTTATTCCTTTGTAGTTATACACTCCTCCTATGCATAACCCGCGCCAGCTGCTGATCTGTTTGTCATTACTATATTTTTAACATTTTGAGAATGTCATATAAATAGAATAATACAGTATGTAATGTTTTGATACTTTCTCTTTCCATACAGCATAACCCTCTGAGATTCATGCTGGTGTTGCTTTTGTCAATAATTCATTCCTTTTTGTTGCTGAGTAGCATTCCGTTGCATAATGGATATACCATGATTTGTTTATCCAGTAGGACATGTGGGTTGTTTCCAGTTTTTGGTGATTATGAAAAGAAGCTGCTTCAAATATTTGTGTACAGGTTTTTGTGTAAAGTTAAGTTTTTATTTCTGTAGATACTAAGGAGTGGGATTGCTGGGTTATTTGGTAAATACATAACTTTATTTTATTTATTTATTTTTATTTTTTTGAGATGGAGTCTTGCTCTGTCACCCAGGCTGGAGCGCAGTGGCACGATCTTGGCTCACTGCAACCTCCTCCTCCTGGGTTCAAGTGATTCTCCTGCGTCAGCCTCCCGAGTAGCTGAGATTGCAGGTATGCGCCACCACGCCCAACTAATTTTTGTATTTTTAGTAGAGATGAAGTTTGGCCACGTTGGCCAGGCTGGTCTCAAACTCCTGAACTCAAGTGATCTGCACACCTTGCCTCCCAAAGTGCTAGGATTACAGGTGTGAGCCGCTGCACCTGGCCCATAACTTTACAAGAAACTGCCAAACTGTTTTCCAGAGTAGCTGTACCATTTTGCATTCCCACCAGCAACATAAGAGTTGGAGTTGCTCTGTATCTTTATCATTTGATACTGTTAGTATGTTTTATTTTAGCTATCTTAATATTTGTATAAATAGGATCTCATTGCATATTTAATTTTTTAGAATCTTTATTGAGGTCTAATTCACCTAACATAAAAATTACCCATTTAAAATGTTCAGTTGTTTAGTGGTTTTAGTATATTCAGAGTTATGTAACCATCACAATCTTAAGGTTACAACATTTTCATCACTATGGTTTTAATTTGCATTTCTCTATGGGCTCATGGTATTAAACATCTTTTTATATGCTTCTTTGCCATTAGTATTTCCCAGTCTTTTGTCCATTTTTAAATTTGGCTTTTCTGTGTTCTCACTCTTGAGTTTTGAGAGTGCTTATATATTCTAGATACAAGTCCTTTTGTTGATTTTGTGACTTGCAAACATTTTGTCCAAGTCTGTAGATTATAGTTTTTTCATTCTTTTAACAGTGGCCTTCACATAGCACAAGTTTTTTTGTTTTGATTAAGTTCAATTTATCAGTTTTTTTTCATTTTGATGTCATGCCTAAGATCTTTTTGTCTAACCTATGGTCACAAAGATTTTCTCCTTTGTTTTCTTCTAAAAGTTTTATAGTTTTAAATTTTCATTTCGCTCTGTCATCCATTTTGAGTTAATTTTTGTAAAAGGTGTGGGGTTTAGACCAGTTCATTTTCTTAGATATGGACATCCAGTTGTTATAACATAATTTGTTAAAAAAGAGTCTCTCTCCCTTCTCCTTTGAATTGCCTGTGCACCTTTGTCAAAAATCAATTTACCGTATTTGTTTGGGTCTATTTCTGGACTGTCTATTCTGTTTCATTAGTTTATATGTCTGTTCCTTTGCCAAATACCACAGTGCCCACTTTGTCTTAATTATGTCTTAAAATTGTCTAGGGTGATTTCTCTGACTTTATTGTTTTTCAAAAATTTTATGGCTATTTTCATTCTTTTGTCTTTCTATTGGCTTTTGCCTTTTTATCCAGTTATTCTAGTTATTTTGCCTTTATATTTTGCCTAATATAAAATTTAGACTCCGTTTGTCTATATCTATGAAAAAATATTTCTGGCATATCAATTAGAACTGTGTTAAATCTGTAGATCAATTTAGGGAGAATTGACATCTTTACTGCATTTTGGCTTCCAATACATGATTATGGAAAGTGTCTCCATTTAGGTCTTCTTTGATAAATTTTATCAGTGATTTGTAGTTTTCCGTATACAGATCCTATACAAGTTTTGTTAAATTTATACCCAATTATTTCCTTTTAAAAAATCTGTTGTAAATGGTATGTTGTTTAATTTCCCAGTTGTTCATTGCCAGTGTATAAAATTATGATTGATTTTTTTTTCCAGACAGGGTCTCACTATGTTTCCCAGGCTGGAGTTCAGTAGCATGATCTCGGCTCACTGCAACCTCTGCCTCCCAGATTCAAGCGATTCTCCCATCTTAGCCTCCTGAGTAGCTGAGACTATAGGCGCTTTTGATGGAGATGGGGTTTCACCATATTGGCCAGGCTGGTCTGGAACTCCTGACCTCAAGTGATAAGACCACCTCAGCCTTCCAAAGTGCTGGGATTACAGGTGTGAGCCACCGTGCCCGACCAATTTTTTTTAAATATATTGACCTTGTATATTGTGACCCTGATAAACTCACCTACTATTTCTAGGAGTTTTTGATAAATTCCTTGGGATTGTCTACACGGTCATCTTGTCTACAGTTTTATGTCTTCCTTTTCAAACTGTATGCTTTTATTTCTTTGTCTTATATTATTGCACTGACCAGGATTTTCAGTGTGATGTTGAATAGGTGTGAAGAGTAGCCATTCTTTCTCCTTGTTCCCATCTTAGCCTTTACCATTAGTTATAATGTTTGCTGCAGGTTTTTTCCCCTCTGCCGTAGATGCCTTTTATCAAGTCGGGGAACTTTTTTCCTATTTCTAGTTTGCTGAGAGATTTTATTGTTGATGGACATGGAGTTTTGTCACATGCTTTTTATGCGTCAAATCATATGACCATGTTTTTTTTTTCTTTACACTGTAATTTAGATTACATTTTTTGATTTTCAAATATTAAGCTAGTTTTGCATTCCTGAGATCTACTCCCACTAGGTTGTGGTATGCTATTCTTTTTACATATTGTTGGATTCAGTTACCTAATATTTTCTCAATGATTTTTACATCTCTTTATAAGGGATATTGGTCTGTAGTTTCCTTTTTGTTCTGTCTTAGTCTGATTTTGGTGTCAGGATAGTATTGACGTCCTAAAATGAGTTGGGAAGTGTTCTCTCCCATCTCAGTCCTTTTGGACTGCTATGACAGAATGCCACATAGACTGTGCCACATATCAACAACAGAAATTTAAGGTTAGGGAAATTTGTTTCTCTTAGCACTCGAGGCTGGGAATTCTTAGGTCAAAGCATCAGCAGATTCCCATGTCTGAAGGGCCTGCTTTCTGGCCCCTAGATGACTGTCTCCTCACTGTGTCCTCACATGGTAAAAGGGGCATGGAAGCTTCCTGTCTCTTTTATAAAGGCATTAATCTTGATCAAAAGGGCTCTGCCATCATTACCTAATTGTTCACCAAAGGCCCACCTCCTAATACCATCACATTGGGGGTTAGGATGTCAATGTATTTATGAATTTTAGGGTGACACATTCAATCTATAATACCTCCTTCTATTTTCTGAGATTGTATAGAGTTGGTATCACTTTGTTAAATGTTGGTTGATCCCCTCCTTGAAGTTATCTGCGTCTAGAGATTTCTGCTTTTTTTTGAGACGGAGTCTCACTCTGTCGCCCAGGCTGGAGCACAGTGGCACAATCTCGGCTCACTGCAACCTCTGCCCCCAGGATTCTAGTGATTCTCCTACCTTATTCTCCCGAGTAGCTGGGATTATAGATGCCTGCCACCACGCCGAGCTAATTTTTTTGTATTTTTAGTAGAGATGGGGTTTCACCATGTTGGCCAGGCTGGTCTCGAACTCCTGATCTCGGGTGATCCACACCCTTCGGCCTCCCAAAAGGCTAGGATTACAGGCATGAGCCACCACACCCAGCCAAGATTTCTTTTTTGGAAGGTTTTTTTGTTTGTTTTTTTAGATAGAGTCTCACTCTATCACCCCGGCTGGGGTGCAGTGGCACAATCTTGACTCACTGCAACCTCCGCCTCCTGGGTTCAAGTGATTCTCCTGCCCTCAGCCTCCTGAGTAGCTGGGATTACAGGTATGCGCCACCATGCCCAGCTAATTTTTGTATTTTTAGTAGAGATGGGATTTCACCATGTTAACCAGGCTAGTCTCAAACTCCTGACCTCAGGTGATCTGCCCACCTCAGCCTTCCAAAGTGTTGGTATTACAGGCGTGAGCCACCATGCCTGGCCATTTTGGAAGGTTTTTAATAATGATTCAATTTATTTAATACTTACAACACTATTTAGGTTATCTGTTTCATTTTGGGTGAATTTTGGTAGTGTATGGTTTTTGAGGAATTGATCTGTTTTATCTAAGCTGTCAAATGTATGCACATGGAGTTGTTTGTAGTTTTCTCAGTATCCTTGAATGTCTGCAATGTCTGTAGTTCTTCCCTATTTCATTTTTATTTTTGGTAATTTGTGTCTTTTCTTTTTTCTCTGTCAGTCTTGCTTGAGTTTTTTTGTTTGTTTTTTTTAAATCAATTATATTACTCTTTCTAAAGAGCCATCTTTTGATTTCACTGATTATTAGGGGGTTTTTTTGGTTTGTTTTCAATGTTGGTCATTTCTATTATTTCTAATATTTGCTTTTGGGTTCATTTTGTTTACATTTTCTATTTTCTTAAAGTGGAAGCTTAGATTAGTGATTTGAGATTTCTCATATAAACATTTTATATCATAAATTCCCCTGTAAGCACTGTTTTAGCAGTATCCCTCAAATTTTGATAGGTTGTATTTTTATTAATTCAAAATATTTTCTGATTTCCCTTGATATTCCTCTTTGACTTATGGATTATATAGAAGTGTGTTGTTTAATTTCCATGTGTTTGGAGAATTTGCTATTATCCTTTCATTATTGATTTCTAATTTTGTTACAGTTTAGGAGGACATACTTTGCATAATTTCAATTCTTTTAAATTTGGTAAGGCTTATTTTATGACCCAGGATATAGTCTGTCTTGGTACATAGTTCCATGTGCATTTTGAAAAGGATAAGTATGTATATTCTGGTGGCGTTCCTGAAATTTTCTTTAAAGGTTAATTACATCCACTTGGTTAATTGATGTTCACTTCTTCTATATTCTTGCTGATTTGCTGTCTACTTATATTCATTTTATTGATTACTAAGAGTTATGTTGAAGTCTCCAGCTATAATTGTATATTTATCTCTTTCTCCTTTCATTTCTGTCAGTGTTTGATTCATATATCTTGAAGCTCTGTTGTAGGTGCATCCACACTTTCAAAGTAATGATTTTTTTTGATGAATTGACTCTTTTATGAGATGTGATATCTCTATCCTTGGTAATTTTGTTTACTTTGATGCTTACTTTGATATTAATAGTTTCATCTTCCTTTTGATTAGTATTTGCATGGTGTATCTTTTTCCATCATTTTACTTTTAAACTTCACTTTATATTATGTTTGAAGTGAGTTTCTTGCAGGCAACATATATAGTTGGACATTTAAAAAACTCATTGTGACAGTCCATCTTTTAATTGGTATGTTTAGATAGGTCATTTATGTTTAATGTAATGATTGTTATGTTTGGATTTAGATCTACCATTTTGTTATTATTATTATTTTTTTGCTTTTCCATATGTTTTCTGTTCATTTTCCCTTTTTTTTTTGGGGGGGGAGTATTTTAATATTTTTTGTATTTTAATGTATCAGTTGTATTTTTTCTTGTATCTGTTTCTACAGTTATTTTTAATGGTTGCTTCAGGGATTATAATATACATACTTCACTTTAAACAGTCTATTTAGGATTAATATTTTACAATTTTGTATAGAACATAGAACCCTTTACACCAAATAGGTCTCTTTCCCTTTCCTCTTAAGCTGTGATTGTCTTATGTTGACATCCACATACATTGAAAACTCCATTAGACAAGATTATACTTTTTGCTTTCAGTTGACAAAGATTTTATAGAACTCAAGAAGAATAGTTCATTATATATATATACCCAGATATTTGCTGCTTCTGTTGATTTTCCTTCATTCCTGATGAGGTTT
Source organism: Homo sapiens (assembly GCF_000001405.40). Lineage (NCBI taxonomy): Eukaryota > Metazoa > Chordata > Mammalia > Primates > Hominidae > Homo > Homo sapiens. The sequence continues at coordinate 180,743,610 of NC_000001.11, forward strand.
TGAGTTTCCTGATTATTATTTCTCAGCTATCCAAAGAAATTCCTTTAACAATTTTTTTAGAGTAGTCTACTGGCTACAAATTCTCTTAGATTTTCTTTCTCTGAGATTATCTTTATTTCACCTTCATTCCTGAAGGATGTTTTCAATGGATATGTATTCTGGGCTGACAGTTCTTTTCTTGTTGCACTTTAAAAATTTTGATCTACCTCCATGTCTGGACATTTTGATGAAAATTTCACAGTTGTTAAAATAAGCAATGAGTTGTTTTTCTCTGGCTACTTTCAAGAGTTAATTTTGTCTTTAGTATTTTACAGTTTGATTATGATCCATCTGGCCTTGGACTTCTTTGGATTTATCTCATTTGGAGTTTACTCAGCTTCTTGAATATGTAGGTTTATGTCTTTCACCAAATTTGGGATGTTTTTAACTATTATGTCTTAAGATTTTTTATGTACTGCATTCTATTTCTTTTCCTTTGGGAACTTGGTTGACATGAATGTTAGACTTTTTGCAGTCCCTCAAGTCACTGAGATCCTCCCTCTTCCTCTCCCCATCATTTATTCCTCTGTGGCTTAGATTGAATAATTTCTGTTGATCTGTCTTCAGGTGTACTCACTCTTTGCTCTGTCATCTCTATTCTGTTTGCTGGACCCATTTGGTGAGTTTTTATTTTATTTGTTAAATTTTTCAGTTCTAACTTTTTTATTTAGAACTTTTTTTAATTTAGAATTTATTTTTATTCTTCTTTTGATCGTATATTTTTGTGCCAGAGCATTCCTTTCTATTCCTTTCAAGAATATTTGCCCTTCCTTGGTGAAGCATTTTAATGATAGTTTTTGTTACATAATTCCAACATCTGTGTCATCTTGGAGTTGGCATTTGTTGTCTTCTGCCATGTGTTGAGATTTTCCAGGTTATTTGTATGCCAGGTAATTTTAGATTGTATCTTGGGCATTTTGGATATTATGTTAGAAGATTCAAGGTCTTGCTTATATCCTGTATAGAGTGTTGAGTGACTTGTTCAGGTTTAGGCACAATTTCTTTCTTTTTTTTTTTTTTGAGACAGAATCTCACTCTGTTGCCCAGGCTGGAGTGCAATGGCACGATCTCGGCTCACTGCAGCCTCCGCCTCCCGGGTTCAAGTGTTTCTCCAGCCTTAGCCTCTTGAGTAGCTGGGATTACAGGCACATACCACCACACCTGGCTAGTTTTTTTGTATTTTTAGTAGAGACGGGGTTTCACCGTGTTAGCCAGGATGGTCTCGATCTCCTGACCTCATGATCCACCTTCCTTGGCCTCCCAAAGTGCAGGGATTACAGGTGTGAGCCACCATGCCCGGCTGGTTTAGGCACAATTTCTAACTAACCTTGTGTGATTTGTGATTTCAATATTAGTGTTGTTTTCAAAGCCTTTGATATGCTATTCATATATGTCCTATAAGATATGCTATTCAGATATGGCCTACATGTGACCAGATATGTGTCAGTTGCCTGGACAGCAGTATATTCATAGTTTAATTTTCAGAGTCTGTGGTGTGCTGCTTAGGTTCAGATCCGATTATGCAAGCTTTTCTCTCTGTGCATTCTCCTTGATAGTTCTCTGAAGTGTCCCTTTTCTGTTCTCTGGTCAGATAACTAGGGCTTTATTTATTCTGCTCTGCGGAGCAATTCCTATGACTTTGCTTGTATCCAAAGCTAAGCAGTGGAACAGGAGGGAGGGAGGGGAAGAGAGAGAGACAGAGAGAGACAGCAAGAGAGAGAGCACGAGTGAGCAAGAGAGTCCGAGAACGAGAGTGAGCATGCAATATGCAGTAGGGGGTCAATTTCACTCTCTGGGGAGTACTACTTCGCTGCTGTAAGAAGAAAGTTTCTCTTCCTCAGTGTTTTAGGCTCTTCCAGGCCCCTGTTACTACTGTTCTCACTGCCACCACTACCACAGGGTTTCATGGGAGTTTGGGTGCAAGAGAATGGATAAAAGAAGAAAAGGGGGGGATGTTTCCTCAGTGAATGTTAAGAAATCCCTTTCCTTCTCCTCAAGACAGATTTAGAGGATTTTTGGAACTCTGTCTGCACTGATGCCTATATCTTGGTTTTGGGCAGCATTGAGTACAGGCCAGCAGATACTGAAGAGGAAAAATACATGGTAAACTGACTGCTGGTTTGGTGGCACTTTGATTCTTGTCTTTTTCTCCAAACCTTAAGAGTCTTCACATAGTTGCTGCATACATTTTGTTTAGGTTTTATGGATGAATTCACTGGGAGAGACAGGTGGAATATACTTACTTCACTTTATTCAGAACCAAAACTTTGCTTGCTTTTTGTTTTGTTTTGTTTTTAGCTTAGAACAACACAAATTTATCATCTCATAGTTCTGGAGGTCAGAAGTCCAAAATGGATCTCACAGAGGTAAAACCAAGGCAGGGCTATGTCCTTCTGGAGTCTCTATCTGTTCCTTTTTTTTCTTTTTCTGCCATACTTTTATTTTACTATGTTTTTTTATTTAAATAGCTTTAGGTGTACCAAGTGGGTTTTGGTTTCATGGATGCATTGTATAGTGGTGAAGTTTCAGATTTTAGTGTTTCCTCACTGAATGTTAAGAAATCCCTGTCACCTGAGTAGTGTGCATTTTACCCAGTGTGTAGTATTTTATCCCTCACCTCCCCCACCTTCCTCTCTTCTGAGTCTTCGGTGTCCATTATACCATTCTGTATGCCTTTGAGTACCCATAGCTTAGCTTCCACTTACAAGTGAGAACATACAGTATTTGGTTTTCCATTCCTGAGTTACTTCACTTAGAATAATGGCCTCCAGTTCCAAACAAGTTGCTGCAAAAAACATTATTTTGTTCTTTCTTATGGCTGAGTAGTATTCCATGGTGTATATATACCACATTTTCTTTATCCACTCCAGTTGATGGGCACTTAGGTTGCTTCCGTATCTTTGTAGTTGTGCTGCAATTAACATATTTGTATAGGGGTTTTTTTTTGATATAATGACTTCCTTTGGGTAGATACATAGTAGTGGGATTACTGGATCGAATGGTAGATCTACTTTTCGTTCTTTGAGAAATCTCCATACTAAAACTTTGCTTGATTTTTAATAGGACATTTAAAAAACTATCCGCTGTATTCCTAAACAAGCAAAAACCAAACAGATGAGCAAAAAATCATTACCTTGCTAGAACTCAGCCATTCATTAATACATCCCCTTGGGTAATCTTCATAAACCTTTGAAAGATCTTTTTTGGGGGTTGGGGACCTGAGTACAGGAATTACTTAAAAGTTTGTTGTTTTGTATATAAAATGCGCATCTACCTACCTGGCTTTAAAATATATTTATTTTGTACAGCACCATTAAAATCCTCTTTGTGATTTTTATGGTTAATATTTCAAATTGAAATTTAATAATCATTTTTTAATGTCAAATAGTGGTCTTTTGTTCATAATCATTAGTAATTAATACACAATTACTTAATATTTGAAATGGTTAACATATTCCCCCTCTTAACATCTACTTTTTCACAACCATTTAGTGGATTTGACCAAAGAAGCTAAGTGTTATTCAGTTTCATTGACTGAATCCTAAAACTTAGACGTAAGTATACATTTTTTAAAAAGAATACTAGTAATCTTAACAATTTAGCTTCATACGGTTATTGTAGTTACCTGTAACTAGCTTGTATCTTTTATCAGTCTTCACTGGCTTTCAGAAGGTGCTCAGGGCATGAGAAAAAAAGGAAACTGATTTTGAGGCACCTATTGTTTCAAGCCTCTAATCCATTTAGTTGCTAATACATTGTTTATTTGTACTTATTTGTCACTAAAAGTTTGCAGAGGAGTCTATTATTTGTTTGTAATTTGCCTTGTTAGATTTTTAGTGATCTTAAGTACAGAAATTATCCGTTATTTATTTAGTATTTACTATTTCCCACCTAATGGATTCTCAGTGAATAATGATAAGTTGATTGGAATTTAGATAGTGAAGATTTTTAAAAATAAGTTAATAGGGAAGGCTTTTTACTATTTAAATATTACATGATACAGAAAAATTAATCTGATTTTAATTGAACTCTACAAGGTAGAAGCAATGAGACAGCACAGATATCTGTACAGAGTGAACAGAACATATGTACAAAGAAAAATAGAGGCTTTATAGCCATAAAAGCGAAGCAAGCCAGTCAGTTTCTCAATTGCCATGGCTTTCCAATTCCCATGAAGCATGCCTCTATCAAGGTTTCTGTGGTGGGGACCCCAGCTCACCAACTGAAACCATTATGTCTGTGAAACAAACCTTTTATTTAAAGTGATTGTCTGTTCTTTGAAATCAGAAGAACAACAACCAAAACAAAACAAAACAAAACAGATTTTCCACTTAAACATTTACAAACAAGAAAATCTTATGTGAATCATATTATAAAAGTTTACTATAAATTATATCTTTGATAACCTGGTAGGTACCATACACATTTAGAGTCATCCATACCCCAGCTTGAATCACTGTGTTACCATTTACCACCTGTGTGATTTTTGGACAAATCATTGCTAAGTTTTAATTCTCTTGTCTGTGAAACATTTCTATGGTGTCTAGCCAGTGGTATATTGGAGCTGGCTTATACCAGCTCACAAGAGCCAATTGTTAAATTTTCAGAAATCTTGTCGGCTGATTGTTAAACACAACCATTAATAAGAATTATATAAGCTTATAATTAAATAGGTTATATTAAAAGCAAAGTCAATAAATGCTCAAAACTCATCACTTAATTATTTTGCTACTCTGTGTTATTATTTATGTCTTTTTTTTTTTTTTTTTTTTTTTTTTTTTTTTTTTGAGATGGAGTTTCACTCTTGTTGACCAGGCTGGAGTGCAATGGCGCCATCTCAGCTCACTGCAACCTCTGCCTCCCGGGTTCAAGCAATTCTCCTGCCTCAGCCTCCCGAGTAGCTGGGATTACAGGCATGCGCCACCACGCCCGGCTAATTTTGTATTTTTAGTAGATGTGGGATTTCTCCATGTTGGTCAGGCTGGCCTAGAACTCCTGACCCCAGGTGATCCACCCACCTCAGCCTCCCAAAGTGCTGGGATTACAGCATGAGCCACCGTGCTCGGCCATTTATGTCTGTTATATCTGTATGGTGAAATACTGTATAAAGATGTGCTGCTTGCATATCTCTTCCCAACTCTGTATTCAGTGATGTCATATTGGTAGCTTGAAATCTGCAGTGGTAGTATGTATATTACGGAAATTGGCAAATATGCAAATCACAGTTTGATTTGTTTTATTGACTGTCTAGATTTAAGAAATTAACAAAACTGGACGAGGTGGCTCACGCCTATAATCCCAGCACTTTGGGAGTCCAAGGCAGGAGAATCACTTGAGCTCAGGAGTTTGAGACCAGCCTGGGTAATATAGCGAGACCTTGTCTCTACTAAAAATTTTAAAAAATTAGCCAGGCGTGGAGACGCACACCTCTAGTCCCAGTTACTCAAGAGGCTGAGGTGGGAGGATTGTTTTGAGTCTGAGAGAGTCTGCAGTGAGCTATGACTGCATCACTGCACTCCAGCCTAGGCAACACAGCAAGAAGACCCTGTCTAAAAAAATAGAAGAAAAGGAAGAAATTGATGTAGAAAATGCCAATGAAGCAGATTAAACTTAAATTTTTTTATGTCTGTTGCTTATTATTGTGAATAGCACAAAACATTGAGGACATGTTCTAAACTATTGTCTAATTTAGCAGAGAAGTTCCTTATGTCATTAGTGAACAAGTGAAGTTATGATATATATCTTTGTTGTTTCACTTTCTTCTTTTTTTAATGTAAACGAAAATATCAGACATTCAGATTGGACCTATACTCATTCATTAGTTGCAACCTTAGGTTGATTTCTTATGAGTTTTCCAAATCATGAGCATTTTGTAAGATTCACCTGGCTCTATGAAGTTACAAAAAAGAGTATTGTATTTTTATTATAGTTTGTAAATTATGTGCTGTACATCCTGTATATCAGTAAAATTTATAATAAACACATATACATCACACACACACACACACACACACACACACACACACACACGGAGCTGGTGGTTAAACATTTATTAGCATACTACTACATCTAGCACAGAGTAGGCATTCATTAAATACTGCTTTCCCCTTTTCTCCCATTTGACCTTTTCAAACATAATCAAAATGTCTGCCATGCTTAACGTAATCAGGGTTGTTGAAAGAAGAGCAACCTTTAACTTCAAGTCTGTTTTATGCTTTAATATTATCACTTTTCACCAGTATTAAAAACATACCGTAGTTAAAAGGGCAAATGAAGGGTTGAGGGAATATGGTTTTCTTTTGAATTCAATATGCTGGGTCAGATCTAAAAATACCAATACTTCATTATATTTCAAAGAGGGATAGTAGAACCTTGAATAACGATGTTTATTGAATATTGAAAACACTATGAATCATAGCACTTGTCAGTATTTCCTTGAAGATATTTTTTAAGAAATTGAAGTAATTTAATTTTTGCTTTTAATTTGGAAACTTTTTATTCTTTTTTGTCCTTTTTCTCCTTTCTCATGTTAATAAGAAAATGATTTTATAAGAAGCACTGCAACACTGGATACAGTCACAGGCCCATTTTCTTTTTATTTAAAGAAAAGAAAGAGCAGCTTTATTTCTGTAGTGCATAGCTGATTTTTTTCCAGCTCCCAAAGGGGAAGAACTAATTGCTGATCATTGAAGAAATGGAACATGGAGATCCCTTTCCATGTGGATTTAATATGTTACTAATCAGGGAAAAGTAAGCCTTTACACGTTTTTGGTCCTGTTTATTTCCAAAAGAATAGCATGGAGTAATAGTGTTTTCCCCTAACATGTTTGCAAATATATTAAGGAAGAATTGAATTATGTAGGAAATCATGAGCATTTTGTAGGAAATCCTTTGTAGAAAATCAATTGACCATACATGTGTAGGTCTGTTTCTTGGCTCTCTATCTTATTCCATAGGGTTTATCTTTATGCAGGTGCAACATTTGTCTTCATTACTGTAGCTTTATAGTAAGTCTTGAAATCAAACAATATAAATTTGATTTTTTTATTTTCAAAATTGTTTGACTATTTTAACTTTTCTTAAATTTCCATATAAATTTTTAAATCTACTTGTCAATTTTTGCAAAACAGTCTCCTGGGATTTTGATTGTAATTGCACTGAATCTATAGATTATTTTGTAGAAATTGACATATTAACATTGTTGAGTATTCAACAATTCTAGTCCACGAACATGATACACTTCTGCATTTATTTAGGTCTTCTTTAGTTTGTCTTAGCAACATTTTTAGTTTTCCATGTAGTTTTAGTTTTCCACATACAGATCTTGCACATATGTTGCTAAATTTATCCTTATTTCATATATTAATGCTGTCATCAATGGTAATGGTTTTAAATTTTATTTTGCAGTCATTTATTGCTAGTTTATAGAAATACAGTTGAGTTTTGGATATTGTCTTTAACCTGAAACCTAGTTAAATTCACTTACTCTAGAAGTGCTTTTGTAGGTTTCTGATAATTTTTTACATAATATGTTATATTGCCTAGGAAGAAACAGTTTTACAGTTTTCCTTTCCTATCAATATGCCTTATATTTTTTATACTTTTCAACCCACAAACTACAAGGCATTTTATTTATGTATCTTTTGTCTAATCATTAACAACTTTAATTTGAGATCATCATGACCAAATTTTCTTGCCTAATAATAGAGGAATTCTTTGTTACAGTTTTTCTAATAAAGCCAGTTATTCAAACATGCTTTTTATATCAGTACCTAATAAATAATAGTTGGAATGAATTTATTAGAAAATATGGGTTTCTGATTTTTACAGAAAATTGAAGTCTCTTTCAAGCTTCTTTGAAGCCATATCTTTTATCTACTACTGTTTAAAAACTTAAGGCAAATATTTTAGCAAGATATTTTACAGTAAACACATTTGGTGAGCATTAACATTAGTTTTATAAATAAAATCACAATAAAAGGGAATTCAAACCTACTGATAGCATTTAAAATTTTTGTTTCTTCTTCCATACTTGTCACAGTGCATACTTACTGGAAAATCAAATACAGGTCACTGCCTGAAGTAGAATAATTTAAATGAATCAATATTTTAATTTCCAGTGGTAGAACCTCTCTCTTGTCAAGTAGAAAGAGCAGATGGCAATAATCATTGAAATAAATCTCACAAGCTTGTCTATAATTTTAAGTATGTAAAGGGACAGTGAGCTCATCTTTCACATAGACTATTGAAAATTGTTTCCATCAAGGAGGAAGGAGAAAGGAAGAATTAATGTCTAAGGGGAATAAACGTGTCGCCCATAAGTCTGGGGATATGAACTTGGAAACTTATAATACAAAAAATACCAATATAATGATATCATCATCTATGACACTTAGTAGTGGAAACACAAGAGTGCTAGAAAATGTGAAAGGAAATAGTATGAGTGAAAATATGATTGAAGCTAAGTAAAAGTTGAATATTTATGGCATGAATTGACACTCACTCACAGGCTGGGATGCTAACCATGGCTGGCAGAAGATGCAATGGGATGGAAAAGGAATGTTGGCTATAAAAACAGAAGAAATGTGACAAAATAAAGGATAGTTGTTAACTTAGAAAACTACATTTTAAAAAGGATTATTTATTCTTTTCTTTTTTTGATATTATGTGGTTAAATTAGTTGATTCTCTGGTATAATTTTAGTATGGATGTTAAAATTATGCATATGAAAATTTGGATTTGGAAGTTTACCATAAAACTGGACAGTATTGGTATCTCCCTATTTTTATCTGTATCTTTTCTGAGAGCTTTAGCAGTAACAACTTTTTACCAAAAGTCTTAGCTTATGTGTTTGATTTTCAGCATATGAAACTTCCCTGATTTTTATTTTCTATATGTAAGTCTCCCTACCACGTTTCTTTGGAGATTTTAGGAATTTTTCCTTTGTTCTTCGGTGGCCATACATCTTGTTTGGGGTGAAGGGACTTGATGAACTATAATTTTAACTAAGGATTATCATGTTTTGATTTAATAGATCCCAGAGGAAGAATGCTCTTCCATAGCTGTACCTCTGGAATGTTTTGGTTGTACAGTAAAATTGAACATTTGGTTATTATTTTTAGAAATACAAGAATTTCCAAAACACAGATCTTCTGGCCTGTCACTTGTGGCCTATACTCTTTGAAAGTGCTCAAAATAATAAAGGTCAGGTTATTGATAATGATTTTAGATAATAGAATTTAAAAATAATTCTGTAATTTTATATTGAAACATTAAGCCTTAGAAGTTGATAGAAGTATTGTGCATTACAGAAGTACCAAGTAGTTAAAAGTTGCTCTTAATGATTTAAAAAATAAGAGCAGAAGATCGTTTAGCCATACATCATGTAGAAAGAACATTGTGTTGGCAGCATGATCTGAATTTGAATCCATATTCTGCCCCTTAGTCAACTGTTGGCAATCACTTTGAGCCAACTTTGCTTACTACAAAATGATAATTGCAGTACTCACATTTCAAGATTGTTGTATGCAAGTTCCTAGCAAAGGACCTAGCATGTCGTAGAAATTCAGCAAATAATAAAGTAGAGCAATTGAAAAGTACTTGTTAAGGCAATCATCTTTAAAGAGGCACTGTGGGCTGGGCATGGTGGCACACTCCTGTAATCCCAGCAGTTTGGGAGGCCAGGGCTGGCGAATCGCTTGAACTCGGAAGTTCAAGACCAGCCTGCGCAACGTGGTAAAACCCCATCTCGACAAAAGTTAGCTGGGCATGGTGGTGCGCCTGTAGTCCCAGCTACTCGGGAGGCTAAAGTGAGAGGATGGCTTGAGCCCAGGAGGCGGAGGTTGCAGTAAGCTGAGATCGTGCCACTGTACTCCAGCTTGGGCAACAGAGTCAGACCCTGTCTTTAAAAAAAAAAAAAAAGCAGTGCTGAAAATGTTAGAACTATCACTTTAGTTGCATTACTAATAAATAAGCTGAGGGGAAGACTAATTTTCTCTTTTTTTAGTAGTTTTATAATACTCATTTCAGTTACTCAATTATGTGACATATTAACTGTCAGTTTGATATATATCTATATAGTATATTGTATTTTGGCTGAGAGAAGGAAAAGTGTTCTACTTATAGTCCTAGCACACTGCTAAACATATATTTGTGTGGTTAACAAATTGGTGAATATGTGTTTTAAATTGCACTTTTACTTTATTTTCACAACTGCTGTTCTTATAGTTGTTTTATAGTACTATTTCCCACCATTCAAACCTATCTGTCCTGAAACATGTCAATCATTCTTTAGAGCCTTTATATTTTCTGTACCTTCTGCTCTTACATCTTTGCAAGTCTGACTCCTTATCTTTCAACTCTCAGGTCAAATGCCACCTTCTCCAAGTTTTTCTTTGACTACCGATTCTAAAGTCACTCTCTCGACACTTGTTCAACTATCATATCACCTAGTTTCATTTTCTTCATTGCCATATGACTATTTGAAAGTGTCTCAATTTATTTAATTACTTAACTTCTGATAGAATGTCAGTTTCCTAAAAGCAAGATCCTAGTATGTCTTATACTATTATCTATTCTGGCTACTAGGTTCTTTCTCTGTCTCTAATTTATTTGTTGTATTCCTTTTAATTGATAGGTATATGAGAACTCATTATACTTTCCCCTCTAGTTTTATATACATGTGAAATTTTCCACAATAAAAAGTTTTTTTATAAAGGATTAAATGGATTTATAGTATAGAAAAATATTTAATACAGAATGATATGAAACCCAAGTTTGTCCTGTACTCTTCTCCTTTCTTGTATTTTTTGTTTTTATTTTATTTTTTTTGAGACAGGGTCTCCCTGTATCACCCTGGCTGGAGTATACTGGTGCGATCTCATCTCACTGCATCCTCAACCTCCTGGGCTCAATCAATCCGCCCACCTAGGCTTCCCGAGTATCTGGGACTGTAGGTGCGCATCACCATGCCCAGCTGCTTTTTGTATTTTTTTGTAGAGACAGGGTTTCGCCATGCTGCCCAGGCTGGTCTTGAGCTCCTGGGCTCAAGCAATCTGCCTGCCTCAGCCTCCCAAAGTACTGGGATTACAGGTGTGAGCCATCGGGCCCGGCCTCCTTTCTTGTATTTTAAAATATGTGGTGAGAGTAGGTTTTCTCCTTTCTCAAAAAATTTCATGTCTTCCTTTCTTTAAAAAGTCTTTTGTCCCCCTCACTCCCCTGTGATAATTTAGTCCGAAAGCCGAGCACATGGTGTTAAGCCTGAATGGTTTGAGGATAATATCTGCATGGGTGGGGGTGGGTCACTGCAACCATGGGATATTACACACATAGAATTGATCGAATAAGGAAATATGTTCAAAGTAATGGGAACCAGGTTTCTAACTTTTAGAGAAGGAAGTTACCGATATGGAGAAGGAGAAAACTAGAATGAACCCTAATGGTGTTAGATTGGCTAAGAGATATTACTATAATCTCTTGGTTTTCAACATATATTGATAGATGTAGCATGTGTCGATGTATACACATATGCTTAGCTCTGTCCACTGAGAGGGCCTGGAAATCGACATCCCAATAACAGTGAGCACACTCAGTGTCCAGTTGTTGGTTTCTAAATATAATTAGTTCTGCTGTAACATTTGTTTTGCATCATGAGTTTATTTCAGTGCAGTTAATAAGTTAAGAAGCAGGTGAAATACAATGTAAATTTTACATTTATTTCTGCATGATTTTGTGTTTGAGAAACACTAGGTGAACTCAGGATACTGTATGTAGCTGAACCGAGCTGTGTAGAAATACACAAAATGCATACATGTGCACACCTCACACATCTACCAGCTACTTCAGTTACTGCTTGTGTTATTTGTCACACTCATTTACAACTGGTGTAAACTTTCCCTGATTTCATATAGCTAGCCCTCTGCACTACTTCACAATAATCCATAAACTAAAACCCTTCTGACACCCACTTCCACAAGCAAACTTCAGGTCTTTTTCAAAAGTAAAATGCCATGTTTATTATGGTATTTATGTATTTCTTAACCTTTAACATTTATAAAACTGTGATACCATTTTTATTAGGTTCCTATTTTTTTATGTGCCCTGATGAAGGTTTGTAGTTTTGTGCTTCTAACCCCACTTTTCTCATAAGCCCTGTGGTTTTATTGAATGACTTTGCATAGTGCAGTGATCTTTAGGAAGATGTATGTCACCTTGTAGATCTGACTGAACCTCTCTTCATTAAAACAAATCAGAGCTCCTTGAAGAAGGTACTCAGGAGCTCTTCCTGATTCCAGGGCTGGGAGAGGGTCAGAGTACCTCCTCACAAAGTGCTTATTAATTACAAGAGGAAAACAAATTAATTTATAGTGGAGATGTCTCCCACTTAAGTCATCACCTTAATCAAGAGATCACAGTCACCAGTAATCAAACAAGTCTGTCATGTGCCATCTGATTAAATGCAGTGTGAAGAATAGAGCATCACTTCTGTGATATTCCTGCCAAAGATGCATAACTTAAATCCAATCAGGAGGAATCATCAGACAAACCTGAATTGAGGCGCATTTTACAAAATAACTGTCTTGCAATCTTCTGAAGTGTAAAGGTTAAAAAATCAAAGAAAGATTGAAGCTGTGTTTCAGATTGCCACACTTGTCATTTTCTAAGTTTTAAAATTATAGCCATCCTGGAGGATATGACGTGATATCTCATTGCAGTTTTTATTTGCATTTATCGTCTGGGTAATGCTGTTGAGCATATTTTCATATGCTTATTAGCCATTTTTATTTCTTCTTTGGGATAAGTCTATTCACATCCTCTGCCCATTTTAAAATTGTGTAGTCTTTATATTATTGCATTATAAGAGTTCCTTATAAATACAAGTCCTTCGTCAGTTGTATTGGCAAATATTTTCTCCCATTCTATGTTTACCTTTTCATGTTATTGATGGTGTCCTTTGAATAACAAAAGTTATAAATTTTGATAAAGTCTAATTTATCTCATTTTTCTTTCATTCATTGTGCTTTTAATGTCATATGTAAGAGAGGTTTGTCTTATCTTCAGTCATGAAGATTTTCTTATTTTTATTTTCTAAGAGCAATGTAATGATAGCATTGTGGGTGATACTTAGTAATGAAAACGATACTGGAAAAAGAGGAAGGTCTTTGCTCCATTTTGAATTAATTTTCGCACATGATAGAAAGACTCTCCCTTCATTCTTTTGCATATGATATTCAGTTGTCCCACCACCATTTGTTGAAAAGACTAGTCTTTCTCACATTGAATTATCTTGTCACCTTTGTTGAAAATCAGTTGAACACAAGTGTGAGAGTTTATTTCTGGACTCTCAATTCTTTTTCGTTGACCTATGTTTATTCTTACATCAGTACTATGCTATCATGATATTATAGCTTTATGGTAAGTTTTAAAATCAGGAAGTATTAATTCATCAACTTTACTCTTCTTTTTCAAAATTATTTTGGCTCTTTTGGGTTCCTTGCATTTCCATATGTATTTTAGCATCAGCTAAAATTTAATCTATCTTTCAAAGTAGGGGTGACATTTCAACAATAAGTAAGAAAGTATGTTTTTCAAAAGTATACTAAATGGAGACAGCACTTTGGAAATGGGTATTTGGAAACGGGATTTTGTTGTTGTTGCTGCTCCTGAAAAATACACACATAAATCCTTCTGCCTCTACAATAAAAAATTTGGAAACAACTTTTTAGATTTTAAAAGATCTCACAAATGAAGAATGTCAGTGGATTTTGAATACATCAGAAAAAAACTAAAGATGCAGCTAATGCTATTGGTTTGGAACAGCAACTGATGGCTTTCAAAGAAGATGGAAAGTTACTAGGCCTTTTTTTTTTTTTTTTTTAAAGAGTTAAGGTCTTGCTCTTTGTCCATGCTGGAGTGCAGTGGCCCAATCATGGTTCACTGCATCACTACAACCTCAAACTCCTGGGCTCAAGAGAGCCTTCCGCCTCAGCCTTTTGAGTAGGTAGGACTACAGGTGCACACCACCATGCCTGGATAATTTTTACAAATTTTTTTGTAGAGATAGAATCTTGCTGTGTTGCCCAGGCTGATCTAAAACTTCTGGCCTCAAGCGATCCTTCTGCCTCCCAAAGCACTGGGATTGCAGGTGTGAGTCCCCACCCCTGGCCTCACTGTCTTTTTGCTTATTCTCTGCTCTGTGGTATAAAGATATTGTTGAAAATGTAAAAAAAAAAAAAAAAAAAAAAAAAAAGCCTGTACATACCCCTATGGGTTATAGTGATAAGAAAAAGAGGAAGCCTTTATGTTGATGTTGATATGTAGTAGAGAAAGCCCAGCTATTGGAGAAACTGGATAGTAGTTTAAATGTGAAATGTCTTACAGAAGAGTATGGTGTTGGAATGACCACCATACATGTCCTAAAGAAATAGAAGGATATATGTATACATATATATGAACATATAGAAGGATACACACACACACACACACACACACACACACACATTATTCAGCCACATTTAAAAAAGAATGAAATCCTGTCCTTTACGGCAATATGGATGGACCTGCAGGCCATTGTGTTAAGTGAAATAAACTAAGCACAAAAAGATAAATATAGCATGTTCTCATTCATATGTGGGAGCTAAAAAAATAGATCTTATGAAAATAAGGAATAGATTTGTGGTTACCAGAGACGGGGAAGGGGAGGAGGGGATATGAAGGGAAAATAAATAATATAAAAGTATTTATTACCACTGAAGTATACACTTAAAAATGGTAAAGATGGACCAGCCATGGTTGCTCATGCCTGTAATCCCAGCACTTGGGAGGCCGAGGTGGGTGGATCATTTGAGGTCAGGAGTTCAAGACCAACCTGGTCAACATGGTGAAACCCCATCTCTACTAAAAATGCAAAAATTAGCCAGGCATGGTGGCGCATGCCTGTAATCCCAGTTACTCAGGAGGCTGAGGCAGGAGAATAGCCTGAACCCAGGAGGCGGAGGTTGTAGTGAGCTGAGACGGCGCCACTGCACTCCAGCCTGGACAACAGAGCGAGACTCCATCTCAAAGAAAAAAGGTAGTGCTCGCTTCGGCAGCACATATACTAAAATTGGAACGATACAGAGAAGATTAGCATGAGGATGACACGCAAATTCGTGAAGCGTTCCATTTCTTTTTTCAGCACCACACCCCACCTATTCCAAAATTGACCACGTAGTTGGAAGTAAAGCACTCCTCAGCAAATGTAAAAGAACAGAAATTATAACAAACTGTCTCTCAGACCACAGTGCAATCAAACTAGAACTCAGGACTAAGAAACTCACTCAAAACTGCTCAACTACATGGAAACTGAACAACCTGCTCCTGAATGACTACTGGGTACATAACAAAATGAAGGCAGAAATAAAGATGTTCTTTGAAACCAATGAGAACAAAGACACAACATACCAGAATCTCTGGGACACATTCAAAGCAGTGTGTAGAAGGAAATTTATAGCACTAAATGCCCACAAGAGAAAGCAGGAAAGATCTAAAATTGACACCCTAACATCACAATAAAAAGAACTAAAAAAGCAAGAGCAAACACATTCAAAAGCTAGCAGAAGGCAAGAAATAACTAAAATCAGAGCAGAACTGAAAGAAATAGAGACACAAAAAACCCTTCAAAAATTAATGAATCCAGGAGCTGGTTTTTTGAAAGATCAACAAAATCGATAGACCGCTAGTAAGACTAATAAAGAAGAAAAGAGAGAAGAATCAGATAGGCGCAATAAAAAATGATAAAGGGGATATCACCACCGATCCCACAGAAATACAAACTACCATCAGAGAATACTACAAACACCTCTACGCACATAAACTAGAAAATCTAGAAGAAATGGATAAATTCCTCGACACATACACCCTCCCAAGACTAAACCAGGAAGAAGTTGAATCTCTGAATAGACCAATAACAGGCTCTGAAATTGAGGCAATAATCAATAGCTTACCAACCAAAAAAAGTCCAGGACCAGATGGATTCACAGCCGAGTTCTACCAGAGGTACAAGGAGGAGCTGGTACCATTCCTTCTGAAACTATTCCAATCAATAGAAAAAGAGGGAATCCTCCCTAACTCATTTTATGAGGCCAGCATCATCCTGATACCAAAGCCTGGCAGAGACACAACCAAAAAAGAGAATTTAGACCAATATCCTTCATGAACATTGATGCAAAAATCCTCAATAAAATACTGACAAACCGAATCCAGCAGCACATCAAAAAGCTTATCCACCATGATCAAGTGGGCTTCATCCCTGGGATGCAAGGCTGTTCAACATACGCAAATCAATAAATGTAATCCAGCATATAAACAGAACCAAAGACAAAAATCACATGATTATCTCAATAGATGCAGAAAAGGCCTTTGACAAAATTCAGCAACCCTTCATGCTAAAAACGCTCAATAAAGTAGGTATTGATGGGACGTATCTCAAAATAATAAGAGCTATCTATGACATACCCACAGCCAATATCATACTGAATGGGCAAAAACTGGAAGCATTCCCTTTGAAAACTGGCACAAGACAGGGATACCCTCTCTTACCGCTCCTATTCAACATAGTGTTGGAAGTTCTGGCCAGGGCAAACAGGCAGGAGAAGGAAATAAAGGGTATTCAATTAGGAAAAGAGGAAGTCACATTGTCGCTGTTTGCAGATGACAT